>NC_000012.12:98369218-98672249 GCF_000001405.40 Homo sapiens
GCCCTAGTATACTGCACAATTCCCAGTGTTACCATTTCTATCACAAAAGAATGAAAAAGAAAAATAATATTCGACTATTTCTAGTATTCAAGAAATATTAGGCATTGCACTGGTACATTCACATTTGTTACCCCATTCAATTCTCACATAGCATTAGCCTCATTTGGGGAAATTGAGATTCACAGCATTGATATGTGAAATGGGAGCATTTAAGCTTAGAGCCCCTCCCAGTTTTCTCTCCCTACAAAATGTATTTAACTAAATTCTTCCCTTCCTTAGAATCCATCAACTTCTTTATTCAACTCTCCCCACAACCAAGACCTTTCTTCTGAAGCACTGATAAATAAATCAGGATTCTGCCATGCATCTGTGGATGGATGAATTGCCAGTACTCTTGATGTGAAATGGGCATGCCCAAATGTTTCCATTCCTATTTTAAGTAACGAATTCATGTTCTTCATGCCCCTATCATTAGCAAGAGCTTTTATTTTACCGTGTGCCATTCAGAAGCACTACATAACATTATGGCTTGTGCTCGTGCCATGTAACATTGGAATGGGTTCAATTGGCTTCCACCCCAGAATAACACCCAATTTTCAGGATGTGATTTAGCAATCCTTCCTTCCTCTCAACTCTAAGTATGTGTCATCTGTATCACTGGAATTTCAAGGTAATTGAATTCATAATTATAGCAGAAGATATTGAGTGTGTAATACATGCCAATGATGTGGAAATGATCGATGAGGTAGAGTGGGTTGCAGTAATTATTATTGTCCCCATTTTACAGATGAAATCACAGCACCTTAGAAAGGCTAACTTGCCCTAGTTCTCATAATTAATATGTAAAAGAGCTGCGACTTGAACTTCTTTTTGATCAAATAGCTCAGACCGTCAACCTGCCTACTATGAATGAGGTACCGGCTAGATTGTTGGCAACACAGCAGGTAGACAAGAGTCAGTCCCTGTTATCAAGGGATCACAGTTCAGTGAGCTAAATAGAAACGTGCCTTCAACTGCACTGCGCTACACTGAAACAAGTGCTAGTACTGGATAAGACCCAGTTGTTGTTGGCGCCAACAAGAGAAGTAGCTAATGTCACACTTAGAGTAGAAGACCTTGTGTTATAGCCTATCTTTTCTGTGCATGGCCTGTCTCTCTACCTAGGAAGCAGAGTCTCATACATCTTTGTTTCCTTATTCTCTAATACAATCCCTGACACACAATAAGTGTCCATGAAGTGGTCCAGGCTATACAACCAGCTCTTGCATAACCCAGAGTGAAGCCCAACTACCCTGACAAATAATACAATTTAGGACTAAATCCACACTTTCTAGCTGAGATGCAACCTGCACAGAATTACACTACGTTTATTTTTCAACCCATGGTATTGGAAGACACGTGAACTAGTTGGACATGAAAATCCCAGACTGAACAGCAGCTGGACTGTTTTTAATCCCTGGAGCAGGACAGAAGGGACAGGCTTTAGTCATGTGACAAAGGAAGCAGCCACAATACAGAAGATTTCTGAGCAGTGGGGAAGATCTGCAGTGCTCAGGACCGAAGTTGCTTTCTTTCTTAAAAATGCCTGTCAGATGTCTAAAAATCCTCTCTCTAGCAGCAAAGGTGAAGGCATTATCTAATGACCAAAGTAGACACTGAACCAAAGTGAACATTTGAGAGAAGCAGTGGACAGGCAACTGTAATAGCAAATTGGAACAGAAGTAGCTAAAGCTATAGAAACACAATTCATCAGTGGATGAAGTCATCGTGATTTAAGTTTGTACATGAGCAATTTTAGACAGAAAGACTGAGAATTCTCTGCAGTTGAAATGTCAACCCAAATACAAAAAAAAAAAAAGACTATTCTAACATGAAACCACATAAATCAGCATAGTAGGTAGATTGATGTGGGACATGAAAGAGATTCAGCATAGACCAAAGAAAATACATGGTGACCAATGTGGCAACAAATGAAAACCAACCAAACAAGAACAAGCAAAGCCTCCTTATTCATTCAGAGCTTGTTATATAGCAAGGGAACCAGCCACTATCACTTGCATTTGGCAAAGACTCAAAGGCAGAGGAGTGAGAAAGCTTCATCATGGAGAAAAGGGAAGGCTTCAGGTGTGCCCTGTTTGGAGGCTTGTTGGCCTGGGGAAGCTGGAGGCAGGCTAACTACAAGCGGGGCATCCTACCTGATGGGTATGGGACATATTTGGCTTACTCTGGATATTTATAAATTGGAAACAAGGACAAAAATTAGAGATACTGTCAGTTGTTAATCAAGCTTGGCAATTTGGGGCCAACGGCTACAGGAGTTATTGTTTGGCTTCCTGGACCAGTTTCTAGAAACAGCGGTCAGACTTCCTGCAAGTTGATTTAGAGATAGCAGGCTGACTTCCTGGGCTAGTTACTAAAAATAACAGATTAGTTTCCAAGGCTGGTTGCTGCAGATTGTGGGACAGAGTTCTGTTTTTGCATATTGATTTTCTCCTCAGGGAAACACATTTTAGGAAAATCTAGTGTAGGGCGGAAGTCAATGTACCATGAGCAGGACCAGCTTCTCCTGCCACTTTCTAGTTGTGTGATTTGTGCCAAGTTGCTAGACTTCTTTCACCCTCAGTTTCCTCATCTGTAAAATTGAGATACTGCATAAGAGTTTGATGAGGATTAAATAAACCAATATACATAAAGTCCTTAGCATAGTGCCTAGAACATGGAAAGTAGCAAATTAATGTCATCTGCTGTTAATGTAATCTTACTAATATCTTTTTTTACCTGACTTAATCCAGGAACTTAACCAGAGAAAGGGGATAAAATTCCAAGGGATAGCATTTCAGGGAAAATCCACTGGAGAGGTTTCATAGGCCATGAAGCATATATTGAGTGCTCTGTGTGATAATAAAAAGACTAATTGGGAAAAGTCTGTATATACCTCACCCCAAGAGAAGGATACCATCAGAGAGTTGCCTTTAAATATTTAATATCTTATGTTTGATTGATAAATAATATGCCTGAGAATAAATTTACTCCAGAGACAGTTACATGGCAGCATTGTAAAAAAAAAAAAAAAAAAAAAGTATAGTAGAGGTTAAAACAGTCTGCAAACTTTTGAGAAGAGACAACAAAAGAATGCATGATAATAAAAATCTCATGACATCTTCAGAGATAAGCACTATAATTATGCCTGTTTTACACACAAGAAAACTGAAGCAGGGAGGGCTCAGTAACGTGATAGTCATAGTCAAGATTCAAGGAGAACGCTTAGCAGCTAAGTAGGAAGTTGCAGCAAAAAAAAAAAAAAAAAAAGGTTGGGGGAGGGTCTGGGTGATTCTCTTAAGAACACACCACAGAGAGATGATGCTTAAGTACAAATGGACCGAGAGAATGGGACAAAAAGTGTATAATCACTAAGTTCCCCATTCAAACTTTCTCCATATTATAAAACACTGGCATCTTCCATTTTAGCACATAGGGAATTATTGTATTTCATTTTTCGCCTGCATTTGGCATGAAGTTTCTCTGACATGTTATTCACTCCCTAATGGAAGAAGATGCCTGAAAGAAGCAAGTTATTCTGTTTTCAACAGGACCAAACCTGCAGCCTTGGCCCCCAAGGCTCTAAGGACATCGTGTAAGTGGCCAACTGTAGGGCAGGCTTTGGTTCAAAGAGCCTAAGTCAGTAAGAAAGGAAGAGGAGCACCCCCTAAAATTGTTTGGTTGATTTAACAAAGCAGTTTGTACCTTCTGAAATGTACAAGTTGCTAAGAAATTGCATTGTTTTCCTCTTTTTGTAGAGTACATTCTTAATGTGGTATTTTGGTTTGTGTTTTATGATAGGTGCTATAGTTTCAGGGTTTGAATATGGGTTTCATTAATCCCATAATTTGTGCCTCCACTGGAAGGAACTGAATATTCTAGACTTGGTGCATAGTGCCCTCTTCTGGATGAAGTGAAATCTCCTTTCCTAATATGCAAACCTGGAGATAACGAAATGGATGCTAAAAGACAAGGGAAGGCTCCAGAGGCACATGGGTGGGAACTGCTGTCTCCCCTGGGAATACAGAAAGAGTTTGCCCATCCCCAATGTGGTCTGCAAGACCCAGGCTCAGTCCTATCCTAGTGAAGGATGAGAGAGTGCAAGATGTCTGTGACTTATAAGGAAAAACAAAAAACAAAAACAGGCAAGGGAGGATATGGTCACTGTCTGGATTCAGAAATCTAACCAGAAATCTAAACACCTGAGAATGAGTTGGATGGCTGAAACTAATCTCACCAGAACAGTTCAGGGACCCAAACAGAACTTTGGTGGTCTGAAGAAAAGAAATGTCACGGCCGGGCACAGTGGCTCACACCTATAATCTCAGCACTTTGGGAGGCCGAAGCGAGTGGATCACCTGAGGTCAGGAGTTTGAGACCAGTCTGGGCAACTTGGTGAAACCCTGTCTCTACTAAAAATACAAAAATCAGCCGGCCATGGTGGAACGTGCCTGTAATCCCAGCTACTCCAGAGGCTGAAGCAGGAGAATTGCTTAGAACCCAGGAGGCAGAGGTTGCAGTGAACCAAGATCGCGCCACTGCACTCCAGCCTGAGCGACAGAGCGAGACTCTGTCAAAAGAAGTCACATACTTACTATTTAGAATGACTCCTGGAAATTTGATCCTGTTCATCTCCTAAATTTGTTTAGTTCCGATCACAGCAACTGAGTTGTAAAACATGTAGACTGCAGTTAATGGATGCTTTTTGAAGAAGTGCTAATCTAGAAATACCAGACTTTTCTAAAAAGAATAGGAAAGGAATGTGTCTTCAATGGTGCTGTCCACCAATGTTTCTGGTTCTCCTCCTTCTGGGCACAAATGAGCACTGCACTTTCTGTACCTCCATGAAGTTAGATGTGGCCCTGTGGCTTGCTGTGGCCAATAAAATGTGAGTGGAAGTTAAGATTTAAAGAAGCGCTGCAAAATTCACCACATTTCCTTCCCCTTGCCACCACAAGGTGGGCAAACTACACTCCCTGCAGACCAAATCCAGTCCTCTGTCAGTTTTTATAAATAAAATTTTATTGGAACACAGCCATGCCTATCTCTTTACACATTGCAGCTGTTTCCATGCTATAATGGCAGTTAAGCAGCTGCAATAGAAACCACATGGCCAGCAAAGCTGTGTACTGTGCTGTCTGACCCTTTACAGAAAAAGTTTGCCAAACCCTGCTCTTGGTGGTGGGGTCACTGAGAGAAAACGACGTGGAGGGTAGCCATGCAGAATGTGATGGACATGTATAAGAATGAAATAAACCTTTATTGTCTTTGGGTAGTGAGATTTCAAAGTATTTCTGCTACTGCAGCATAGCTGAGTCCATCCTGACCCTACACGGGGTAAAGAAAAATCGCTGACAAAAATAGAAAAAGAGAAAGTATAGAATTGAAAACACCTTGAAAGAGGCTCTCCAAACATTATTGATAGAAAATATGAAAATTCAATGGCATTGACATTATCTTTTAACCAGGTGGGGAATAAGCATGATCCCCACATACCAATGAGGCTATTTTTCAGTTAAGCCAGACAAAGACATGATGTTTTTCCCAAAATTCTAAATGAATTCATTTCTATATCCAAGGAAGGCCCGCCAGCTTTAATCAGACACCGGTTTGTTTTATGAGAGGAGTGAAGAGGCTCATTACAGCAAATCCCAGGCACACGTTGATAAATTCCTAAACTTGGACTCTGATAAAACTCAGGAACACACTTCCCATTCCACTATTCTTCTGAATCACTGAGCCAGAGGCAGTGCCTGATTTGTGACCTTCAGCTGTCCGCCATCCCTCGTAGATCATTTCCACCTAATAGACCCTTAAAATTGTCATCATCTTCTTTCCTTCCACATTTGAAAGAAATGTTAAAGATTGATCCACCACTGGGTTAGCTATTTTGCAACTTCCCCCACCTGTTTAAGAAGGAAGCAATTGTAAATAAATGCAGCTTTCCAGGACATTTTAAATGGTAGCAATCACAGCAATTTCAGCCACACAGAGGGGAGGGGAGCAGAGAGGAGCGAGAGTGGATATAATGGGCTATAGGTAACATATTTCACCTCTAGGGAACCAGGGTAAAGCTTTTCCCAGTTCCCTCAGATTGAAAGTTGTAACCACCTAACAGCTAGTCAGGAGCTTGGAGGAAAAGAAATGTTCCCTGCCTTGTTTCCCATCAGCCTTGACATCACATCTGGCTAACTCTAATCGCCCCTTTGTGTACCAAGGCAGGATGCAGAGGAATGAAGAGACATGGCTTCTTGTTGACTGGACCCTAGTGGAGAGAGATAACAGGTACCCACATAAGATCATTGCAGCTAAATAGGGGACTTTGATCAGAAAAGTCTCTGCGCACCTATTAATTAATTCAACTGAAACTGGGGTGGGGACAAAGAGACAGTGGCAGGAGGATGTGCTCAGTCTCAGGGGTCAGCCTCTAGGCATTCTGTAAAGCAGCTCCATCTTCCTGACGCTATGGATTTGTGATGCTCAAGACTGCTTCATCCAAATTCAACTCAGAATGGAAATTCTTCTAATACAGAGCTCTCCCTCAGGCTGTGACAAGTGTTCTCTACAGGCCCAAAGACTAAGAAGAAAGAAAGGAAGGGTTTTTTCCTTCTGTCGTTAGTGCCAGCCTTCTCTGTGAACCTGTCTGATTCCTTCCAATCTATTCCAGAACAATAAGTAGAAATGAGCTCCCCCATCCCTACAAGGCAGGTGGAAGCCATAAGAATGAAAACAGAGCTGGGAGCCCCAGTTGAGGAGTTAAACTGGGTCCAGCATTTTGGTTTTATCAGTTGCCTGGGCTTACTTGTTGAGTTCACAGATGACTTCTAACTAGGACAGCTGCTGAATACACTGGAAAAACAAAAGTTCAAAACAGCCTCACTAAATTAAAGGTGAGATCCAAAGCCACCAGCAAATGAAGGTTAATAGAGAACCCCTACTGCAGCTTAGATTAAGGGAAGAACAACAAAACTTCCCAGGTACAAACAGCATGCAAAAGCGCTGGCCATGTATGTATGACAGAAGAAGATCTGGAGATCTTAGTGGACAAGCTCATTGAGTCAGCAACATCATAGAAGTGTTAACAAGAATATAAAAGACAAGCTATGGAAATATCTTCATAGATGCATGCATTCTTTTATTCAGCAAACTTTATCAAATGCCTTCTATGCTCCACGTATTGTGCTAAAATTTAAGGCAAAGCTCAGTAATCTACAGCAGCCCACCAGCCACACTATTTTTGCATGGCCCTTGAGCTAAGAATGATTCGTACATTTTTAATATAAAATATAAAACAGAGTATTAGCCTTTTGGAGAGAATAGTCGCTCAAAGAATACATTGCCTCTCAGCCTGCCAAGTCTAAAATATTTACTCTCTGGCTCTCCTCAGGAAAAAAAAAAAAAAAAATTGCCGACCTCTGATCTAGGAATACAAAGTTGAATAGGAAGTGGCCCCCACCCTCAACTCACAGTTTGGTGTGAACTATACAATCAGTATCATAGTACTTTGTTCTCTCCTGGCTTCACAAGATAGAAAAAAAATGAAGAAAGTGATAAAGATTAATAAAAGAATGGGAAGAAGAATTTATGAGAAAAGTTTAAAGGAATTTAGATTATTTACTCTGGAGAAAAGGAGTCTATGGGGAGACTTAAGAATAGTCTTCAAATATTTGAGGGGATATTATTAAGCAAAAGGCTTTCCGTCATGAACAGAAAGATTAATAGAACATAGGCTAAAAAAAAATTTATTATAGAGATGGAAGAATTTCCTGAAAAGCTTTTAAACTTCTACGATGAATTAGAATTAGATGAGATCTAAATTCAATGAATTGAGAAATCCATTTTCTTTAAGTCTCTAAACCTAGCATATTTTCTCATCTGTCTGAGAGTTTTAAGGGCTGTTTGAGTATTGTCCAAGCTGACAGTGAAGGATAGACTAGATGCCCTGTGTCTGGGTCTAGCTCTCCAATTCTTCTCTTCAGAACATGGGGCTTTTCAGAAGAAGTAAATCTTTTTACTTCTCTGGGCCTCAGTTTCCCCCTCTTGCAAAATAAGAGCCTCATATGCTCTTAGTCTGTGATTTCTTAGGCCAAAACCTTGAAATGGTTCAGCAGCCAAAGAAAGTAAAGGAAGTTAAATTATCTCATCTCACAAGGGAAGAGGCAATAGATGCTGTTTTATTCTTGATGTAAATAAGGAAATTTAGACTCAATATGTATTTAAGTTAAAGGTAGCTACTAGTTGGAAAAAAATAGAATATGTTCACTGGAGGGAAAAGATCAAAAGAAACATGAAAAAGTGACTCAAGATTTTAAAAGGAAAAGGGGGAAATGTCAAGGAGGCATATACAAAGAAAGACCTAAAATAGGATAGCAGTAAGAACTAACATTCCATAATCACAATCAATGTGATGAGGTTCTATGCTCCTCTTTAAAAGACATACATTCTTAGATAAGATCTAAATTCAAAATTCAACTGCATGTTGTTTGCAAGACAGCCACTGAAAACCAAGGGACTCACATGTGTAAAACATAAAGGGTTCAATATGGAACTTGGTTAATCATATGCACACTGCAGTCTTTAGGAATCAAGTTGTCTTATTTGGATGTGACCTGTGCCTTTGTCCCAATGTGACCACTCCTTGCTTTTTAGGGAAGGTCACAGAGAAGCATGGTTTAAAGACAGTTGTTAGAAACTGAAGGTATTTGAAGGTATGGTATTCTTTCCATATACTGACTCATATCTAGAATTCTCTGTCAGTAGAAGGACATTGGTGTTGGAATCACATAAAGTACTATTTCACCCCAGTTCCATCATGTTGTAGCAATGGTCATGTTAATTAAATCCTGGCTTTTGATCAAAGAGAGATATGCTATAACATTGGATATGCTATATGCCATGCAATATAACTCAACATCTCCACTAATGTCTAATAAGCACCTTACACTAACACATTTAAACAGACTTCCTGATGTTGCACATCAAATCTGCTTCTCCTACAGACTCACCATCTCAAATGGGAAAATTGCTCAGGCCAAAATCCTGGGCGCCATCTCTTTCCCCTCTCTTTATCTCATACTCCATATATGCTGCAAATCTTGTTGGCTCAACCATCAAAATATACCTACCTCCAATGCTACATCTCTGGTTTCAACCACTATTGTTTCTTCTTTGGATTGATACAGTAGCCTTGGAACTGGTTTCCTGACTGTAAACCTAGACTCCTCTAGTTTGTTCTCAACACAGCAGCCGGACTGATCTACTATGTGCAATCATGGCACTATGATTGATCATGTCATTCCGCTGCTCACAACTCTTCCATAGCTCCCCATCTCAATCAGAGTTAAACCCAAAGTCCCCCAGTGGCTTCAAGGTCCATCTGCTGCTAGCTCTATGGCCCCTCTCCTCACAGTTGCCCCCTTGCCCACTTCACTTCACCCACACTGGTCTCTTTGCTGTTCCTTAAACTGGCACTCAAGCACACACCAATCACAGAGCTTTTGCTGTTCTTTCTTCCCAGAACCCTCCTCCCCCTGATATCCAGATGATTCCCTGCCTCCTGTTCTCATGTCTATGCAAAAATACTGTTAGACCTTTCCTGCCCTCCTATGTGAAATGGCAACACCATACTCCCTAGTTTCCTTCCTCTGCTTTATTGTTTTCTATAGCACTTACCTTCCCTGGTATTTTGATACTTACTTGTTTTATTGTGCATATTTTCTGCCTCTCATTAAAAAACTCCAGAAAGTAAGGCACTTTGTCTCCATCACTACTGAATGCTCAGAACTGGAACAGAACCTGGCACTTTTTTTCTCCTCAACAAATATTTGCTGAAGGAATATGAACGTGCTTTGAAAATGATAAAGCACTGTATATATGGATAATTATTATTTACATGGGTGGGCAAAATGAGATTTTTTTCTTAACTTCCAGTTCATTTTTCTCCACAAGATATCCTCTTGGCTCCATCATAAGGAGATTCTTCCTCTAACTACCTAAAAATCACATACTGCCAATTTTGGTCATGAGACACCCAGAGGTGATATTCAGAATAGCCTACAACCTGTTCTGAAGGAAACCATGGGAGTGGACCCAACAACCCATTAAAATGATTCCAGATGACACCAGCATGTACTGCCAGAGCAACGTCAGCCTGGAGAAACTTAGGACTACTGACAGCAGTTCTACTACACCACTGTCTTGTAAAACTTGTAGAGAAATAAGTATTGAACTAGGAATCAAAAAACCTGGTTTGTTGCCACTTCCCCAACTCAGGGTTTCTTAACCTCAACACTACTGAAACCACATAATTCTTTCATATAGGAGATATTAGCAGCATTCCTGGCCTTTGCCCACTAGATTCCACTAGTATCTCCTCCCCACTCCCACCCCACCACCAGCCGTGGCAGCCAAAGTTGTCTTCAGACATTCCCAAGTGTCCCTTCAGGTTGAGAACCACTACTCTAACTCCTATCTATGGAAACTGAGATAAATCAGTAAACCTCATGAGTGTTAATTTCTTCACTTGTAAAATAGGAACAGCAACACCTATCACATGCAGTAGCTTTAAAGACTCAAGAGATAATATATACAACAAGTACTTAACAAATTTTACTGTATTATTATTATACCTATTAGTTTTCACTCCTGACAAATAACTGGAAAAATTTATCTTGCTCTGATAAATGACTTTGCTTATGTAGGCTACACTGACGACAGGCATATTGCCTTTCTACAATCATAAAGTTGAGCTTTTGTGTGCCTTATCAGTCCACACCTGCAAGACACAAATTATCTCCAAATCCATTCCCTGGTTGGTTTCTCCCCTTAAAGAGCATGCCCTTTAAAGAGTACATTTAGAGCCAGCCTACTCACCCATGGTTAATTCTGTGGGCTGTTTATCTACAGTAGGATTTATTTGAGTCTATCTTGGTAAATGTAATGAAGCCTGGGTGTGCTTTTATGGGGATGTGAGGTGAAGCTAGGGACAGCAGAGAAAAGTCTTAGGTTAGTTTTGGAAATGTCATTTCAGAATCACTTAAATTGGAAAAGTTCTAGACAGTTCTAAAAGGAAAACTCCAATTAACAAACCCATCACAACAAATAAGACAGAAAACCCACGTCTGCTTTTTGGAGCAGAGGATAGTATAGCATTTGGTGTGAATTCTATCTTGGAAACTATTAATAGCCTGCTCTGCCAATTTTTCAGTCCCCTGCCCCCAAGGACTGGACAACTGAATTGCGTGGTAGACTGCATCTATTGTGATATTAATTTGGTCTTTCTCTGGTGAAAAGACATAAATGAATGGATGGTAGGAATCTAGGAAAATGGATATAATTACCCCATTTTGCAAACGAAGAGACTAAAAGAGGTTTCATAGCCTGTCCAAGGTCACACAGATAACTGATGGAGCCAAGAGATGAACTCAAGTCAGCTACCTTCAGATCCCAGCTCTTTGCATTAAACGGTGCTGAAATACCTTAACATTCTTGGAGTTCATTTACCTGCCCCGTTATTTCACCATCTGCCCTACAGAAAGGAATGGAAGAAAATATAAGCAGTTTTTAAGAGGATTGGCACATTTACAAAGGGCAAAGCCCAAAAATCTGAGAAAAGATATTGGGTTGATATTGTTGATATTGAAAGACAATCGGGCCTTCCCTGAAGCTACCACTGGTGAACCAGCACCAGGCAGGAGTTTCTGCATCTAAACCCTCAGGAGGATTCACATCTTCTCTTATAGAAAGTTTGAACTGGCCAGGCATGGTGGCTCATGCCTGTAATCCCAGCACTTTGGGACGCCAAGGTGGGCGGATCACCTGAGGTCAGGAGTTCAAGATCAGCCTGGCCAACATGGTGAAACCCCATCTCTACGAAAAATACAAAAATTAGCTGGGCATGGTGGCAGGCATCTGTAACCCCAGCTACTCTGGAGGCTGAGGCAGGAGAATTGCTTGAACCCAGGAGGCAGAGGTTGCTGTGAGCCGAGATCACACCACTGCACTCCAGCTTGTGCGACAAGTGCAAAACTCCGTCTCAAAAAAAAAAAAAAGAAAAAAGAAAGTTTAAGCTTATTGAACCTTAGCCTGCCAGGTAGGATGCATGCCATGAAAACTGCCTCCACCCAGGGGTGAGATTCAAAGCACACACAGAGTGTCAGGGGAGATAACGGATACAAAATTTCAGGAAGAATAAGTTCAGGAGATCTACTGTACATCATGGTAACTATAGTTAATAATAACATATTGTATAATTGAAAATTGCTAAGAAAGGAGATTTTAAGTGTTCCCACTATGAAAAAATAAGTATGTGAAACCCACAGCCAACATCATATTGAATGGGCAAAAGCTGGAAGCATTCCCCTTGAAAACCAGCACAAGACAAGGATGCCCTCTCTCACTACTCTTATTCAACACGGTATTGGAAGTTCTGGCCAGGGCAATCAGGCAAGAGAAAGAAATAAAGGGTATTCAGATAGGAAAAGAGGAAGTCAAATTGTCTTTGTTTGCAGATGACATGATCCTATATCTAGAAAAACCCCATTGTCTCAACCCAAAAGCTTCTTAAGCTGATAAGCAAATTTAGCAAAGTCTCAGGACACAAAATCAATGCGCAAAAATAACAAGCATTCCTATATAGCAACAATAGAGAAGCAGAGAGCCAAATCATGAATGAACTCCCTTTCACAATTACTACAAAAAGAATAAAATATCCAGGAATGCAGCTAACAAGGTAAGTGAAGGACCTCTTCAAGAAGAACTACAAACCACTGCTCAAGGAAATCAGAGAGGACACAAACAAATGGAAAAACATTCCATGCTCATGGATAGGAAGAATCAATATAGTGAAAATGGCCATACTGCCCAAAGTAATTTATAGATTCAATACTATTCCCATACTACCATTAACATTCTTCACAGAATTATAAAAAACTATTTTGAAATTCATATGGAACCGAAAAAGAGCCTGTATACCCAAGATAATTCTAAGCAAAAAGAACAAAGCTGGAGGCATCATGCTACCTGACTTCGAACTATACTACAAGGCTACAGTAACCAAAACAGCATGATACTGGTACAAAACAGACACATAGACCAACAGAACAGAATAGAGAACTCAGAAATAAGACCACACATCTACAGCCATCTAATCTTTGACAAACTTAACAAAAACAAGCAATGGGGAAAGGAGTCCCTATTTAATAAATGGTGCTGGGAGAACTGGCTAGCCATATGCAGAAAATTGAAACTGGACCCCTTCCTTACACCTTATACAAAAATTAATTCAAGATGGATTAAAGACTTAACTGTAAAACCCAAAACTATAAAAACCCTAGAAGACAATCTAGGCAATACCATTCAGGACATAGGTATGGGCAAACATTTCATGACAAAACCATCAAAAGCAATTGCAACAAAAGCAAAAATTGACAAATAGGATCTAATTAAACTAAAGAGCTTCTGCACGGCAAAAGAAACTATCATCAGAGTGAACAGACAACCTACAGAATGGGAGAAAAATTTTCCATTTTATCCATCCTAACCTGACAAATGTCTAATATCCAGAGTCTACAAGGAACTTAAGCAAATTTACAAGAAAAAAAAAACCTCATTAACAATGGACAAAGAACATTAACAGATACTTCTCAAAAGAAGACATAAATGCAACCAACAAACATATGAGAAAAAGCTCAGCATCACTGATCATTAGAAAAATGCAAATCAAAACCACAATTTACCTTCTCAAGCCAATCAGAATGGTGATTATTAAAAAGTCAAGAAACAACAGATGCTGGCAAAGGTGCAGAGAGATAGGAATGCTTTTACACTGTTGGTAAGAATGTAAATTAGTTCAACCATTGTGGAAGATAGTGTGGCAATTCCTCAAAGACCTGCAACCAGAAATACTATTTGACCCAGCAATCCCATTACTGGGTAGATACACAAAGGAATATAAATCATTCTTTTATAAAGATACATGCATGCATAAGTTGATTGCAGCACTATTCACAATAGCAAAGATGTGGAATCAACCCAAATGCCCATCAGTGACAGACTGGATTAAAAAAATGTGGTACATATACACCATGGAATACTATGCAGCCATAAGAAGAAATGAGATCATGGCCTTTACAGGGACATGAATGGAGCTGGAAGCCATTATTCTCAGCAAACTAACACAGGAATAGAAAACCAAACACCAGATGTTCTCACACATAAGCAGGAGCTGAACAATGAGAACACCTGGACACAGGGAGGGGAAAAACACACACTGGGGCCTGTGAGTAGGGGGGTGTGGGGAGAGGGAGAGGATCAGGAAAAATAACTAATTCATGCTGGGCTTAATACTAAGCGATGAGTTGATAGGTGCAGCAAACCCCCATGGCACACGTGTACCTACGTAACGAAACTGCACATCCTGCACATGTGCCCCAGAACTTAAAATACATTTTTTTTGAGACAGAGTCCACTCTGTCATCCAGGCTGGTGTGCAGTGGCACAATCTCGCCTCACTGCAACCTCCGCCTCCCAGGTTCAAGCGATTTTCCTGCCTCAGCCTCCTGAGTAGCTGGGATTACAGGCGCCCGCCACCAGGCCCAGCTCATTTTTGTATTTTTAGTGGAGATGAGGTTTCACCATGTCGGTCAGACAGGTCTCCAACTCCTGACCTTGTGATCTGCTCGCCTTGGCCTCCCAAAGTGCTGGGATTACAGGTGTGAGCCACCGCACCCAGCTCAAAATATTTTTTTTAATTAAGCATATGAGATAATAGATAAGCTAATTAGCTTGATTTAGCCACTCCACAGTGTTTATATATATGCCAAAACATCATGTTGTACATCACACATATATACAATTTGTCAATTAGAATTTTTTTATTTTTTTATTTTTAAACAAAATATGTACACCTAGCTCAAGAGAGGAGATGCTGGCCCCAGAGACCTCCTGCTATACTCACTCCGTCCTTACACCTTACACAAAAATTAACTCAGGACCTCCATACTTCTTAGATTCATGACCTTACACAAATGACTTAACCCTTCCAAGCCTTCATTTCACTTATTCATAAGATGGAGATGATGATAATAATGCCTATCACCCTGAATTGTTGTGAGGATTAAATGAGATGCAAGCAAAGTGCCACCCACTGCTGCCAACCCATATTAGATGCACAATAAACATAAGCTATCATTACTATTAAAGAAGAAAGATTAAAATAAGCAACATTTCAATCAACTTTAGCAAAAACGAATCTGATTCTCCTATATTTAATGTGACTATTTCCTCAGGTCAGACAAACATGAGATAGGCTACCCCTCACTGAATCATACCTTCCAACCCTGGCAACTGAGTCAACTTGATTCCCTTTAGGTTCAATTCCAGGCCCTGGTACTAGTTTTGTCCCCAATTAAGACAAATAGATTGACCTCTCTGTCAACAAGGAGACTTATGGAGTCCATCTTGATTAATTCTGTGTCCACCAGGGGCTGAACCCCATGGCTTACATGTTGAGTTTTTCCACTGTAAAGCCTCAATCTTCCCAGTCGCTGAAAGCAGAATTCTATGCCCCAGCCACCATGGCTACCTTTCCTGTCTCTCAACACCTGTCACCAGCTCCCTGACTACTTTTTCCTGGCTTTCCCAGTGCTAGTGCCAGTTTGATTGGAACTCAGCCTCTTCAAAGCTGTGGGAGTCTCATCCCAACAGTTTTCAGATCTTGCATCCCTAGTAGACCCTGGTTAAAAGGTTCAGGAATCCTACATGTTCTTCCCCTGGACGCAACTCCTTGAGAGGGATCTTCTAAACTCACATCCCTATGTGCCAACCCTGGATGTGCTACATTTGGCTCCCATCTCTGGCTGACCTAGCCTCCAGACAGTAAAGCATGGCATTTATGAGCCCAAAGGCTGCAGTCATACAAGGAGCATTTGAGTCCCAGGTCTGCCACCTACTAGCTGTATGATCTCAATCAATCACTTATGATGCTTTCTGAGCCAAACTATAAAATAGCGATAAAAACTCATACCTCTCAGAGTTGTTGTAAAGACTGAAAGAGGTAAATTAGATTTAGTTCCGTAGTTGTCACAGAGAAACTTTCAATAAGTCGATGTTATTCTTGGTGGAAGGCATCTTCCATCGTAGCATGTCCCCCCTCCCCTGCAACTTGGTGTCTAGCCATTCTCCACCTATTTAAACTAGACCTTAATGAAACAACTTAGAAATCGCTCAAAAGCCTAGATCATGACAATACTGATACAGGAGCTAAAAAGAAATTATTTAGGCAGATAGGGAGGGTAAGAGAGTTCTCAATAAGGTTTCCTTTTAAAAAAAACAAAAGCAGCCCCAAAATCATTTCTTTCCTAACAAAAAGCAGCCTGAAAAATCAAGCTGCAAGCATAGATAAGCAAGCTAAAAGCTTACATAGGTAAATACCAGCAGCTATGCCAATAGAAAAAGGCTACCTGGGGGCCAGGCATGTTCAACATGGCAGCTCCCTCTTCCCTTTTCTTTGTCAACCACATGTTCAGTAAGGAACAGACAACATGGAGCCGCCAGCTAGAGAACTCATCTGCACAATAAAAGACTAGGGTGGGGTGGCCAGCTTCTTCACAGGCTATGTAAATGGCACACCTGGTCCAACCATCTTTGGGCCCTGTGTTAATCAGACACCACCTCCTCAAGCTCATCTATAAAACCCTGTGTTTGATTGGAACTCAGCCTCTTCAAACCTGTGGGAGTCTCATCACAACAGTTTTCAGATCTTGGATCCCTAGTTAAAAGGTTCAGGAATCCTACATGTTCTTCCCCTGGACACAACTTCACCACAAAACCAGCAGACCCACTCAGGCACCCCTCTCTCTCTCTGCAGAGAGCTATTCTCTTTTCTCTTTCTTTCGCCTATTAAACCTCTGCTCTTAACCTCACTCCAGATGTGTCCGTGTCTTTGATTTCCTTGCCATAAGACAACAAGCCTCAGGTGTTACCCCAGATGAACAACGCTGCTTCAATACTTTTAGGTCTTTCAAATCAAAGTTATCCAAAATCAAATTTGGACATACACTGTTGTTTAATATTTATTTAGAACTTCATTCCCTCAACAAATATATATGAGCATCTACCGTATGCCAAGCACGGGGCCATGTGAGTATCAGATAGACATGGTACCTGCCCTCATGGAGGTTACAGTCCCCTGTTTCCCAAACCAGAATTAAAGAGATCCTTTTTTGTGGAAAATTTCTTACTAATCCAGATTTATGTCTAGCACAGTACTAGCTGGTAAAATCATTCTTTTGCTAGTAATTCACTATATTTTCCAATATTTTAAATGTATTTTTGTTCTTATTTTAAAACTTTATTAAAATTGAAAAATGTGGCCAGGCTCAGTGACTCACGCCTGTAATACCAGCACTTTGGGAGGCCCAGGCGGGCAGATCACCTGAGGTCAGGAGTTCAAGACCAGCCTGGACAACATGGTGAAACCCTGTCTCTACTAAAAATACAAAAATTAGCCGGGCGTGGTGGCAGGCACCTGTAATCCCAGCTACTCAGGAGGCTGAGGCAGGAGAATCATTTGAACCCAGGAGGCAGAGATTGCAGTGAGCCGAGGTCACGCCACTGCACTCCAGCCTGGGAGACAAACCGAGACTCTGTCTCAAGAAAAAAAAAAAAAAGAAAAAAAGGAAAAATGCTTGCTGACTCTCTGCACGAAGGTAACCTTCGGAAGCAGGGAGGTCTGGCCATCTTGTTTTACTACCCTCGTGTTTCTCCCAGGTAAACCTCAGGGAATGGCCACCACTGGCTCCTGATCTGTGGCCGAACATCTACTCTCCTCCCTCCAGGTCCTTTGCCATTTTTTCTCTTCCGGAACCTTCCAGTATTCCAAAATAAATACTGTATTTTTAAATCTGAAAATTTAGAACACATTCCAGTTACTTATCTGGATTTTTTTAAAACAAGAAAGGACTCCCAATTGCTGCAGTCAGTCTTTTAGAAAAGCAAAGAATTTTCTCTCTTGGGGAGTTGCTACATATGACGCTATTCTGTTTTGAAGGATCTTAGATAAGTCTTCAATTTTGTAAAGTTTTGAGATTAATAATACCTTAGGGGGAAAAACGCTGAAAGGTAGGCAGGTCTTGTCACAGTAAAAGAAAAGATTCTTTCCTGCTTTGCTGTGATTAGCTGCATAAGTTGTGGTGCGAGTTCCAGTGCTAAATGAATTAGTATGCATCCCACCCAGAGTACTGTTTGTTGAAGTAAAATGCTTACAATCTTTGCTTGGGGGAGGAAAAAAAAAGGGTATGTCATTGAGTGAATATGAATTAATCAGTACTTTATGGACAGAACCCATAATTTTAAAGCAGGGAAAAAAAGCCGAGGCATTTATCAGAGTTCCACTCAGCAATCTCCCTCTGTCATTGCTAATAAATCTTTTATGAAATGGAGTTTTGCAATCTTTGCAGGAACATTACCCACCCCCCACCTTTTCTTTGCAGGAAAAAAATAAGTTAGCATCCATCTCTAATATTTTACCCTCCCTTCCTTATTTGAGTGTCCTGTACTCAGAAAAAATCTCTGAAGCTCTTTATTTTTAAAGCTTTTTTCTCCCCCAATTTATAATGTTAAGACCTCTTTCATCAGAAGAAATAATTCATCTAAGTCTTCTCACAGGAGATTTAAGGAAAGAAGCTGAGTTTCAGGTGAGGAATGCAATATTTTTAATAAGTGTAATATCCCGGGCCTGCTAAACAATCAATATTTATAGATAGAGTGATAAAGTCCGTCGGGAAATAGAGTTTGGAGATGGGTAAGAGGATAATTAAAGGATAAAACATTCCAATTCAAATGTTTTATAATTTTCCTATCGCTACTCACAGAATCAAGATTCTGCCGAATTATAGACAGCCTGCCAATAACCTCATGATGCCCGGATTTAATTAGGATTTTATGCTCCCACCTGAAGGTTAGGTTCATTAGCTGTAAAATAAGCCACTGGATGTCTGGATTAAGAATTAAAGGGAACCCTAAGTGTAGAGTGGCACGTAGCCAGTTTCTAGCCACTTAAACCGTGCAAATGGACGTGTGATCATTTTCCCCGAGGTTGGTAACTTTTTATTTTTAGCCACAAATCCACAGGCCATTTCTCTTGGTTAGGGCTGGGACCTGATGGCGGTCGAAAACTTAAAAAGGTACACGACTGAGGAACAAGTTGTTAAGAGGCTATTATGAAGGGTTGACGGGAGGGGGTGGGAGGTGCATAATGATTTTGCCATTAAGCTTTCGTTCCATTTTACAGCTTGGATTTATTTATAACAACAGGTGGTGGTATTTGTGGGGAATTGCTTGTTTTTTCATTTGAGAAGGGCAGCTCCATACATCTGCTGGGAGGTGAAACAAAACCTTTTCCAAACACCCGTTTCCTCGCTTTGTGCATCACCATTAGGAAGGAAGAATTTGTAGCAAAAGGCCACCCTGCCATTATTTCTTCCTGATGACACTCATTTAGCAGCCATTAAAATGCAAATAGAACTATGATTTTTAGATCACAAAATTAACATTAACGGTTGGATGATTGATTAAAGGTCATGGCAACGGTATAACTTAATTTCTTAGATAATTGTGTTCGGTTTTCTGCAGACTGTTTGGGTTTCCGAATTAATTTTATCTGTTGTTGAACACTGACAGGTGCAGTAATTGGCACAATCTCCTTTGAGCTCATTTCTTCCCGTGCACCTTGCCCTCTTTTCTTCCCCGAAGCCGTTGCCTACAACACAGAAGAGAAGGCCAAACTGGCCAGCTTGCATCAGTGGACTTATGCATCTGGGTGAGGTCACTAGAGGGGTTATTACAGAGCTGCGAAGCCCCAGATAGAATTTCATTCTCTGGCTAACAAGTTTTCCCTCTAAGAACTCCCTGCATCAGGCTCACTGTGGTAAAAAATGACCCCTGGGCCTGAGGCTAGCCTCCTCAGATCCCTGGGCGAAGGATCCCATCTCAGACCCATTTTTCTTTAATGGAGGCAATAAGGCATGGGATAGAGGTAATAATAACCCCACCGGCTTTTCGTGTCACCTTTCTATGTGAGAGTTCAGGCAGTGACCCAGGAAGCTGAGATGGGAAGTGGATGGAGATTGGGTCTATCTGCAGTGCTTCTCAAATGTCAAAAAATAAAATACAGATGGTGCTTACTTGGCAGGCTACATACCTTCCTCAATCCCGATAAATATGGAACCCTGTACTGTAAAGCCAAGAATTCACAGAAGCAGCACCATAGTGCTGAGAAAATTGAGTTAAACTTTATTATAATTACTATTACTATTAACTCTCAAAATGATTTTTCCTAGAAGTTTCAAAAGACTTCATTTTATCATGATGGGTTCTATTTTGCAAACTTCTGTCTATCAGCTAGATTCCAACTCAAATCATATCCTCTCCTTCTTATGAAGTCTTAGACTAATGCTTCACAGCCAGTTCCTAACTGACTGGTCCTGCCCTCTGAGAGCTCACAGTCTGGTGGGAGAGGCCTTGCACATGAAGCAATTAAAGAATAATGCAGAGTGGTATGCTAAGCCATTGCCAGATGTAAGATCCTTAAGGTCACAACCATGTTTCATCAGGCTTTAATTCAACACACGTAATCATTCAACAAACATATGTTGAACATCTTTTATGTGCCAGGCTCTGTGCCCCAGTATCTAGGATATTCTAGAACACAGTCCCTTCAGAACGTAACTTATAGCCTCTGATGGAGTACAAGAAAGGGGTAATAAGCAATAGACAATATTTAAAAGTGAGCTGAGGCCAGATGCAGTGGCTCACGCCTGTAATCCCAGCACTTTGGGAGGCCAAGGCAGGAGAATCATTTGAGCCCAAGGGTTGAGACCAGCCTAGGCAACATGGTGAAACCCCCTCTCTACAAAAAATACAAAAATTAGCTGGGCATGGGGGTGTGCACCTGTAGTCCCAGCTACTCAGGAGGCTGAGGTGGGATGATCACTTGAGCCTGGGAGGTTGAGGCTGCAATGAGCTATAACTGTGCCACTGTACTCCAGCCTGAGTGGCAGAGCAAGACCACATTTCTAAAAAAATAAAATAATAAAATAAAAGTGGACTGAGCATAAAGGGAAAGGAAAAAGTACTGTGGGCACTTGTAGCAGGCTTTGTATTCTCTGTGCCTTGCACAGTTCACAATAGGCCCCAAATTATTGCTTGTTGAAGCCATCAATCTCTTTACAAATGAATAAATAAGAGGCTCTAAGGGGCCAGGTACAGTGGCTCACACCTGTAATCCCAGCACTTTGGGAGGCCCAGGCGGGTGGATCACGAGGTCAGGAGTTCAAGACCAGCCTGGCCAACATGGTGAAACCCCATCTCTACTAAAGATACAAAAAATTAGCCGGGCGTGGTGGCATGCTCCTGTAATCCCAGCTACTTGGGAGGCTGAGGCAGGAGAATCACTTGAACCTGGGAGGCGGAGGTTGCAGTGAATCGAGATCACGCCATTGCACTCCAGCCTGGGCGACAGGGCGAGGCTCCATCTCAAAAAAAAAAAAAAAAAAAAAAAAAAAAGCCTATAAGGGTAAAATTCTGAGTTCTAGAAGAGTCCATGGGAGAAATGGGACTTTTAGGCCACCACACTGGCTACTGTCAATTCCTGAAATGCACAATACTTCTCTTACCCAAGAGACTTTATACATGCCACTCCTGCTGAATGACACTACCTCTCCTCCTATAGGCCTAGTTAACATCTACTCAGACCTCAGCCCAAAGGCCAGGACTGCATGGAAAACTTCTCTGACCTCCCCGTCCCCATCCACAGAGCAGGTCCAGGGCCCAGGTGCAAAGTCCCAGCCAGACACTGAGGTGAGAGTTCCCACAGACTCTACCACCCTAACACCCTGCTACCACTGCCCCAGTGTACTGCCTGCATGGCCCACACCACACAACTTATGCTGATTTACATGACTGTTTGATGTAACATCTTTCCTCCATCTGAACTCTAGGCTCCATGAAGGTTTGGCGATGTCTGTTTTGCACCACTGTGCCCGTTTTGTACCACTGTGCCCGTTTTGTAGGCCCTCAATAAATCATCATTAACTGCATAGATAACTTGTTTGCTACATTCGATCTTGAAAAACGGAAAGCACCTAAACAAACACAGAAGAAAAGGAGCAAGCAGGGAAGGTGGAAAGAGTACAGAGTTCGTTCCCTGGGTCTGTGCACGGTGCACACAAAGTGTTTCACTAACTGTCTGGCTGGGGCTCAGATGCAGCAGAGCACACAGTGATGAGGCTGGTGCTTCCTGGTTGCCAGCTGTTAACCCTTGTTTAGTTGCTGGGTTGCGGACAGATGGATGAGTCCCAGGCAAAAGCACACCTTGGTTTGGGGGGTGACAGTGCTCCTGGGACAGCAGCTATCTACCAATGGTTTAGCAATCTAAAGACTCTATGAGAGGGTAACAGCCGATGAGAGCAATCTTGAGAAAAAATCTGCACCCCAGGGGACTATACCCATGCAGCCAGAAAGGAAGATAAGCTAAATTATGAGCAGACTTAAAACTCAGGCATAGGCTTTTGAGCTCGAGTGCAACAGGCAACATAGGAAGTCACTCTAGATCCCTAAGAATGCGGAAAATGATGAAAGGCATATTTTTAGAAGGACTGATTTCAAAGTTCAAGCCAGATAATGTGCTGGGCACCGGAGAACTAAAGGTGATACACAGATTTAGGCTTTTCCAAAATTAAGTTTCCCATTTTATAAAGCTTCTGGGAGATTCTGAATTTCCCGAGTTCAAGTCTCCACGCTCAGCTGCTAAGAAGATGGTTTGGTTGGTTTCCTCTTCTGGTTTGTAAGCTCCCTAAAAGCAACTCCTCACATCCTGAATGATGAAGACAGTGTCTAGCCCTTAGTAAATGTCTGTTGCATAGATGAATGAATGAATTGTTCTATTAAAACACAAACATAAAAAGCAGCCCCTAACTCTGTGCTGTAATGCAAATCCTCCCTCGTCTCCAATTATTTCTTTTTTTTCTTTTCTTTTGTTTTTTTTTAGGCAAAGTCTTGCTCTGCCACCAAGGCTGGAGTGCAGTGGTGTAATCTTGGCTCACTGCAACCTCTGCCTCCCGGGTTCAAGCAATTCTCCTGCCTCACCCTCCCAAGTAGCTGGGATTACAGGCACGCACCACCATGCCCAGCTAATTTTTGTATTTTTAGTAGAGATGGGGTTTCACCATGTTGGCCAGGCTGATCTCGAACTCCTGACCTCAGGTGAGCAGCCCACATTGGCCTCCCAAAGTGCTGGGATTGCATGCATGAGCCACCATGCCCAGCCCTCCCTAATGATTTCTTAAACAAGTTTCCCTAACGAAGACTTGTCTTTTATCAATGTTGCCAGGACCCAAGGCAGCCTAAGCCTTCCCCTCCCTCGACTGCAATTTAATACACCTCCTTCCTGAAGTGAGACCAGTCCCTCTCTGAATTCAACACAGTCCTCCTCCTTGGCAAACACTAACTTGGTAAGTTGTATTTCATGAAGTTAACCAGGCTCATTACAGAGAACATATTTCCTGGAGAAAGGATGTTAATTTCTTCCACATACAAAGAACAAAAATCAATATCATAAATCCAGGAAATCTCCCCTAAATGTCTCCCCCATCATCACTCTCTCCTGCGCTCTGTGTAAATACATTATGACAGGTTAGCTATATTTCTACTCAGGCAATATGATATTGAGGTGACTGCAAGACAAGTCACTCTGCCAAAGGGAGGAGTATTGGCCAAGATGTTATTCCTCAAGGAATTTTGTGACATTGGAATTCCATCAAATGGAGCTGAATGTACCTTCATCTTTTAAACTAGCCCCAGTTCTGATCCTCAGCCTGCTTAGAACACACTGAACTTGAAGGGCGACCTATAGATTTTCATCGTGAGTTAGAGGTGGAAAAAAAGGAAGCAGTTTTCTATGGCATGTTTGGATCTCAATATATGCATTTATTGGAATATGTAATAAACACAAACTACACGCACTGTGTGAGTGGTACATTAAAAGGAGGGACGCAGGCACCAATTTTGCAGGAACTGACAGTTTAAGTAAGCAAATAGAGTTGAAACTAAGACTTAGTTTTAATTTTAAAACACACACATCAGAGCCTAGTAAATTCCTATGCAGAAACGTGAAATCTCCAAGTAATGTTTTTTCTGCCACCTTTTGAGAGCCCCTTAACCTCATGCAGCCCCAGAGGGAAGAACACAGCTTCATTTTAGGAGTAAACAAGAATCTAATTTTAGAAATCCTCCAAGATGTTGACCTTTGTATTGCGATCTGTCAGTCTAAGACCCTGGGTCTTGGATGGGTTATTATAAATTAAAATCTAATATGCCTTCCTTCTCTCTGGATCTATAATGCCTCATTCCATCAGCAACGTCCAGCTTAGGTGTGCAGTACAGCCCCATGAGGTAGACTGCAAAACCTGGTGACTTCAGCATCCCAAGGGCATAGACAAAATTAATTAAGGTGCTGCCACAAATATTAGCCCTCCTTGAATCCTCCCTCCCAAGTTTATTTCTAATTATCTCCCATTGAGTCAGGTCTCCAATGAGTCAAAATTTTTATTAGATTCTAGAAGCCTATCTCCTAACAGCTTCAAAGGATTTTTATATTTTAGCATAGTTGATTCCCTCTAATATGCTTCCATCTCTTAACTAATCTCTGTCTTGAATCATATTATAAAACCGTAGAGTAGAAAGAGTCATTTGAGGTCACCTAGCCCAATTCCATCTGATTACAGACAAGGAAACTGAGGCCTAAGGAAGTTTGGTATCTTAAAGAATATGAATAAATCAACAAGGCAGAAACTTGATGCTACAGAGATCCACTGTTGGGTAGTATCAAGACCAAATTGGAAATGGTCTAGAGTAAAGGCCTACATACTTTGACATTTTGGAGTATTTCATCAGAAGGTTAGCCTACGCCCCAAACATAAGGCCCTCCTGTCAACAAACCCAATCCACACACTGAGAGCCTCCAACTGACATTTGGTGCCTGCTTCATGAATGTGGACAGACCAATGTCTCTAGGTTCCTTTTGTTTTGCTTTGTTTTTAGTATGCTTTCCTTTCTCTTAGGACAGGAAAACATACTAAAAACAAAAGGAACCTAGAGACAATAGAAAATTCAAGAAACAAGAAAATCTCAAAAAACATAAATCCCCAAGGCAATATTTCATACATAAAATATGATGCTGCAAAAGGGAATCTATTAAAGAACAAAAATGAGCTCTTAGTAAGACCATGAAAGCAAATAAACAACTCGAGTTTGGACAATCAAGCCAAAAAAATCTCACAAAAAGTAAAACAAAGAGATAAAGAGAGGAGAACTTGGCCAAAAAATGATGAGTGCTAAGGGGTTCATCCAGGAAGTCTACCATGCAACCAACAGGAGTTCCAGGCATTTGACACAAACAAAAATGGAGGGAAGGGAACTATTCGAGGCATAAAACAAGCACATTACCCAGGACTGTAGGTAGAAGTCTCTGCTGAGAGAGCTCTATGCGGGCTCAACACCACAGTACAGCCCTGTGGATTCCGGAAGACCAGAGATAAAGAGAATTGGAGAGCTTTTGAGAATAGAAGTAGGGTTTTCATCAAAGGATCTGGACTCTGGATGACTGTGGACTTCCAGACTTTGGAAATAAGAAAATAATGGAGCAATGACTCCAAAATTCAGAGAGAAGATTACTTGGGCCGGGCGAAGTGGCTCACACCTGTAATCCCAGCACTTTGGGAGGCCAAGGCAGGTGGATCACATGAGGCCAGGAGTTTGAGACCAGTCTGGCCAATATGGCAAAACCCTGTCTCTACTAAAAATACAAAAATTAGGCTGGACGTGGTGGTATGTGCCTGTAATCCCAGCTACTTGGGTGGCTGAGCCAGGAGAATGGCTTGAATGGGGATGTGGAGGTTGCAATGAGCCAAGATCATGCCACTGCACTCCAGCCTGGGGGACAGAGCGAGACTCCATCTCAAAAAAAAAAAAAAAAAGTGCAAAAATTAGCCAGGCATGATGGCACATGTCTGTAGTCCCAGCTACTTGGGAGGCTGAGGCAGGAGAATCACTTGAACCCAGGAGGCAGAGGTTGCAGTGAGCCAAGATCGTGCCATTGCACTCTAGCCTGGGCAGCAGAGTGAGACTTGGTCTCAAAAAAAAAAAAAAAATTATTTGAAGCCTAGCATTCTATTCCAACCAAATGATGAGTCTAACGTGAGGATAGAATACTGACATTCTCACACAAGCAAGGTTCAGCTTGTATCTCCTATGCATTATCTCTTAGGAAGTTACTGAAGGATTAGGCTTTTGCAAAAGGAGAGAGAGAAAGCAAAAAGAGGAAGACAGGGTTTTTAGAAAAGTGACCCACCAAAGAAGAGTGGTGGAGGGAAGTCCAAGGGAGAGAGCTGTGAAGCAGGCCATGGGGGAAACAGTGGGACAGAGGACTAATTATCCGATTGTTTTTGATTTGGGGAGAGGGAGGCACAGCTGGCTGCCTACCCACAGCCATTTCCCCCTTTGTACATGCCACTGGATTTTGTTTGGGCAGCAATCTGCCCAGCTCCCATGGATGAACTGAGACTGGCCTAAACCTTACACTAAGACTTAGTTTTAATTTTAAAACACACACATCAGAGCCTAGTAAATTCCTATGCAGAAATGTGAAATCTCCAAGTAATGTTTTTTCTGCCACCTTTTGAGAGCCCCTTAACCTCATGCAGCCCCAGAGGGAAGAACACAGCTTCATTTTAGGAGTAAACAAGAATCTAATTTTAGAAATCCTCCAAGATGTTGACCTTTGTATTGGGATCTGTCAGTCTAAGACCCTGGGTCTTGGATGGGTTATTATAAATTAAAATCTAATACACCTTCCTTCTCTCTGGATCTATAATGCCTCATTCCATCAGCAACGTCCAGCTTAGGTGTGCAGTACAGCCCCATGAGGTAGATTGTTGTGGTTGCCAACAATTCATCTAATAAAGGCATGTGACCAATTCTGGCTTATGAGATATAGGGCAAGACTTCAAGAGGATTCTAAGAAAGAATGTGATCCCTAGTCAAAGAACAACAGAAGGCAAAGGTTCAGTTTTGGCTCCTGCCATCCTCCTTCCTGCTTCCTACTTATGTAGAATAAGAACATGCTCCTTGGAAGTGCAACAGGGGTCTTGGGACCACCAGAAGAGATCTGGCCAACATATTGAGGATGGTGAAAAAAAAAAGACAGGGACAGCCGGGTCTACATCCACCTCTAAATCTACCCCGGAACCACCTACAGCCATGATTCTTATTTTATGAGATGATTCTATGTCTTTGTTTTTTGTTGTTGTTGTTTGGGGGCTTTGGGGGGTTTATTTGTTTTGTTTCTGTTTATGGTTTTGAGACGGAATGTTGCTCTGTGGCCCAGCCTGAAATGCAGTGGCGCAATATCAGCTCACTGCAACCCCCGCCTCCCAGGTTCAAGCGATTCTCCCACCTCAGCCTCCCGAGTAGCTGAGATTACAGGCACGCGCCACCACACCCGGCTAATTTTTTTGTATTTTTAGTAGAAACAGGGTTTCACCATGTTGGCCAGGCTGGTCTCAAACTCCTGACCTCAGGTGATCCACCCGCCTTGGCCTCCCAAAGTTCTGGGATTACAGGCATGAGCCACCGAGCCTGGCCATCTTTGTTATTTAAGCTATTGTTAGTTGTGTGTTTTGTAACTTGAGGCCAAAAGCATCTTAGCTGGTATGAAAAATACCACGGACAGGCTTTGTTATGTGAGAACATCTGTTTAAAAAAAAAAAAAAAACTAACAATGGGTACCTTGAAATCTGAGCAGATAAAAATGAGACCATCATTTACTCCACGAGGAATGGCCAATGAACTTGTGGAAAGATGTTCAGCCTCACAGGTAAAATAGAAACACAAAATTGAAATCACATTTAGATACCATTTTATGCCCATGATACTGGAAAAAACAAATAATAAAAATCTGACCGTTCCAGAAAAACCCTCAGGCAGCAGGTAGGCAGGGAAGGGAACCTCGGGGCTGTGGCTGTCAGTGGCCCAGGAAGCCAAATTTGCAGAGTTTCCTTTTGATGCCACCTGCCGCTCGGTCTGAGGCTTCCCTCGGCTTCCTCTCCACTTTCCTCATCCCTGACTGAGCCCCAGGCAGAAGCTGCGAACTCGAACCGGCTTTGGAAACATACACATGTAACCACATTCTCACCCTTTTGAATTTAATTCCACAGTATAATTAAGCACATATACTGCACACGCACGGCTATAATACCAGCTGTCGCTTCAATTTGAAAGTGTACATTAAATAAATCCAAGTAAGAGGCAACAATCTCTGAGCCTTAGGCCTTGGGGAGGAGCCACTCGGCAGTCCCGCGGAATGAACATTCCGTGTGACACACTGCCACCCAGTGGCCACAATGGAGACTGTCAGAACCAGGAAACTGATCCGCGCTTTGGTTGTCCTTGGACCTGAAGCGCCTTGCAAATGCTCGGAAATATTCTGAACCAAATTGAGTTGAATTAAATGTAATTGTGCCGGGCGTGGTGGCTCACGCTTGTAATACCAACACTTCGGGAGGGCGAGGCGGGCGGATCATCTGAGGTCAGGAGTTCAAGACCAGCCTGGCAACATGGTGAAACCTCGTCTCTACTAAAAATACAAAAAAATTAGCCGGGTGTGATGGCGCACGCCTGTAGTCCCAGCTACTCGGGAGGCTGAGGTGGGAGACTCTCCTGAACCTGGGAGGCGGAGGTTGCAGTGAGCCGAGATCGCACCACCGCACTCCAGCCTGAGCTACAGAGCCAGACTCCATCTCAAAAAAAAAATGTAATTGAGTTGGAGTAAAGTGAAGGGAATTGAATTAGCATAAAATGAACAGGGGTATGTTGGGACAAAGACCAGGGTTTGGTGAACTGTTCCTAAACCCATGCAAGCACTGTATACTTTAGGCCAAAGGGAAGCATCCTCTCTGCATCTTGCACCAAGGAGAGAGTTTTGTCAGAAAAGATCTCAAAAAAGTCAGGTGTCCGTGTATGTTCTGGCTAAATGAAGGTCAGATATCGTCCACCAGGTCTACAGTATAAAGCCAGTTTCTAATACTTTACAAATAAATACTGAATAAACAAATACAGGCCAGGAGCGGTGGCTCATGCCTATAATCCCAGCACTTTGGGAGGCCAAGGCAGGCGGATCACCTGAGGTCAGAAGTTTGAGACCAGCCTGGGCAACATGGTGAAACCCCATCTCTACTAAAAATACAAAAATTAGTCGGGCATGGTGGTGCACGCCTGTAATCCCAGCTGCTCGAGAGGCTGAGGCAGGAGAATCGCTTGAACCCGGGAGGCAGAGTTTGCAGTGAGCCGAGATCACGCCACTGCACTCCAGCCTGAACGACACAGTGAGACTCCATCTCAAAAAGTAAATACAGAAATAAACAAACATGTGCAAACAAAATATGAACTCAAACCTTAATAAACAGGCCGAAATGAAAGGAACAACTCCTCAACTGCCACCATCAGTCTTGGGAGCCCCTTCCTTGGTGTCCAGCTGCACCTAGAACCCTCAACTCCCATTCCAGCTATTTCTGCCTTGTGTCGTGGCGGCAGGTTTAAAGACCTCTCCCCACTTTGGGTTGTGAACTCCTACATTTTCTTAGCACCATGCCCATCATATAACAGACAAGAAATGGGAGGGAGGAAGGGAGGAAGGGAGGAAGGGAGGCAGGCATCCTTACTGTAGCACTGATATATAATTTCAACAGAAACCATTTCTGTCTGTTTTGACACAGGCCTGTGGTCCCCTAAACAGAGCTTCTGCCATTTTCGTGAGGCTTTCTGGCTGTAGGGGTGATCACAGTTACAAGCTGCCCAAGTTCTTATTTGGCTTCAAAGAGATCCCCATTTTTCTTTTGCTTTTTGTTTAATTTGGTCTACTTTCTTCCTGTTTTCAGGTAGCTTCCAAACATGCTGCATGGTGTAGAGTAAATCTATAATGAGGTGGAAAAATAACACCCAAAGTTCTTGACAATTTACAAACATCTCATTTGGGATTGCTGTGAGACAGGGGCACCGCTTCACAGATGTGGAAACTGAGACCAGAGAAATTAGAGGGCTTGCCCTAAGTCACAAAGTCCACAGCAGCACAGGGACAAAACTGAGGTCTCCTCACTAGCGGAGGACACCTTCATACCTAGCAAACTTCTTGCAGGTTCAGTACAGCAGGGCCCCATCACTAGTTTTACTCGTAGACAAAGGGTTTCAGCAGAGATGTTGTTCTAAGTCCTAATCTGGGACCTATTTTGAGGCATTTCTTCTTTGTCTTTTCACAAAGTCCACCCCGCAGAAGCCAAAGGCTTGCCTTCAAAGCTGTGAGTGGCCTCCTGCCGAGGGCTCAGCTGTGGGCGTTGTCTGCTGCTCACACCGGGCCTCTCTCTGCTGAGTCATCCTTCCTTCCTTCCCACGTCCCCCCACGGCATCTACACTCAGAGCACTTCAAAGCCATTTGGGGCTTCTCAGATCTTTATGCCTTCGTGGTCCTCTAGAAAACTATTTACCAGAGATAAACTCCCGGGGAGAAATTTTGTTAAATCAGATATGAATCACAAGTAAGGATGGTTTTAAAGGAAATAAAGGCATTCTAGGGAGAAAAGAAGGGCAGGGGAGTCTTTGTTGGGAAGAGTATTTAAATTAAGATTTTCATTTACAGCACCGATGAGTCTGAAATGAAAGCAATCACCACCATGAGAACAAGCTATAGCTGCATATTAATATTTTTAAATTCCTCTTTTCTTAAAAGATTCATTACACACACACATACACACACACACACATTGTGCGTGCACGTGCGCACACAAACACACACCCTCTGCACCTACATGTCTGCCATGGAAACTCTACTCTTATTTTAGGTGAGTTGAACTCCTCTGTGAAGCTCTCCCTGTTGGCTAAAGTACCCCCTCTCCTGCCCACGTTCCTACCCCTTGCACACCCTGCTTAATCCTTGCCTATATTTTGGTTGCCTCACTAGCCTATAAGCTTCCTGAGGTCAAAAATGCTGTGAAAGAATAATCATCCCCCTTCAGCGTTCAGAGAACAATCAAGATGATTCTGGACAATTACTAAGCCAGTCACAGGCTCACAGCTCTGCCTGAACACTGCACTGGGCCTGATTTATTGGGTTGAAAACCAAATCTCTTATAAATACATCATCTTCTCAGACACATGCTTGCAGCTATTGTCTAGGGAGGGAGAATACCCATCCATGTACCCTTGGAGGACGTTACAAAGACAGGATAAAAGAGTCTTCTTTTAATGAGAGGGGTTCATCTGTCACTGGCTGAGCCTAAAGGATTTAATTTTTAACTCTTATAAAGTTCTTATCCCCTGTTACCCCAGAGTGTCAGTTTTTAGATTATGAATTTACAAGCTCCTTGAGGGCAGGGAGAGACTCTTCTTTAAACACCTAACAGTGTAGCTGGGCATAGTCACTCATGCCTGTAGTCCCAGCTACTTGGAAGGCTGAGGCAGGAGAATCGCTTGAACCCAGGAGGCAGAGGCTGCAATGAGCCAAGATCGCACCACTGCACTCCAGCCTGGGCGACAGAGCAAGAACCTGTCTCAAAAAAATAAATAAATAAACTAACAGCAGTTCTTACTCTGTTTCAAGACATAGGGTCTGCTGAGGTTTTAGAGAGCCCCATAAGTCACTCCCTGTCTTCCCCTTCTGAATTCCAAATCAAGTAATAAGTAAGGTACAGGAGTCCTGGTGATAAAATTATAATAGCTATTATTAATAACATTATGTTCTAGGAACCATGAGTACTTAGATATGTTAAGTCATTTAATAGTGTTACCCAAGCTTTACAGGATAGGAAACTGAGGCACATGAAGTTGAATCATTTGCCCAAGGTCGTACACCTAGAAGGTGGCAGAACTGGGATTTGTACCCAGTAGTGGCCCACACTTATAACCACCATGCAATGCTGCCTCTCAAACACCCACCATGCCAATGGAGCTAGGGGGAGAGCAAACCTTGGTTCTATAGTCAAAGGGGCTTCCTAAAGCATCCCTTGTAAATTGAAATTTACTCCTCCAAAACGTCAGGCCTCCCCTCGCAAGGGCAGAGCCTTCCCCTTATTGGAGAGCAGATGACAATATGCCCTCTCAGGCAGAACTGGCCGCACAATTTTCAAGGACCAGTGCCAAATGAAGACGTGGGGCCCCTTGTCCAAAAGTTGTTAATAATTTCAAAAGGGCAACAGCAGGGCATTAAACCAAGCATGAGGCCCTTCTGAACACAGTGCCCTGTGCAGCCACACAGATCACACACCCATGCAGCTGGAGAGGAGCCAAGCAGGCACTTAGAAGCAAGACCCCTTGACCCAAGCACTCTCACTTCCTTCCCTAACCAGAGAAATGGCCCCCCGGGAGGAGTGAGCCAGGTGGCCGAGGGAATGTTCCCATGCTGTATGCTTCTGGGGAGTAAAATAAAAATTCCTTCTCCTCAACAGTAAATAAAGAATGGGGAAGAAAAAAAGAAAACAGAAAAAAAAAAAAGAATGGGGAAGAAACGATCCACCATACAGGGACCTATTTTGAGAAGATGGTGAAAATTGTACATATGCACACTACATTTTGCACACAATTTCATGGGTTTCACAAATCCCTTGAGTATATCTCTGCAAATCCTTCTATGCTTAAATGCCTTAAGCATAGAGGGGATGAGATGGCAATACACATACATACACATATATGTATTATATATACACAAATATATATATGCATATGCACATGTAATACACACACAAACACACACACACACACACATATATATATATACACACACACACACAAGAGATCCCTCAAGGTCCCTTCTGGCTCTCGGATTCTTTGGCTCTGACCATCACAACTTAATCACCAGCTGATCTTCCTGAAACTTTAATCCCAGCAGAGTTCTATCTAGCTCAGAATGAGTCAGCTCATTTGCTTCAACAGGTAAAGGTCAAACTGCATCCATTATTTGTGCACAGGCATTTCCAGTCTCTGTCACCCATGGCTGTCAATCCAAAGGCTGGATTTACACTCAGTGTGGTCTGGGTTCTCATTAACCTTGAATCGCCTCCTCCTCCACAGAGCTGTGACATTTAAAATCTTATCAGAGTACTCTAAAACAACCATCAGACTGAGCCTTCGGGGGATAAAATAAATGATCCATAAGCCCAGGATGAGAAAGAAATAAAAACAGACCTTAAAGAAGTAAGGTCTCCATCAAACGCATCACTCACAACACATCATTTTGTGTTGGTCTCTGTTTGTGGTCTACCTGGAATTGAATGATATTCATCTAATTTAGCCCTTCAGATGTAATTTTAGTTCTGAATGCCACCTTGAAAACAGTGACTAACCAAAATTTCCAAGAAGGGGGATTGTCATTTTTAATGGGTTTCAAAAAAAAATGTTATACAAGTTTCAAAGACTGAGGTCTTATTTTTTTAATGATGATTCATGTAGGCCATCTCAAAAATGGATTGATTTCCCAATATTTTTATACCACATCAAATATATCTCTGTGCCCAGCCAGGCTGATGGGCAATGTGCATCATTTATACACATTTCACTGGTTGAAAATTTATGGATAACCTATTACACGTCAGATGATGTGACAGGAACTAGGAATGGAAAGATAAATACAAACTGGGTTCTGTCTTACAGGGCTGCCCCGTGCAGTGAAGGGGACAGCCATAGGGGATGAAATGCAGTGATAGCAGCGTGTACACAGTACATGCTCTCAAAGCCTAGAAGAGGCACTGATAGAATTTGGGAAGGGACATTTTGATGGGGAGAATGTTCTAGGCCGAGGAAAGAGGATGAGCAGAAACACAGTGGTATAGATGTGAATGCCAGTTCAGGGAACCTTAAATGCACTCTGGTATCGTGTTGGACAGATGGGTCTTGATTCCACCATTTTGTAACCTCATGACCTTGAGTTGATCAAGTCAAGTCGATCACTTGACTTTTCTGACCCTCAGTTTCCTTGTCTGTAAACTGGAGTCATTACCACTAGTCACTGAATTGCTATGGGGTTCTAATGAAAATGTATAGAAAAGTGACTCGCAAGCCTGATGTACTATTCAAATGTCAATCATGCTTGTCTTTTATTTTAAACCTACCATGTCTTGTTGCTCTTCAACATGAAAGTGTGGACTCTCAGAAGGGATTTCATGGACTGCCTGGTCCAAGTCACTCATTAATAACAAAACCAAAGCCCCAAGAGGTGGTTGTCAGTGTCACCATTATCAATAGCAACAGCACCAGCATGACATCATGATTGTGATAGACACCAGTTTTGAGTCCTTGCTGCCTCCCAGGCTTTTTGCTTTCATCTCATTTACAACTCCTTGTGACCAATAATTATCTCCATTTTATAAAGGAAGAAACTGAAGCTTGGGGAGGTTAAATAGCATGTCCAGCAACTCAAAGCTAGTAAATGGCAAATTCAGAATTTGAACCCAGGTCGGACCCCTTGACCCAAGCCCTTAATATTCTGTTATAATGCCTCTTTCTGCTTTTCCTTTACCTCCGTTCTCCTCTCTCTCTCTCTCTCTCTTACTTTCTTCCTTGACATGAAAGTAGGCCACTTCTAAATACCCATCATTTCCAAGGACAAACTTTTCTGGAAGGAAGTGAGAGGAAGAAACTGGTAGAGAGGCCCCCAGCTGCAAATATCTGAGCCCCACGTCACCTGTCAACAGAAGAACACCACAGGACACAGGCGAAGTGCTGGCCTCTCCCCAGCACAGGAAGCAGGAACTACACAGTGGGGACTCAGAGCGGATGGCAGACAGAGTTGCCTGTGCAGTAACTTTCCCTAACCCATTAGCCTTAACATATTGTCTCATCCACAGGGAGGAGGCAGGAAAAGGAGGCTCGGCAGCAGTGCTCGCTTTCCTGCTATTTTTAACCCACTCAGCTGGTCCTCCCCTTTCAACAGGCTCTGTTCCTTCTAGGTTATTCACTTCCTCCTAAGGGATATTGTTTGTTTGTTTGTCCTACTACTTTTTGACTTGTGGAGTGAACTTATTGCTTCCTCTCCTTATTTTAATACATTATAACAGACATTTATTGGGATATTGGGAGAATATTTAAACACCTTTCCTTCTGTGGTTTTCTTTGGACGGCAAGGGGACATGTGATTGTCACTTCGTTAAAAGCCTTGTGTTCCAGGAACCAAGTTCAGGCACCATTGCATAGTTTTGTAAATAAGAATGGGCCCCCTGGGGACACAACTCAAAGGAGAAAATAAAACTTATAATCTGAAAGGAACTCATCTGTAATGGGTTTGGATGCCAGAGTTTCAAAGGACAACCCGTACCTTGAGGAAAACAGGTGCCTGCTTCTGGGGGAGCACTGGAACCCAGTATGGGCTCTGCAGTGGGTCTGCTTCAAGTTTCTATCTTAAGAACCATTCCTAGGTTCTGGCCTCTCAACCCTAAGCCTCAGGACAGCAGTGTTCATCAGTAAGACCCAGAACCTGGCACTGAATAGCTCCCCATAGATATTCACAGAATGAATAAATGAAAACATTGAAGGTCTTAGTAAAATGGTAATTATCTCATGGAAGTGGTACATGAAGGGCAGTCATGCTCCCCAACAAGAATTTGGACTTGCCCTCTGGGAATAAAAAGGAACATCGGTATGTAAGTCATCATAAGCAAGGATAGACTCTAACCAAACTTATGACCCAAGGAGACAAGTCTTTTACATTCAACATGCCAATTCCAGTCAAATGACTGGTTCCCTGGAGTGCTGCATAGAGAAGGATTTTTGAGACTTCTTCTGAGTCTAGCAGGAAAGAGAGCTACAATTGATTAGTAATGTCTGCCATGCACACAAGGGGTGAATGATGGCAAGGATAGCATATAAGTGCATCCCTTTGTTGACACATCCAGAAAACTGTGACTCGGAAGTGGGATTGACTGACCCCAGGAGTATGGAAAAGGGGAGCCACTGAGGCAGATGCCACTGAGCCACTGCCCAAGGAGCCCTAGAGCAAGCATTTTTCTGGCAAGGAAGAGCACAAAGCAGAAACCGTGTCATTAAGCACAGTACTCACACCCTGGTACTGATTCCAAGTTTACCAAGCAATGTCTTCTGTGCCTTCCCCTGTAGCGTGCCTTTAGGGAAAGAATGTTCTGGGTCAAGACACACCTAAAGTCCAGTGGCCAGTTTGCTTGACATTAATAGTTCTTGATGGAGATTAAGAAGAGTCTTTCTGGTTTCACTGATGACTCTCTGTGGACTTGGTTCATGTGCCCATCCAAGAAAGATGAATCTGCTCTCAGGTACCCTTGGCCAGTCAGGTCTCTGAGACTACAAGGCTGCGGACTAAATCTTGGACTCCGGTAAATTCACCAAAATAAGGTCCCCCTGCCAAGTCTTTTCCTGGGCTTGCAATTGCATTCCCTTCTGCATGCCATGTTCATTTGACAACCACCATATGCTAAGAGGAGTATGGAGTGGAATTAAATTGCCAGTGTATTTTTAGAAACCTGGCTAGCAGGTCAGCTGAGTTCTGAGGTTGGGACACAGGACTAGTCACTTTAATAAGGACAGAAAGGAAGTAAAGTGTCTAAAACCTGCAGATTGGCAGGCCCAGATGGAGCCTGTAAGTTCTTCAAGGGCAGAGACTATGTCTTTGTTATGTATATATCTATTCTCAGTGCACAGCACCACTCTGAGACATGGCAAGTGCTCCATAAATATGTGTTGAGTGAATGAGTTTATTGAATGGGCAGCAGAAGTTTCCAGAAGTGTTGTGGAAGGAGCTGTTTAGGTAAGAGAATGAGCTGAAAGGGCCAACAGGAAATACTAACAATAAACCACAGGCTTTACAATGTCGCCTTGAGCTTACCCACCCAGTTTAGGAAGTTTTCACCTTCAAGCCAGCAATATCGCTGTTTATACAATAACCTTGAGCCTTTGCGTATGCTGTTCCCTCTGCTTGGAGTATTCTTGCTACCCTGGCTATGCACATGAATTTGTGCACACGTGCACGTGCATGGACATACGCGCACACACATTCATATAACTGCTTCTTTAGTTGTCACTTCTTCAGAGACATCTATTCCGATTTCTCTAAGTTCTCCTCCTCCCACTGCCTTGTATCCTCTAGCTCAATCCCTTTTATATGTTCTTCATAACATTTGTCACCATCTGTAATTATCTTAAGTGTTTTTCACTTATTTCCTGTTTGCTTCCTCCCCTAGGGCATAAGCTCCATGATTCAAGGACTGTATTCTCTTATTCACTGTTGTATTTCCAAGCGCTGAGCTCGGTATCTGGTCATAGTAGATACTCAAAAAGTATCTATTGAATAAATTATGAATGAACAGTGCTTCTACACTTATTGCCTCACTGGTACAGCACACTAGCCTTTTATGAGTTAGACTTCAGTAAAAGGAGACTGAAGACAGCACTCCAGTTATTTTAATCAGAAAAATTTTAATCCAAAAAATTCATCTTTTTTTATTTATTTATTTTTATTTTTATTTTTTTTTTTGAGATGGAGTCTCGCTCTATCACCCAGGCTGGAGTGCAGTGGTGCGATCTCGGCTCACTGCAAGCTCCGCCTCCCGGGTTCACGCCATTCTCCTGCCTCAGCCTCCTGAGCAGCTGGGACCACAGGCACCTGCCACCACGCCTGGCTAATTTTTTGTATTTTTAGTAGAGACAGGGTTTCACCGTGTTAGCCAGGATGGTCTCAATCTCCTGACCTCATGATCTGCCTGCCCCAGCCTCCCAAAGTGCTGGGATTAAAGGCGTGAGCCACCGCACCCGGCCCAAAAAAATTCATCTCTTACAAAATTGTTGGAGGGCTAGAAGAATGGGTTCTAAACTGGGCCTCCAGGAATGACCACCTAAACAACACTGTTGAACTGGCCCCCACTTTGCCAGAATCAGTTACAAGGGTCCACGGAGAGGCCACTCCTGGAACTATTGAATTCAAGGACATACCACTGAGCTTGCAAAACAAGGATCAGGAAGTCATTGGTGCTGCAGATCCCTCTCAGCACCCTCAGAACTAGGTAGTAAGCACTGGAACATTGCTGCAGGGGGAAAATGCCTCTGTGACCAGGCTCACCAGCCCAAACAGTCAAACCAGCAAAGCAACAAGAAGATGGCTTCCACCTAAAGTCCATCTTTCATATGATGAGTTATTGGAACTAGGAGAAATCTAAATCATGGTTGTAACCCTAGCTGCAAGAGAGTCTTGGAAATGCAATGCCTACCTTTCCAGTTTCTGTTGTTCTGGAAGGTGCCCTATGGAGGTTGGAAAGGATGATGATGAGTTCCGATACCAAACCACCACAAGCCCTGTGAAGTAGGCAGGGAAAACTCCATCATTGCCTGGTGGCGCAGTGGCTCACACCTGTAATCCAAGCACTTTGGGAGGCCAATATGGGAGGATTGCTTGAGCCCAGGAGTTCAAGACCAGCCTGGGCAACATACAGATACCTTATCTCTACAAAAAAAATAAAAATTTGCTGGGCATGGTAGCTCATGCCTGTAGTCCCAGTGACTCAGGAGACTGAGGTAGGAGGATCTGCTTGAGCCTGGGAAGTCAAGGCTGCAATAAGCCGTGATCACGCCACTGCACTCTAGTGTAAACAACAGAGGGAGATGCTCTCTCAAAAAAAAATGCATCATTGCCACTTTTACAGATGAAAAACCTGAGTCTTCAGAAAATTAAATAATAATCCCTATTGATTGGTTCTCAAAATTATTTGTGGAATGAGTGAGGATGAATTATTTTCCCAGAGTCAAAAAGCAAACTCCTGTTGCCCTTAAAGACCCAAGTGAAAGGGATCTCCTCTGTGATGCCTGACCTAACCACCCAAGCTAAAGTCAATGCTATTGTTTATGCATACACACCTACACACACACACCGTGACTTTGATATGTTCATCATGGTACCTACCACAATGTATTTTAAGGACCAATTTGTGTTTCTGTTTCCCTAAGCAGACAATGAAGTCCTCAAGGGCAAAGATGGCATCTTAGTCTTCTCACCAACCTGGGTATCCACTGTGTGTAGCTCATAGGAGGTCAGATTAATACTTGGTTTATTGACTTAGTAAGTGTAGTGCTCTGGGCTCTTGACATTAGGCCAGTCCTCTTTCCACCATGCCACACCGCTTCTACCCAACTTTTTCTGAAATCTACTGGCTTTGGTATTCATTTGCTCACTCATGCAAGAAATATCTATTAAGCACCCATAATGAATCAGTGTTTGACACAGGAGATGTAACAGTGAGTGAAAAGAGACAGTCTCATGGCCCATAAAGACTACAGTCTAGTGGGGGAGATGGATATGAATTAGCTGATCACACAAATAAATGTGTAACTACAGCAATGATGATGACACCATAAAAGGAGGTGCATCCTGGTCTGGGAGCGTGTAATAGGTTTGAACTGTACAAGGACATCAGAAAAGATTTGTATAAAGCAGTGATGATAGCTGACATCTAAATGATAATAGGAGTTATGCAACGCAAAGAGGTCAGAAGGTCAATTCCGTGAGAAAGGAAATGGTCATGCAGAGGCCCTGTGGTAAGAGGAAGGTGAAGAAACAGAAGAACAAGGATGGTATTTTTTCCATGAGAAAGGAAATGGTCATGCAGAGGCCCTGTAGTAGGAGGAAGGTGAAGAAACAAAAGAACGAGGATGGAATTAAGTGGGGCTGGAAAATGAGGAAAGGGTAAGACCCTGCAGAACCTATAGGTCAAATGTAGGATGTCTTTCTTTATTCACCTGGGGGAGAGGATGACATGCTTATAGGTGTGCCTTAGAAAACTTCAATGTGTGGCCAGGCATGGTGTCTCATGCTTGTAATCCCAGCACTTTGGGAGGCTGAGGCAGGCAGATCACTTGAGGTCAGGAGTTCAAAACCAGCCTGACCAAACCCTGTCTCTACCAATAATACAAAAATAAGCTGGGTGTGGTGACATGTGCCTGTAATGCCAGCTACTCAGGAGGGTGAAGGAGGAGAATCGCTTGAGACCAGGAGGCAGAAGTTGTAGTATAGATTGTACCACTGCACTCCAGCCTGGGTGACAGAACGAGACTCTGTCAAGAAAAGAAAAGAAAATTTCAATGTGGCTGGGCACAGTGGCTCATGCCTATAATCCCAGCACTTTAGGAGGCTGACACAGGAGGATCACTTGAGCCCAGGAATTCGAGACCAGCCTGGGAAACATAGGTAGACCCTATCTCTAACTACAAGAAAAAAAATTAAAATGTAATTTAAAAAACAAGAAGACTTCAATGTGAAGAATAAAGTATGGCATAGCATGCAATCATTCAGCCTCCCACAGTGCCCCACTTTGAGCCAAGCACAAAACTCTGAGCTGAGCCATCTTCAGCAGCAGCCCCCATCTTCTTGGTCTGTCTTTCCAAGATTGCATCATACGTTGAACATCATGTAAATATATGCTATGCACAAGAAAAACATGCATTTCCAAAGAATACTTTGAAGAGAAACAACTTGCTTATGTCATTCACATACAGAGGCACAGAGAGGTTTATATTGGCTTTTGGCTTTTCAGCATTTAATTTATTTTGCAGAAAGAAATTTAAAAGTCTTTGGGACTGGAGGTTTCCTTTGAACTAACATCAAACTACCAGACCTGCTAAGGAAGATTCAGCCAGGCTTTGATATGCCTCAGCACATATACAACACTGCTTCTGCTTTGGACATGCAAAGGGAGAAAAAAATAGTACTCTGCATCACGAATCCCTCCTTATTAAAAATAATTAGTAGAGATAGCGCATAAGTCACTTTTAAAGCCCCCCTTTTCTCTAATTATCCTCCTAAATACATACCAAGACCTATTCACCAAAGACTGTCCTGGATATTTTAGAAAATGTCTTTTAACTCTATCCAAAAAAAGTTTAAGCAAGAAATTCTTTTCCCTCAGGCCAACTGAAATAATAATTAAACTGACTGCTATGGTTTACATGCATCTCCCAAATTTCATTTGCTGGAAACTTAATCCTCAGATTCATATGTTGATGGAATTTGGAGGAGGGACCTTTCAAAAGTAATTAGGATTAGACATGCTCATCAGGGTAGGACCCCTGTGATGGGACTGCTGGCTTTATAAAAAGAGGAAAAGAGACCTGAGCTGGCACACTCTTGCCCTTCACCATGTGATGCCCTCTGCCATGTTATGACACAGCAAGAAGGCTTTCACCAGATGTCAGCACCATGATTTTGGACTTCCCAGCCTCCAGAACTGTGAACTAAATAAAATTTTCTTTAGCATTACCTAATCTGTGGCATTCTGTTATAGCAACAGAAAATGGACCAAGACACTGACTTTTTTCCTTGTTTTTCAATCTCACTCCTTTTCACTATTAAATTTTGGCTGCCATGTTTTAGCTGAGAATTAATCCTCCTCAAAATTAAAATTTTATTAGAAAGCACAGATAAATCCACAACCACCATCAAAGTTTCATGGGATTTTGTGTATTTTTCTGAAGATTCTGCAGAAATTTTGCACAAAACAAGAATGTGTACTTTGTGGGACACATTTTTTAAAACCTATCTAAACCCTGACTTTCTATATACTCTAACAGCAATACCAGTAAGATCATTTTACATTCATGGTCATTCTAACCTGGCTGTTCTCCTTATCAAACGTGTGACCTGGATGAGGCACCTCACCCATTTGAGATTTGGTTTGTTTGCCTTTAAAATGAAAATAATAATTAAGCTTCCATTTAAGGACAAGTTCAAAGCAAAAGGTGAATTGGGCCTATGTTTCTGAGTAATGCTGAAAATGCTCTAGTTTTCCAGAACGTTGGTACCTTGGCCATACTCTCTCCTTAGCACACCCCCACTCCTGCTCCACTTAAAAACAAGTCATGCTTTTTGTTGTTTTTTGATGCTTATTCCCCTCTGCCTGAAATTCCCCAACTTCTCTATCTCAAGCTGATCACTCCTTCACTCCCTACTCTGTTTCATGACAGCTTATCTCATCATATTATATTATATTTATTTATGTCACTAGTTCTCCTAAATAGATAGTTTGTTCCTTGAGGTGGCAAGAAGGTCTTATTCATCCCTGTATCCTTAGCCCCTAGCAAATTTCCTGGCATAAAATATGCATTGACTGAATAAATGAATGTATGACAATGCGTAAAAAGTCTAGTAGAAACATGCCAATTATGGGGAGACTAAAAATTCTAATAGTATATATCAAGGAATCACTATGTTTATTAACTATTGGTTTTGTATCCATTCAAATATCATGAGCAATTTTAATTAATGGTAGTATGTGCAAAGATGAGAACTTCTTTTAACCAGATTCATTCTATGTAAAGTCACCCTCTGCCTCTTATTCTTCACTTCTCTTATTTCCATCACAGGAATAATCACAATTTATAACAATTTCCTCTTATTGTTGCTATTTTTCTCCTCTAGAAGTTCTTGATTTTGTCTGTCTTGATCATGGCTGAGGCACAGTCCCAGTACGCTGTAGGTGTCCAAAAAATATTTGTTCAGGGCCAGGCACAGTGGCTCACACCTGTAATCCCAGCATTTTGGGAGGCAGAGGTGGGTGAATTGCTTGAGCTCAGGAGTTCGAGACCAGCCTAGGCAACACAGTGAAATTACATCTCTGAAAAAACACAAAAATTAGCTGGGTATGGTGGTGTGTGCCTGCAGTCCCAGCTAGTCAGGAAGCTGAGATGGGAGGATTGCTTGAGCCCAGGAGGCGTAGGTTGCAGTGAGCCGAGATCACACCACTGCACTCCAGCCTGGGTGATAGATCCCTACTCTATCTAAAAAAAAAAAAAAAAAAAAAAAAAAAAAATTATTCAGGAAATGAGTGAAACCACCAAGTATGGAAGCAAATCTCTTATAGAATCTCTCCATGCCATCAACTACTTGTATTAAATTCCCAAGATGATTAAGGGAAATCAGAATTTCAGCCTTTTGGGGGAACCTAAAGAGGCACAATAAATAGCACTCTCTTCTCCTTTCTGAACAAATTGAGTAGTAAAGCAATGGGGCTGTAGTTAGAGGATCAAAATTTTACCTTTAATCAAGCTGAAATCAAAAAACTTGGTAAGTGGCCCCATCATACTCAATCTCAGAATTGTATAAACTCGACCTCAAATCTCAGCAGTCTCTCTCTGTTTGAGGGTAGGGGAGCTAATTTTTTCCTTAAAAATTATGGAGTAGGAGAGCAGAGGAGAACACAGGTTTCCTGGACAGCTCATCCCAAGAACAAGGGCAGCAAGATGTGGGTCCCAAATGCACAGTTCGTGAGTCCATGCTGGCTGATCAGAGGCAGCACTTCACCTCCCACAGACAGAGGGAGGGAGGAAACCAAGAGACCAGTAAACTAATGGGGCTCCCAGTCTCTCCAGTGGAATAAAACATCAAGACTGGAGTTTCCTTTCTCCCACCCCCACCTTGCCTTGACTTCAGATACACCTATTTTCAGATGCTGTCTGTAGAGAGCCTGAATTTGGCCAAGTGCATTAAGCCCACCAGGCCAATGTTAATGATTACAGGAGAAAACATCACTCTCATGTCAACAAAATAAACAGAGGTTCAGGCAGCCTAAATAATTTAGCCTTTTTTCATCATTATTGGAATGCACAATACTATTGGCCAGTAATATAACTATGAAAAAAAATAAAAACCCTAGGAAATAATGCTTTCTATCACTTTCATTGATCTATCTTTGGTTGTGTGGCTTGCTCTAAAGCTTCCCAGCCAGCTTGCTCCCTGATTTGGCCCAAATCACTCCCAAGCCACTGAGCTTCTGGTGAAGGTAGTAGGAACCTTGCCTTGGTCAGCAGAGGCCACACAGAATAGCCCTTTCTTAAATATTCAAGATCCTCTGTCTGAAGTTGTTCTTTTCCTGGATGGTCAAAGATCCTGAGGAATTCTCTGACAGCAGTTCTCTCTGGCTGGCAAAGCAAGATAGAGGAAGACGGGAGAAGAGCAAGGAAGACACCCTTAACATTCTTCAAAAATACTTCTTCAAGATGCCATAAGGAGAGGCATTTTCCCCAGATCTTCCAGCCTACGAGGAGGGTGCAGAGCTTCTATGGAGGGGTTAAAAATAATTTTATCACTTGGATAAAACAGAGAGAAAAATCCAAATGTAAATGTTTGAAGATGTGGTCTTTTCAGGTGCCTTCCTTTTGAACTCGAAGGAGAAAACGTAAAGGGGGAGAAAGGCCCTTAAAACCACTATGTAGTTTTGCTTTTTTTTTTCTACTTTGCTTTTCCCTTGTGTAGAACAAACTCTTAGGTTACATCCCAGCCTAGAATAAATCTTCTGGGCTGAATGATAAATCAGGGATTGTAATGGAAATCACTGTTGACCTTTAAAAGGGCACTGTCTTTATATTTTCACACTGTGCTGTTTGAAATGTCGACTCAGAATCAGGAAAATAATATACCATCGATTTCTCTCCATACCTCTTATAACAGAGCTTGAAATTGACCTAGAATGCATTGGTATGTGTTTTCTCATTACGGTTGTCAACATCATCGGAAATGGTGATTAATGATTCAGTCTTGGGAACAGTGTTGTTAGACCTTGTAATTACTGTATGAATCGTGTCCAAGCAGCAACTAGCCTACCCTATTTATACCACCCCCCAGAAGTGGGTGTATTTTAACCTTCATGTGGTAAAACTTCATGGTTCTCGATTAAAAGCCTCTACTAGATGGGAATATCATTTCCTCACATTGTTGTTTATCTTGGTTACCGTCTTCCCCTTGTCCATTACTCCTTTTTTTATTTTTTTATTTCTCTTTCCATTTCTCAATGTGCCACGTTTCTCTGCTAATTCAGTATAGTTTTTCATTCTTCTTTTTCTTTTTCTTTTTCTTTTTTTTTTTTTTTTTTTTTTTGAGACGGAATCTCGCTCTGTCACCCAGGCTGGAGTGCAGTGGCGCGATCTCAGCTCACTGCAAGCTCCGCCTCCCGGGTTCACGCCATTCTCCTGCCTCAGCCTCCTGAGTAGCTGGGACTACAGGCGCCCGCCACCACACCCGGCTAATTTTTTTTATTTTTAGTAGAGACGGGGTTTCACCATGTTAGCCAGGACGGTCTCTATCTCCTGACCTCGTGATCCGCCTGCCTCAGCCTCCCAAAGTGCTGGGATTACAGGCGTGAGCCACGGCGCCCAGCCTCTTCTTTTTCTTTCTAATTTACCTATTTTCCTTCCAATTTCAAAATCTCTTTCCCTCTAATTTATCTTTTTTGTATTTTATCCTTTTTCTGTCTGATTTATATATTCCATCTCTCGTTCACTCCAGAAGGACCTTTTAAAGCCATCCAGATTCTCTTAGCCTTGCCTCTTCTGACTGACAATATGGAAGGTCTTTTCCTTTCCGGCCTTTATCCTCACATGTGCTGGCCCATGCAGGATGGCCAAGCCACTCACTGCCATCCTTCCACCAGCTCTCCTTTGGATCTTGTGAGGAAAGCATAGTGAAGTACCATTGAGAGGTGTCCACAGACTTTCAATTAAACTTGGAAGCTGACAGCACGACCTCTCTTCGTTTTAAAAATAGCTAGGAAGATATGGTTAATATTTTCTCTGTTAAAAGAATTTTAAATGGCTTTTAAATGATGTGGCCTTCCACTGAGTTTTTCTTAGGGACCAGTTGTAACCACTCTGCAGAAGCAGGAGGGACCTCCACTCGAAATTTGGTCTGGATGTCAAGACTGATAAAGCCACACGTATACCAAAAGAATATGAAAAGGTTTATTATCTACGTAATTTAGGCTTTTCTGGGGAGAGCATGGCAGGCCTTGCAAACAGGTCGCAAACGGCTTGAGAACACAAGCAAAGGGACTGGGGCCAGGGTGAGGGTTCCCACAAGCTGGCAGGGGCCAGCAAAGAAGAAAAGCTCACCTGCATTCAGATGAGGTAGTTGGCCACCCACAAGACGTAATTTGAACAGCACAGGTAGTACTCCCTTGCCTGAAAAGTGTTCTGCCTCAGGAGTGCCAATGAGCCAGACACACTCAGTAAGCCCTCCTTCAAATTCAGAGATCAAAGATACCCATAACATTTAGAATAACTCTGAAGAAAAAGCATATTTTATGGACCTAGATCCAAGTCCCTTTTTTGCCAATTTTGTGACTTTGAGAAATGCACTCATTTCAGAGGCTCAGGTTCTGCATCTGTACAATGGGGATAAATAATACCTATTCCATTTCATCAATTCTAAAATGCATTCTTCCTCTCATTTTAGTGTCTCTGAAAACTGGATACAATTCAAGGACTTCTTATAAATGTAATTGTTGGGTTTTTTTCTTGATGGCACATAAAATCACAATGGTGTTTCTTATAATTGATGGCATCTTAGATTATATCAAATACAATACTTCATAGGGCTGTTGTGAAGAAAGAAAAAGAAAATACGAAAGCATTTCATTCATTATAATGCTAAATAAATGTTTTATATACACCTTTGGGCCTTAGTTTTTATCTGTAAATTGGGAGTAATAATAATACTGACTGCATGGGGTTGTTGTGAGGGTCAAGTGAGTGAATACATGTCCAGTGTTCAAAACTATGCCTGAACCAGAGTAGGAGGACTTAGTCTTATCATTAGCCCAGGACCTTCTGTGACTCATTTGAAGACACGTTGGCCATTGATTCATCCCCCAAACACTGAATGTTTGGTGGGTGTCAGCAGGGTTCTAGAGTCATCCTGACTCTGCCACTTACTCTGAGCAATTTCTGTAGTTTTATACAGATGCCTCTTCTGCATCCATGATACGAGAAGAATAATTGCACCTACTTTGCAAAGTGCAGATGAGCATTAAATGGGTCAGTCCATGGAGAGAGCCTAGTACAGTGCCTGGCAAGTGAGAACCCTCAAAAAATGCTAGTTATTTTTAGCATGAGATTCTGCTTTAAAGAAGCATCTGGTCTAGCTAGCCCAGAAACAGAAAATTATAACACCACAAGCTAGGGGTGGCCACTCTTCACACACTGCCCTTGTGTAAGCCCCATCAATGCCCTCAAGTCAAAGATCCTCCAGGAACGCATCTGATGTGAAACAGAATTGGGTTTGCTCTTCATGGTGAGATCCGCTCACACCATGAGTATCCATGAAGTGTCTCAGAAAGAGGGTGTTAGAAAGGGATTGTTATGGGAGTGTTGGCTGATTTCAGCTGAATCAGTACGTTAGCTGATTTCAGGGAGCACTCAAGGAACTGGGGGATCTGTGCGGGATGGAAGCTGTCAGATATAACATACGGAAATTTAATGATTATCTTCATTTTTCTTTAGTGGGTAGGAGGATAGAAGTAGAGCTAGAGTTGGCCAGGCGCGGTGGCTCACACCTGCAATCCCATGTAATCCCAGCACTTTGGGAGGCCGAGGCAGGTGGATCACAAGGTCAGAAGTTCGAGACCAGCCTGGCCGACATGATGAAACCTTGTCTCTACTAAAAAAATAAATAAAAATAAAAATACAAAAACTAGCCAGGCATGGTGGCATGCACCTGTATTCCAAGCTACTTGGGAGGCTAGGCAGGAGACTCGCTTGAACCCAGGAGGCGGAGGTTGCAGTGAGCTGAGATCGTGCCACTGCACTCCATCTCAAAAAAAAAAAAAAAAAAAAAAGAGGTAGGGATAGAGTTATGATCGAAGAAGAAGCAGTAGTCACTCCCATTAGCCAGGAGAGGGGGGTATTTGGTCATTTTTGCAGTTATACAGTGTCTGTTTTTATCTCTGTTCAGGCATAATTACAGAGTTGTCTTGTTTTTGTCTTGTTCCATCACATCCTTGAAAGTTCTCATCTGATATCAACATTCTGCCTGTGTTCACCAAGGCAACAGCATGACCCAACTGGTAGCAAATAAGCCAGCAATTAGCTATCAGCTGTAGGGTGACCAACCATCCCAGATTGTCGGGGACTGAGAGGCTTCCCAGGATACAGGACTTTTCACTCTAAAATGGGGAAAGTCCCAGGCCAACAGGACTGAAGTCAGTCACCAAGCTGCCAGGGCTTTCTTTTTCTCTCTCAGCCTTCACCTTTTTAATAACATGTCCTATGAATTACCCAATTTATACTTTTCTTTATTGACTCATTTGTCTGCATATGAGGATGTGCTTTAGAGGCAGACAAGTCCCATCTCTATCACTTACTAGCCATGTGACCTTGAGCAAGTTGCTCAATGTCTCTGAGTCTTGGTTTCCTCCTCCCTAAAATGAGGCTGGTGCATACTCTATGCAAAGCCTTACTTGAGATAATGGCATCCTCAGCAATGCCTTGGACGTCGTAGATGCTCCATTAATGTTACTCCTGTCCTCCCCAAATCCCATCTCTACCCCATTCCTTATCAGCTTTGCACCATTTCGTGCAAAGGCCTTGAATCTACAGTGACATCTCTGAACCTTATTTTTATAGCTCTTAGCACAGCTCCAGGTGCCTAAAAACACTTTAAAAATTAATTTAAAGGATGTTATCTCTGCTCCTTTTTCTGTTCTTCAGTTCCTCCCCTTATTTCCTTATTGCCTTCGTTTTTTGTTGTTGTTTTTTTTTCAGTTCAGTTTCAATACAGACTGCAAAAATTGCCCATGCCGACTATATTTTAAATCATCATGGCAGGGTATTGGGAAACATTTTCAACTAGCCATAATCGGGCCTCGGATAAACCTCATGGGCTACCATACTGCCACTGTGCAAAGCTACCATTATTTCTTATACTTTTCTATCCCCTTTTCCTGCAGGAAATTCAGACCTGTAAGTAACAACGATTGTAATAAACTACATTTCTAGACCCCTTTGTAGCTTATAAAATGCTTTTGACAAAAGAAAAAAAAGAACCTGAGAGGCAAGTACTATTACTCTCCTGTTTACAGATTAGCAAACTGAGGCTTAGAGAAGCCATGTGCCTGATTCAAAATCAGAAGACTAGTAATGAATGAGAACCAATGCTTTGAGTCTCTGCTCTGCTCTAAAACAGCTTTCCTCAGATACTCAAACCCAGATGTCAATACATCCCCATGCTTCACACACCAAGGGTCATGGATCAGGCCTCTTGACCAGATGTTGCTATTGAGACAAGCAGCTGTCATTTGTAATATCCTGTGCTGTCCCCCAGGGTCCATGGCTCAGTTTCACTTTAAATCCAGCCACAGCTCTTGCCAGACCAATGAGAAACTCCCATTTGAGGTGGAACCACTGAAATCTGATTCAGAGCTCTCTGCTAGTTCTTCCTCTGACTGTCAATTCAGCTTAAGCCCTGGCAGCTGGACTTAGTCGGGGCTGGATAACTCTAACTTCCCTTGACTTGCCATCTCCTTCCCCATTGCCCAAAGAAGGAATGCCAAATGGACTCACACTTGTCGCCCTTTGGAATCCCTTACGTGTCATTGCCTAAGCAGAAATTACAAATAAGGCTTTGGTATTTAATTCAGACCAGTACCAAAATATTTCCCTGTCTAGAGTTCTTCCATGAAGAAAGCATTTATAGTATGCAGATGGTGGGGGCGTGGGCCTGCAGGCGGCCCAGGAATGCAAGTCAACAGCCTTGAGTCTTACTAGAAGAGGGGTGTGGACACCGGGCGCCTTTCCAGGGTAACCCAAGTAGGTGGAGTTTGTGGTAAGGCAGAAAAAGGCTAGGACTTGGGGCCAGCAGAGCCAGGTTTAAATGCTAGTTCCCATGTTGACAGGGTGAGTTGCACATGGTGAGTTGCTGCATGCTAAGCATTCAGTCTCTCCTAAGCTCTTCTTCGTAAAAAAAAGCAATGCCTGTCCTGCCCTTCTCTTTAGGGTGGTCTCGAGGTAATGGACATAAAAGCACTTTAGAAACTGGAAATCGCCAGACAAGTATAGGCTGTTAATATTACAGTGCAATGTCTAAAGTCTGTGATAAATTTTTCAGGCAGATTCACTATGCATTCCAATTCTCTTTGGTCTTTGTTTTTCTTCCAGTTCCCTTAATCTGTCTCCCTGCACAAGCTCAAAGTTGCCGAAGAATAGGTCTGCGTTTGTTTCATATTTCACACACTTCTTCAAGCAGTATTCCAACTCAAAAAGATAGTCTGAGGAAGCTTAAGTGATTGAAAGGAGAAGGAAAACACTTGGCTCAAAATATGATTTTTGGTTTTTGTTTCTCTAGTCTAGAGGAAAATTTTAGATTTTGATTTGGAGGAGAAAAAACAGAAAAGTTAGAGAAATTGAAGCCAGGCGTGGTGGCTGATGCATGTAATCCCAGCACTTTGGAGGTGTAAGGAACATGGCTGTGCTGCAGCCAAGCAGGCATAGGGCAGCAGGCATAGACCGAGGAAAACAGCCTAGAAGACTCAGCAGGATTGGGGCGCACGCACACACTCCCATGTCTCATATAATCATAGCCATGTAGACACAACATAGAGAAGCTCCCCACCTGGCTCTCAGCCACTATTGTCTGTGTAGGTATAAATGTAACACTGACCCTGTGAGGGGCTGCTGAATAAAGCCATGTCTCAACTACCTGCTGTCTCTCGAGTGTTCTTCCAGCTCCCTGCCCCACATCCACTCACTCCCCTCAGCCCTCAGCTGGGGCTGGAACCTGACCCTGAGCACGACAACTGGCGAAGTCGGCAGGATGAGGTGAGTGAGTCTTCAGCCTTTGAGAATCCCGGGTCTGCTATGTGGCCGCAGCATGGGCTGTGGTACCCAGTGGCAGAGGTGCTGCTTGGATGGGCCCCAGTGGAAATATGGGAGGCAGTAACGGGTCTCCTGCGAGTGTGGAGAAGGCACTGAAGCAGCTGGAAGCTCACAGCACCAAGAAGGAATGCACCTTCGCTGGCGGAGTCGGATGAGCATTTCTGACTGCACTAGGCAGAGTACATGCTCAGTCCCACAGGTAAGGGACCTCCCAGCGCAAGCCACGTGCCTGGGGGCCCAAGTGCACAGCTTAGACCAGGACCTGGGGGTGGGGGACCTGCAGGCACAAGCAGGGCGCTTGGAGGCCCAGATAAGCAGCCTGGAACAGGAGTTAGCAATGGCTGTTAGTGCGATCTTCAGCCAGTCGTCCCAGTCAGACACTTCTGTTGGATCTGATGCTAAGGAGGAGGGGCTCCTTCCCTGCGGGCTCGCCCTGTGATCCGTCAGAAGGTAGAACATGAGGAGCCGATGGGACCCCAGGGGAGAGCCCAGGACCCCCCACAACAGTGGTGGAACACACTTCTTATAGTGCTTATACCCCCACTGAGTTGCAGGAGTTGAGTAAACAGTGTTGGCAGCGCCCAGGGGAGCCCCTGCCAGCCTGGCTACTCCGTTTTTGGGATGAGGGGGCTGATAGCATTTCTTGCTCTGCCTCCGAGATGGAGAAGCTGGCCTCTATTACAACTCACTCCTCCCTTCGTCAGACACTGCAGCTGTGCCAATCATTGGCACACGGGCAAGGTGTGGACATTAATAGAGTGGCTGATGGCAGCCATATGGACTGTTTGGAATGATGCCAGAGAGATATCAAAAATTGTGAGTAAATGGCAATCATATTCTGATTTGGTGCAGGTACTCTGGGAGATGGGCAGGTGACAGGCTATGTTTTATCTGAATATCCAGGGGCCAGAACGTTTTACCTCCCACATGAGGGATCTTGTGCTGGGCTCAGCGCCCCCGAGTGCTTTTGGCTAGAGTGCTTTTAGCACCCCCATATATGGGGCACCGCATATATGAAGTGACTACTGGCTGAGGTAGTAGACACAACACAGAGAAGCTCCCCACCTGGCTCTCAGCTACTATTGTTTGTGTAGGGTATAAATGTAACGCTGACCCTGTGAGGGGCTGCTGAATTGGCTTGTAGGCGATTGGCCCATTTGGGGCTAAGCGATGTGGCAAGACCTCTGGGAAATAGGTCATCAGAAATAGGTAACTATTATGTGTCAGGTCATGTGCCTTTGGCCACCCCCTGTAATGTTGAGGCGGATGCCTTAGCCAAGGTCTGATGGTTAGAGTCGGCACCTACACAAGATGTAGCTTTGTGGCTACACAGGAAACTGGGACAGTTTCTGAACTGATGTACTGAACTGATGTAACAGGTCAGTAGGTACTGGGGTCTGTCTTTGCCTTCGCAGGACACTTTGGAGGCCTGCCGGAAGTGCCAGGCATGCGCCCAGGCATACCCCAGACGGAGACAGCTGCCCACTGTAACACAGCGAGTGACGGTAGGATGGATGCCCTTGACCAGATGGCAAATAGATTACATTGGGCCACTTCCAAAAGCGCAGGGCTACACATATGCACTGACGGCTGTAGACACAGCCTCTGGCTTGTTGTTTGCCTACCCTTGCAGGGTGGCTAACCAGCAACACACCATTTGAACCCTGCAATACTTATGTGCTCTATATGGCCAACCCCTGGCTGTTGAAAGTGATAGGGGAACACGTTTCACTGGACAGCAGGTATAACAGTGGGCACTACAGATGGACATATGATGGGGGTTTCATGTTCCTTATAACCCACAAGCCACTGATTGAGCGATATAATGGACTCTTGAAGAACGGGTTACGGTAGCATGTTACTCCCCCATCTTTGCGGGGCTGGAGTTCAAGGTTGGACCTGGTGCTTCAAATTTTGAATGAGTTGCCACAGAAAGGCGGCCCAGCCCTGGTGGAGGCACTGTTACACCAGGCCGCCATGCCCGTCCATCTATACACATCTAGGATGACCTCCTCCGGCCAAGTATGGGGACAAATAGTAATCTATTGTTGCCTGCCCCAGTGCTCCTGAAGACAGGGGAACAGAAATCCTGGTGTCAGCCATGGAACCTCCAAGCCCTTAGGGGAGGGCCTGCGGTATGACTTACATGTTACTCCTTGGGTATTTAATGTGTATGTAGCCTCTACGATTGACCGTCATAGGGGAACAGCCAGGGAAGGGACCCTCCTTGGGGGGATATATGTACTGTCTGTGTGGCCTGTTGTGAGCTCTCCTGTGACTTTGGCACAAGTACAAGACCCAAAAGAACCACGGGGAGCCGAGAAGGTGTGGTTTCATCACCCAGGGCAGAAGCCCTTGGTGGCTGCATCGTTATCCAGAGATGAAAAGTTAGCCTGTATGTTGCCTGAGGGACGTGACTTGCCCTGTTAGTTCCTGTGCCTGTTTTGTCATTCCAGTGGTAGATTGGCGGCTCCAACAGCATCGTAGACTGGGCCCACACCTACGCCGAGGTGACCAATGTCTCCAACTGTTGGATCTGCACCGCCCTTCCAGCAGCAGCTGCAGACAGCTGGCCCTGGCATGTGCATCCAGCTTCTGTGAAGAACCGGACATAGCTAGAGACTTGAGGTCCCACAGACAATGCGTGGGATGCAACACAGTGGGCTTTGGATGGGGGCATGGCAAACCCCATGGCGAGCCTGCCCCCTGGCTGACTCGCAGTGTCCATGATGAATGGGGCTGGTTAATGGGAAACACATAGTGCCCCCATTGCAGGTACCATGATGTATAGAGAAGCACTGGGGTAATGTCACTGTAGGATGGTTGCCTGCTGAGGTTTGTGCAAATAAAACATGTGTCACCACACCAAGGGTGTGGAGGAACAAGCGACCTTACCAAGGCCGGGCCCCCATGGACTTTGTGCCCCCTGGGAATTTATGGGTCTGTGGGGACACAGGATGGCCAAATCTGCCAGCCAATTGGACTGGACGTTGTACCTGGGGGTGGCCTTATGTGCCTGCCATCATGCTTCCCACATTGCCTAGTTGCCCACATAATTGGGAGGCACTGCATTCCCACTTTTTCTGAGTGCAGGGCACCCCCTGGTGGTTTTATCCCTTAGCAATACGTATCCCTGGAGCAGGTGTCATTACTTTGGAAAAGCAGGTTACAGCCTTTGCAGAGCACACAGCTGGGGCCCTAAATTACACCCAAGTTGCTCTCCTTTTGTTAACTAATGAAGTTGACCAGGTCAGGAAGGTGGTGCTGCAAAACACGATGGCCTTAGACATAGCCTTAGACATGCAAGGACATAGGTGGCCCCTGTGCCTTGTAGGGACACAATGTTGTACATTTATCCCTGAAAACCACTGGAATGTAACGGCAGCTTTGCAAGGGGTGTCATAGGAGATTAAGGCAATTGAGCACCTTACTGATGACCCCCTACAGAGATGGTGGGCGTCTTTTGGGCTCTGGCCTATGTTGGGCTCTCATAATCATAAGTAGCATAGCAGGATATTCCTGGTAGGTTGTTGCTCTCTGTGTGGTTGCTGTGGCCTATGGGTCCAGGGTACTGCCATATGTGCACAGGTCCCCACCAAGAGGATCCCCTTGGCCTAGAGGATGGAGTGTAAGGAACATGGCTGTGCTGTAGCCAAGCAGGCATAGGGCAGCAGGCATAGGCCAAGGTAAACAGCCTAAATGACTCAGAGGGATTGGGGTGCACGCGCACACTCCCATGTCTCATACAATCATAGCCATGTAGACACAACATAGAGAAGCTCCCCACCTGGCTCTCAGTCACTAATGTCTGTGTAGGTATAAATGTAACACTGACCCTGTGAGGGGCTGCTGAATAAAGCCATGTCTCATCTACCTGCTGTTTCTTGAGTGTTCTTCCACTTTCCTGCCCACATCCGCCCATACCCCTCAGCCCTCAGCTGGCGCTGGAACCTGGCCCTGAGCATGACAGAGAGGCTGAGGCAGGAGGATTACTTTAACCCAGGAGATGGAGACCAGCCTGCGCAATATAGTGAGACCCTGCCTCTATAAATAATAAAAAAAAATTAGCCAGGCATGGTGGCACATACCTGTGGTCCCAGCTATTCAAGAGGCTGAGGTAGAACAATTGCTTGAGTCCAGGAGTCCAAGGCTGCAGTGAGCCGTGGACATGCCATTGCACTGCAGCCTGGGCAACAGAGTGAGACCCTGTCTCAAAAAGAAAGAGACAAGTTGAGAATTAAAAAGGAAAATTACATCTCACATTTAAGAATGATTGAAAAGAGGTTACATTTATAAAGTTAATTGATAGAGTCAAGTAGGAGTTGTGAATTTGCAGCATGAAGAGATAAAATTGTCAAGGCAATATTCCAAGTACTTATGTATCTTTGTTAAGCAAAGATACATTTACTTATCACTACTCAAGTCATAATTACACAACTCAAGTACATTATCATCTCTATCTAGAGCTTTGTCCAGGGAAAAAGAGATTCTCAGAAAACAGGACTCACCTGTGCTTCACCACATCTTGACAACATTATTATTTTACCCACACAGGGGTTAATATGTGTTCTGGAAACTGACCATATTCTTTATAAGTAATCCACAAAAAACTGAGACAAGGAAGGTTCAGAAATATATTTCTGAATATTGCCCTTCCCATATGGCCCTGCTTCGGTTCATATAACTCCATGTTATATGTTTCCAGCAGAATCTTTTGTTTTAAGACCTTCCACTGCAACAAGGCAATTTATAGACAAGCCTGTCTGTGAACAGGTGACGGGCTGGACACGGACTAGCCATATAGCATGAAACCCTTCTGCAACACTAACCACCTCACGTATAATGGAATTTGGCTTTGGCAGTTAAATCTTGGACTCATTCCAGAAGATTTAGTTCAGGAAATACCACAGGTTCTCACGACCGTGCAGCAGCTTCACTTTTAAGGCCAGACGGGGTTTAGTGTCAGGAATGCAGACACCGGGTGTCAGAAAATTTCCAGACGGCCACCAGATGGCCTCACTGTTCAGAACCACATTATACTGTATGTTTAAGTTACAGTTTTAGTCCTTGAAGCCAGATGATGGGCCCAGATGTATATTTTAAAGGTTGCTATTAAAATCATAATCATCAAGTGACAGATTTTTTTGTTATTCACTAGGTTTTTAACCTAGTTTACCAATAACAATGCGGGTGTCTAATTTCTAGAATCTCCAGGGGAAGGAAATAGAATATTACACATTTTTTACTCTAATCTTAGAGCCAAAGTATTTCCTGTACAATGTTATATACTTTTGTTGAGTTTCCTTGGAATCTGGATGACATTATTGACCATAGTGATCAACCTACTATTTAATGAGTGTATTTTTTAAAAAGTGATATGCTGAAAGTCCTTTAAACATATTATAAATTGTTTCTGCAAAAGGTTGCAATTAGTTTTAGACTAACAGACAAGATGAGAATATCCATCACCTGTACTTCATCATCATTCAGTATATCAATTTTTTTTTTTTTTTTTTGAGATGGAGTCTCACTCTGTCACCCAGGCTGGAGGGCAGTGGCACGATACTGACTCACTACAACCTCTGCCTCCTAGGTTCAAGCGACTCTCCTGCCTCAGCCTCTGAAGTAGCTGAGATTACAGGCACCTGCCACCGCACCCAGCTAAGTTTTCTATTTTCAGTAGAGACGGGGTTTCACCATGTTGACCAGGCTGGTCTCGAACTCCTGACCTCAGGTGATCCGCCTACCTTGGCCTCCCAAAATGCTGGGATTACAAGCTTGAGCCACTGCGCCTGCCCCAGTATATCATTTTTTTTAATATTTATTTTGTGTACAATATTCCCTAGGGTTTGGGTGAAATCTCATATCACATGCTATGAGCTAGGGAATCAGCTTAATTGGAAAAAGAAGAAATTTTCAAGGCCAGGTTCAGCTTGACAAAAGCCCCCCGCAGTTGCTCCTGTAATCTATAAAGAGGCATATCAGGGATGTTGGCTGGCTCTTCCTCCTTCTATGATAAGCATGAGAGAACAGCCTTATCAGTATACCAAGCAGTGTGGTTTAGGGTTGCCTGCTATTTACAAGAGTTATTTAGAATGCCAGACACTCAGCACCTAGGGACTCTGGAGCCTGTAGGATGTTTCAGCCCATTGCCAACATGTCCTCGGCAGGGAATGAAAGCACCAGTTACATGAGAAGACGAGCTTGGGCACTGCCCCTCCAACTGAGAGAAGGGCAAGACCCCGAGTCCTAATTACCCTTTGGCCAGGCCACCCAGATAAGCTCACTGGGTTATGTGGGACAATTATACTCCCTGCATAAAATTTAGCCATTTGATTAAGCAAAAAGCAGAAATAAACATTTTTACTTTTATTTCTTTGATTACTAACTTATATGTGCTTTTTTACATTTTTATTGACCAGTTGTATTCTTTCAGTGATAGATTTATACACTTTGCCCACTTTTCTTTGGAGATATTAATATTTTACTCTTTAATTCATAAAATAATTATTATATAGAATGTCTTTTAATCCAATAAGATCACCATGTAGTTTTTCTTGTTAGATCTATTGATAACATATTTTGCATTAATACAGAGAATATTTGTTGATTGTTTCCTCAGTATCCACACTCGCCCCTTCCCTGTAGTATCCTAATGCTTGTTTGGGGATCCAAGTGGTACCAGAAAAGCTGATTAGACCCCCAACTCCAGGTGGGACATAGACCTTGACCAACCAAGTCATGGCCCTCACCAACACGGTTGGTATAAGGGTGAGCATGTGACCCAAATCATTCTAATCAGGGGAAAACTCAAGATTCTTGCTATAAATGCTGACACAGAGAGACAATCCCTACTTCTTGCTAAATAAAAATATTGAAGCACACAACCTCAGAAGCCACTGGCAGCCAACCTGGGGACTCGGTTTAGGATGAAAGTCATAGCAAAGAAGACAGGGCAGATAATAAATAGTTTTTGGCATAATATTATGGAGCTACCAGATCAAGCCTCACCTGAGGGGACCCTACTAATGGATATTTTAGTTCCATGAAGCCAAGAAGATATACTGAGCAGTACACACTGGAATAGCCATCCCTGTCATCCATGGGTGACATCATTCTTTTTTTTTTTTTAATTTTATTTTAAGTTCGGGGGTACATGTGCAGGATGTGCAGGTTTGATACACAGGTAAATGTGTGCCATCCCCTAGGTATTAAGCCCGTCATGCATTAGCTATGTTTCCTGATGCCCTTCTCTCACCCCTCCCCCTCCCCCGACAGGCCCCAGTGTGTGTTGTTCCCCTCCCTGTGTCCATGTATTCTCATTGTTCAGCTCCCATTTATAAGTGAGAACATGCAGTATTTGGTTTTCTATTCCTGCATTAGTTTGCTGAGGATAATGGCTTCCAGCTTCATCCACGTCCCTGCAAAGGACATAATCTCGTTCCTTTTTATGGATGCATAGTATTCCATGGTACACATGTACCACATTTTCTTTATCCAGTCTATCACTGATGGGCATTTGGGTTGATTCCATATCTTTGCTATTGTGAATAGTGCTGCAATGAACATACATGTGCATGTATCTTTATAACAGAATGATTTATATTCACATCATTCTTATTACTCAGATGCCTACTCTAATTGGTTAATACCTATGCTGTAGTGGCTGTTAAATATTTTTAATATCATCCTTATATGTACCAGGAATTATCCTTTATTATTAAGCTAGTTTGAGTAAGGTTTGGCTTTTGGGTTTTGTTGTGTTTTTTTCTTTTTCATCTACAGCATATTCAGTAGTACCTCTAAGACACCGATTTTTTCAAAGTTTAATAGAAGCTTTCATTAGGCTGGGGCTGGTGGCTCACACTTGTAATCCCAGCACTTGGGGAGGCTGAAGTGAGAGAATTGCTTGAGGCCAGGAATTCAAGACAAGCCTGGGCAACATAGTAAGACCCCATCTCTACAAAAAAATTTCAAAATTATCCAGGTGTGGTACTGTGCACCTGTAGTCCTAGCTACTTCGGAGGCTGAAGGAGGAGAATCACTTGAACCCAAGAGTTGGAGGTTACAGAGGGCTATGATTGTGCCACTGCACTACAGCCTGGGCAACAGAGTGAGAGCTTGCCTCAAAAAATAAAAATAATAACAATAGCAGCCGGGCGCGGTGGCTCACGCCTGTAATCCTAACACTTTGGGAGGCCAAGGCGGGTGGATCACGAGGTCAGGAGTTCAAGACCAGCCTGGCCAATATGGTGAAACTCCGTCTGTACTAAAAATACAAAAACTAGCCAGGCGATGTGGCACATGCTTGTAATCCCAGCTACTTGGGAGGTTGAGGCAGAAGAATCGCTTGAACCTGGGAGGTGGAGGTTGCAGTGAGCCGAGATCATGCCACTGCACTCCAGCCTGGGTGACCAAGTGAGACTCCGTCTCAAAAAAAGAATAATAATAGTAACAATAGCTAACATTTTTACTGAGTAATTACCATGTGTCTAGACACTATTCTAAGTTTTATAGATGTTAACACCCCTAAAACTATTACCATCCCCGTTTTAGAGATAAGAAAATTAAGGCACAGAGAGGTTAAATAATTTGTTCAAAGCTTAACATCTAGAAGAGCTGGGATTTGAACTCAAGAATTCTGGCTCCAGAAGCCATGCTTTTATTCACTATACTATAACACTCTGCTCTGAAAGATGCTTGACAAAGTGAAGAATCATTAAAAATACACATACTTTAAAAATTTTGTTCTAACTTAAAACATGTAAGACAATATTGATTTGCCAAGTTGGGGGAAGGATTATTACAGATTGAGTATCTCTTATCCAAAATGCTTGGGACCAAAATTCCAAAATTTTGGATTTTGGAACTTTTTGGATATTGGAATATCTGCAAACATATAATGGCATACCTTGATGATGGGACCCCAGTCTAAACACAAGCTTAGTTTATATTTCTTGCTATAAATGCTGACACAAAGACAATCCTTATTTCTTGCTAAATAAAAATATTGAAGCACATGACCTCCTTCTTTTAATCTATATGTATACTTTACACACATAACCTGATGATAATTTTATACAATATTTTAAATAAAGTTGTGTATGAAACAAAGTTTATGTTAAGTACTTATGCATGGAATTTTCCATTTGTATCATCATGTTGACACTCAAAAATTTCAAATTTTGGAGCATTTCAGATTTCAAATTTTCAGATTAGAAATGCTCAACCTGACCGAGCGCAGTGGTTACGCCTCTAATCCCAGCAATTTGGGAGGCCAAGGTGTGCAGATTACCTGAGGTCAGGAGTTCGAGACCAGCCTGGCCTACATGGTGAAATCCTATCTCTACTAACAATACAAAAATTAGCCAGACATAGTGGTGGGCCCCTGTAATCCCAGCTACTTGGGAGGCTGAGGCAGGAGAATTGCTTGAACCTCAGAGGCGGAGGTTGCAGTGAGCCAAGACTGCACCATTGCACTGCAGCTGGACAACAAGAGCAAAATTTCATCTCAAAAAAATAAATAAATAAAGGAATGCTCAACCTGTATTCTTTGTTTCCACTTCTTCCTGGGCACATGGTGAAACCACATTCCCCATCTTGCCTGCAGTTAGCTATAACCATGTGCCTAAGTTATAGCCCTTGAAATGTGAACCCAAGTGATGTGATCACTTCCTAGGCTTGACCCACCCATGAGAACTTCGACATGGTAGACTTTGTGCTTTCTTTCCTTCTGTGGCTTAATGCATTAGAGCATGGCCACCTTGGAAGCCATATGTTGAAAACGTCAGAGCCAAAAGGTAGAAGTAGCCTGATGCCTATCCACCAGGAACCCATTTTAGATTTGATGTAACTAAGAAAAGTGCTAATTGTATTAAGCCATTGAGATTTAGGGGTTTGTCTAGTATAACCAAAACTAGCATTGTCCTAACTAGTTTTGAAACTAACTAATAACTTTTCTTTGAGTAACAGTTTCCTAATTAGAATTCTATATAATCTTTCTTACCTAAATGAAACCCCTAATGCATTGTTATTTCCAATTTAGCTTCTTTAAAGAAAGTAATTTCAACTTGCTCTTAAAATAAGTACAGGATTCGCTGGGCATGGTGGCTCATGTCTGTAATCTCAGCTCTTTGGGAGGCCGAGGCAGGTGGATCACGAGGTCAAGAGATCGAGACCATCCTGGCTAACACGGTGAAACCCCGTCACTACTAAACATACAAAAAATTAGTCATGTATGGTGGCACGCGCCTGTAGTCTCAGCCACTCAGGAGGCTGAGGCAGGAGAATTGCTTGAACCTGGGAGGTGGAGGTTGCAGTGAGCCAAGATCATGCCACTGCACTCCAGCCTGGGTGACAGAGCAAGACTCTGTCTCAGAAAAAAAAAAAAAAAATGTACAGGATTCTAGAGTTTTGTGACTTCTTCCCAAATTTTACAGTTGTCTCATTCTCACCTAATTTAATTTTTAATGGATCACTTGTATTGAGTTCATCTGATATTCAATTTAGTTTTCATAGGAACAATTCTTTTTCCATGTTCGTATTTCATCAGTTTACATAAATATTTAATTAGATTCCATAAATATATTAACAAATACAATTGACATAAACTTGTTTGGAAACCTATTATTATAGGAACTGAACTGCCAGGGAACATGAGGGCAAATTAGCCATAAGGATTCATCCTTCTGTGGACAGAAGTCAATGTTTTATAGACAAAATGATGAACTTTTCTTAATCTGGTGAATCAGTTAAGTAGAGATTGATCAACTGAATATAATTGAGTTTAATTTTCCTATTTTTTTCCATTACAAATTTCTCATATGTATTTGCACATAAAATTGTTCTATAGTTTGATATTTTTGTTTTTTATATATCAGGTCCAAATGGTGAGGCTGTGCTAACTGTATAGAATGAATTTGTTGGTATCATTTATTTCTATGTAATTAACAGAGCATAAGATTTATATGTTTCTTGAAGAAACAAAATAATTAGATCTGGGAATCTCTCTGTGAGGTAATTATTTTATAATTTCTTTCAGGGTTGTTTTTCTATTCAGATTGTCGCTTCTTGAGTCAATTTTATTAATATGTTTTATCAGAAAACCATCTACTTCATTGGGGAGATTTTCAAATGTATTAGCATTAAGTCAAGCGTAACATTCTCTTCTAAATTATTTAATTATGGAAATTGTCTTAGTCTGTTTGTGTTGCTATAACGAAATACTTGAGAGTGGGTAACTTGAAAAGAGGTTTATTTTGCTCATGGTTCTGCAGGCTGGACAGTTCAAGGGCATAGCTTCTGGCAGGGCTTTCAGTGCTGCATTGTAACATGGTGAAGAAGGTCAAAAGGGAAGCAAACATGTGAAGACACAAACCTGAGGGACATCCTAGCTTTATAACAACCCACTCTCTCGGGAACTAATCCATTCCAGTGGGAACTAAAAACTAATCAGTCTCACCTGTGTGAGAACTCACTCACTACCTCGAAAAGGAAACCAAGCCATTCATGAGGGAGCCACCCCATGAATCAAACACTTTCCAATAGGCCCACCTCCAAACATTGCCACCCAAGGGACAAAATTTCAACATGAGTTTTGGTGATGACAAACAAACCACATTCAAACCATAGCAGAAATGCTTAAGCATACATATAAGTGGTTAGAATAGTATAATGAACACCCAAGCACCCATTACCAGCTTCAAAAGTAATCATCATTTTCACCAATACTCCTTTGCCTATTTCCCTATTACTTTTTTAAGCACAGCACTGTGATTTAAAACAAACTCCAGACTTCCTGTTACTCACCCATATGCATTTCAATAATTCTCACAGAAAAGAACTTTTTTATATAAAAGTTTAACCTTTTCTATGTCTAAAATTTTACCTCATTTTTAATTTTTTGTTTTTTCTCTTCTATTTTTCCCAAGATTTTCTTAAAGACATTGGTTTCTCAGAGTCTTCTCTTGCATTAATATCAACTCTGCAGTGCTTCTGTTTTCAGCGATTTCTGTTAATTTAATATTTCATTCTTACTACTGCTCTCCTTAGGTTGGTTCAGTTTGTTTTTCTCAGGTTGAGTGCTTGCTTGTTAAATAATGAATTCCAGCTGGGGGCGGTGGCTCACACCTGTAATCCCAGCACTTTGGGAGGCCAAGGTGGGCGGATCACTTGAGGTCAGGAGTTCGAGACCAGCCTGGCCAACATGGTGAAACTCCGTCTCTACTAAAAATATATAAATTATGTGGGCATGGTGGCGTGCACTTGTAATCCCAGCTACAAAGGACACCGAGGCAGGAGAATCACTTGAACCCAGGAGGTGGAGGTTGCAGTGAGCCAAGATCGTGCACTGCACTCCAGCCGGGGTGACAGAGTGAGACTTCATGCCAGAAAAAAAGAAATACAATAATAATCAATTTGCTTCTGAACACACCTTCAGCCTCATCCCTTATGATGTTCTCATATTCCATGTTTTCCAAGTACTCTATAATTGTGGTTTTTAATTTCTACTTTAAACCATAAATTATTTAAATTGTTGCTTCTCTTTCCTTTTTTCTCATTTCTAAGTGCATGTAAGGTTTTTTAAATGTTTATATTAATTTTGTAGTATTTATTTCCCTTTGCCCACTCCCATGTCCTAGCATTTATTATTATATCACATATAATAATGCTACATTATTATAAAAATATATTTTTTGAAACAGGTTTTTACTCTGTTGCCCAGGCTGGGGTGCAGTGATGTGATTGCAGCTCACAGTAGCCTCAACCTCCTGGGCTCAAAGTATCCTCCCACTTCAGCCCCCTGAGTAGCTGGGACTATAGATACACGCCACCATGCCCAGCTAATTTCTTAATTTTTTTCTAAAGATGGGGTCTTATTATGTTGCCCAGGCTGGTCTCAAACTTCTGGCCTCAAGCGATCCTCCTGCCTCAGCTTCCCAAAGTGCTAGGATTACAGAAGTGAGCCATCACACCCAGCCAAAAATTATTTTATTTATTTATTTATTTATTGAGATGGAGTCTTGCTCATTGCCCAGGTTAGAGTACAGTGGCATGATCTCAACTCACTGCAACCTCCACCTCCCGGGTTCAAGTGATTCTCCTGCCTCAGCCTCTCGAGTAGAGGGGGGATTACAGGAATGTGCCACCATGTTCAGCTAATTTTTTGTATTTTTAGTAGAGACAAGGTTTCACCATGTTGTCCAGCCTGGTCTCAAACTCCTGACCTCAAGTGATTCGCCCACCTCAGCCTTCCAAAGTGCTGGGATTACAGGCATGAGCTACCATGCCCGGCTTATTATTTGCTAAATCAGCAGAAGAACTAAAGCAATAGATTCTAGATCTGTGCTGTTCAATACAGGAGCCAAATGTAACTACTGAATACAGTTGACCCTTGAACAACACAGGTTTAAACTGTGCAGGTCCATCTATACACGGATTTTTTTCTGCCTCTGCCACCTCTGAGACAGCAAGACCAACCTCTCCTCTTTCTCCTCCTCCTCAGCCTCCTCAACATGAAAAGGATGAGGATGAAGACTTTTATGATGATGTACTTCCACTTATGAAGAATACATATAATCTTCTTTATAATTTTTAATAACATTTTCTTTTCTTCTTTCTCTAGCTTTTTCTATTGTAAGAATTATGGTATATAATACATATAACATACAAAATATGTGTGAATCAACAGTATGTTAACAGTAAGGCTTCTGGTTAACAGCAGGCTACTAGTAGTTAGGTTTGGGATAGTCAAAAGTTATACATGAATATTCAACTATGTGAGGGGTCAGCACCCCAGCCCCATATTGTTCAAGGGTCAACTTGAAATGTGCCTAGTCTCAAATGAGATATGGTTTAGTATGAAACAAAAAAGAAGGTGCTAAATCTCAATAATACTTTAATATTGACAACATTTGGAAATGATAATATTTTAGATATAATGGGGTAAATAAAATATATTATTGAAATTAAAGCCAAACAAGCACACTACAAAAAAAGAAAATTACAGGCCAATATTCCTGATGAACATTGTTGCAAAAATTCTCAACAAAATATTAGCAAACCAAATTTAACAACACATTACAAGAATCATTCACCATGACAAATGGGATTTATCCCTGAGATGCAAGGATGATTAAACATATGCAAATTAACAAATGTGATATTCCATATTAACAAAGTAAAGAATATATAACATATCATTTTAACAGATGCAAAAAAAAAAAGGCATTTGGCAAATTTCAACCTCTTTTATGATAAAAAAAACTCTCAGCCGATTAGATATAGAGAAAATGTACCTCAACTCAATAAAGGCCATATGGGAGAACTCATAGCTAACTAACATCATACTTAGTGGTTAGGAAACTTTTTAAAAAATAAAATAAAATAACAGTGAAAAATTGAAACCTTTTTCCTCCAAGATCAGGGACAAGAAAAGGATGCCCATTTCCACCACTTCTTTTCAACATAGTATTGGAAGTCCTAGCCAGAGCAATTAGGCAAGAAAAAGAAATAAAAGGAATCCTAATAGGAAAGGAAGAAGTGAAATTGTATCTGTTTGCTGGCAACATAATCTTATATATAGAAAATCCTAAAGATGCCATCAAAAAAGCTGTTGGAACAGATAAATGAATTTAATAAAGTTGTAAGATACAAACTCAACACACAAAAATCAGTAGTGTTTCTACACATCAATAACAAACTATCCAAAAATTAAATTAAGAAAATATTCCCATTTACAATAGCAACAGAAAAATAAAATATTTGGGCGTAAATTTAACCAAGGAGGTGGAAGACCTATATGCTGAAAACTACAAAACACTGATGAAAAAGAAATTGAAGAAAACACGAATAAATTGAAAGATACTCCATGTTCACAGATTGGAAGAATTAATATTAAAATGTCTATACTTCCCAAAGCATTCTTTAGATTCAGCGCAATCCTTATCAAAATTCCATTACATTTTCACAGAAATAGAAAAAAAAATCCTTTAAATCCATATAGAATTACAAAAGACTCTGAAAGCCAAAACAATCTTGAACAAAAAGAACCAATCTAGAGGCATCCCACTCCCTGATTTTAAAATATGTTATAAAGTGATTGTAATTAAAACAGCATGGTACTGATGTAAAAAAAGATACCTCAAACAATGGAACAGAATAGAAAGCCCAGAAATAAAACGCACACTTCATAGTCAATTGATTTTTGACAAAGTTGCCAAGAAGACACAATGGGAAAAGGACAGTCTCTTCAAGAAATGGTGTTGGAAAAACTGGATATCCACATGCAGAAGAATACAATTGGAATCTTATCTCACACTAAATACAAAAATCAACTCTAAATGAAATAAAGGCTTATATATAAGACCTGAAACTGTAAAACTACTGGAAGAAAACATAGGTGAAAATCTCCATGATATCAGTCTGGGCAATGATTTTTTTGGATATGATGCCAAAAGCACAGGTAACAAAAGGAAAAATAGACAAATGAGGTTGCACAAAATTAAAAAGCTTCTGCACTGCAAAGGAAACAATTAACAAAGTGAAGAGACAACCCATAGAGTGGGAGAAAATATTTGCAAATCATACATCTGATAAGGGGTTAAAATCCAAAATATAGAAAGAACTCAACTCAATAGCAAAGAAACCAATAATCCAATTTAAAAATGGGCAAAAGACCTGAACAGACATTTCTCAAAAGAAAACTTGAAAACAGCTAAAACGTTCATGAAAAATTGCTCAACATCATTATCATTAGGAAAATGCAAATTAAAAAATGAGATACCACCTTTTAGAGAGGCTATTACCAAAAAGCTGAAAGATAACAAGTCTTGGTGAGAAGAGAGGGAAAGGGAACCCTTGTACACTGCACGCAACCTGTAGCACATTGAACACGTTGGATTTATTACCAGTTGCAGTGGGAGAGAATGCAGGCTGTTGGGAACCATGGGGAATGTCAGCATGAAAATGACAGAAAGGACTTGCTATAGAATCTGGATTTTTGGATTCTCTCTGAATTTGGCAGTGTCAAAAAGCAGGGGCAATCTTACAATTGCATATCTCATGAAGTCTTATTTACAGGGAGGGCAGGCTAGAGCAAGGCTAGAGATTTTCTTCTGCCTGTCATCCCTGAGACAGCAAGACCAACCTCTCCTCTCCTCCTCCTCAGCCTACTCAATGTGAAGATGACAAGAATGAAGACTTTTATGATGATCCACTTCCACTTGATGAATAGTGCATATATTTTCTCTTCCTTATGAGTTTCTTTTACTTTTTTTTTTCTTTTTTGAGACAGAGTCTCGCACTATTGCCCAGCCTGGAGTGCAGTGGTGTGATCTCGGCTCACTGCAATCTCCACCTCTCAGGTTCAAGCAATTCTCCTGTCTCAGCCTCCCAAGCAGCTGGGATTACAGGCATGTGCCACCACACCCGGCTAATTTTTGTATTTTTAGTAGAGATGAGGTTTTGCCATGTTGGCCAGGCTGGTCTTGAACTCTTGACCTCAAATGATCTGCCCACCTCAGCCTCCCAAAGAACTGGGATTACAGGCATGAGCCATCACGCCCAGCCCTTATGAGTTTCTTAATAACATTTTCTTTTCTCTATCTTACTTTATTGTAAGAATGCAGTATGATATATATATATATATATATATACACACACACAAAATATGTGTGATTCAACTGTTTATGTCATCAGTAAGGCTTCTGGTAAACAGTGAGCTATTCGTAGTTAAGTTCTGGGGGAGTCAAAAGTAATTTAAAAATTTTCAATTCTCCAGGGTCAGCAACCCTAACTCCCACATTGTTCAAGGGTCGGCTGTAGACAGACCCACATCTACATCTATGTATACAAACTGGAGCTAGTTCAGGGTACAATGGCCCAGACTAGTTTGAAGCTATTTTAGGGCAAAGCCCGTAGTTTTAAGCAGAAGGACTTAAACCCATAACATATGGGGAACAGTTGATAGAATTAAAGATGCCCATTGTAAAGAAGAAAAGATTTGGTGGCAGGAGTGGAGGGTGGGGTTCCAGTGGGAGTATAAATATAATGGTCTTCATATATTTGAAAGCTATCATATAGAAGGGAAATTGGCCTTGTTCTAAATGGCATATATAAGGTAAGAACCAGAACCAATAGGTGGAAGCTTTAAGAAAGCAAATGTGGACCTTCTAATGGAGGTGGCCCCATTTAGGTCAGACCACCACTGGCAGTGTCTTCGTGCGAATAATGAACAGCAGGGATTTTGATGGAGGGTATTTGAGAATCCACAGGATGATTCATCTAGAAGACCTTTAATGTCCTTCCCAATCTTAAAATTTAATGATGCAAAGAAAGATTTAGGAGGAAACTATGAAAACATGACAACTAAATGTAATGTGGGACCAAAGGTTGGATTCTGACCACAAAAAGAACATTCGTTAGGAAAATTGAGGAACCTCAAAATTTGAATAAGGTCTATAGATTGGTTAATAATATTGTATCAGCCAGGCGCAGTGGCTCATGCCTGTAATCCTAGCACTTTGGGAGGCTGAGGCAGGTGGATCACCTGAGGTCAGGAGTTCGAGACCAGCCAGGCCAACATGGTGAAACCCTGTCTCTACTAAGACTACAAAAATTAGCTGGGAGTGGTGGTAAGAGCGTGTAATCCCAGCTACTAGGGAGGCTGAGGCAGGAGAATTGCTTGAACCCGGGAGGCAGAGGTTGCAGTGAGCTGAGATCAAGCTACTGTACTCCAGCCTGGGCGACAGACGACAGACTCTGTCTCGAAGAGACTGTCTCAAAAAAAAAAAAAGTATCAATGTTACTTACTTTCCTAGTTTTAGTAGTTATATTATGGTTATATAAGAAGTGAACATTAGGAGAAGCTGAAGGAAGAATATATGGGACTCACTGTACTATTTTTGCAACTTTTCTGTAATCATAAAATTATTACAAAATAAAAACTTTTTAAACACTATCTCTGCTATTTATTAGCATCATTGTATTGCACAAGTTGGTTAACTTCTCTGACATACAATTTCCTTATTTTTGTAGAATAAAGATAAAATTCCTGTATTGCAGAATTGTTAGAATTAAATGAAAGAATATTGCAATGCACTTTGTCAGAGTGCCTGCACATAGTGACTGTTCAATAAAGGTGATTATTACTTTAAAAAAATTAAATAACAATATCAAAAACTTTAAAAACAAGTCTATAATACCAAAGTTCTAGACAATAGTGTGTTGCCCACCTATTCCTCAGGACTAGCCTCTCTGGAATTTACCTAAAATTATTGTTTACTTATTAAGTTTATCAAATGAGCTAAGCTCATTAGTGTACAAACAGAAAACAGTTTCATGTTTCTCTGATAACCCCTTCAGAATATGATACATCACAGCATCCTTCCCCAGCTCTGGGCAATATCTTGGGCTTATCTCATAGATTTTGAAATTACTTTCAAGAATGAAAACTCATTAAACATTTCTATTAAAAACTTCAGGCCAGGCACCGTGGCTCATATGTGTATTCCCAGTGCTTTGGCAGGCCAGGGTAGGGGGATTGCTTAAGGCCAGGAGTCCAACACCAGCCTGGGCAACATAGCAAGACCCCATCACTACAAAAAACTTAAAATTAGCTTGGTATGGTGGTGCATTCTTGCAGTCCTAGCCACTCAGGAGGCTGAGGCAGAAGGATCTCTTGAGCCTAGGAGTTTGAGGTTATAGTGAGCTATGATCAGACCACTGCACTCCAGCCTGGGCAATTGAATGAGACCCTGTCCCTGAAAATAAAAGGAAAGAAAAAAAAATACTTCAATCGTGTACTCAGTGCAGTCTCAGCCTGGTGTGGTGACCTACAGCATGGGAAGGAGGAACTGTCTGCTCTTCTTCCAACTCTTTCACATGGCTCCCTCTTGCTCTGCTGTGTCTGGGCTCTCCAGGGTCCAGTCAGGGAGCAGGGGGATTAAGGGAAGAAGGGCAAATATATCTTTGTGGCAGATGCTCTTGTAATACAGTATACCATGGCCTTGCAGTAGGAGGAGCCCAGATGCTGGCTCTCTCCAATGGGAAGCATTTGTGGGGCTTTTGAAGGCTCTCTGTGGGGACCATCTGGCTGAAAAACTCCCTTCAAAGTCAGTGCACTCTCCCACTTCTCCCAGAAGTTTCTTTTTTTTTTTGAGACAGAGTCTCCTTCTGTTGCCCAGGCTGGAGTACAGTGGTGCAATCTCAGCTCACTGCAACCTCCTCCTCCCAGGTTCAAGAGATTCTCCTGCCTCAGCCTCCCGAGTAGCTGGGATTACAGACATGCGCCATCACACCCAGCTAACTTTTGTATTTTTAGTAGAGATAGGGTTTTGTCATGTTGGCCAGGCTGGTTTCAAACTCCTGACCTCAAGTGACCACCCACCTTGGCCTCCCAAAGTGCTGGGATTACAGGCATGAGCCACCATGCCCAGCCTTCTCCCAGAAGTTTCTTGCAAATTTCTCAGCTCCTGCTCAGAAGTACAGCATATAACAGCTCATTGCTGGAGTCCCTTCACCCCATAGGCAGCACTTCTGATTCAAGGCCAGCTGTTTTCCATTGTAGTGCCTCGGAAACGCATGCCCTCACCACTACAAATTCTGGCTGTGTAAACAGGTTCCACTATGACCCTCTCATTTAGGATTCCCTGGTGGTTTCAACCAACACCCACCCCCCCAAATTCCAGACTCACCAGGCAGGAAGCAAACCCTAGTTTCCATTCATTTATGTCCCTAAATGCCGGAAGACACAAACCCACTCCTTCATAATCTCTCCTCCTCCACTCTACTCCAATCCCAGGACACCACAGGAGCCCTGAACTCTCTCAAGAGTTTCCCCAGAGGAAGAGAACAGGAAATGCCATGACACTATCCCTACCCCAAGGCCACTTTCTAATCCCCTTCCTCCTTTTCAGCTGGAGGATATGACTGAGGTTGATAATCACCATACTAGTTTTGCTGTCGCTTCATAATTTCTGCATGGATATGTCTGTGCTAATATCCTATTCAGAAATCTGGGGATAATTATCACCTCTTGCTCTCAACTTTGGGGATTCAGATAAAATTTCAAGACACCATGAAAAGTCCCATTTGATATTCTGTTACACTTAAAACACACCATGACGCTTTCCATATGAGCTCTCCGCCCTCGTCAGGGCTGTCTGCAGATGACACAATGGGAAACAGAGAAGCTGTGACTATTGGCAGAGTACTGCGTCTGGGCTGCTGAGATAAGACTTTTGGAAAGATTCAAACCACAGGCTTTTGCAATAGTTACACAATCACTTCCACCCCACCCTCAAGCTGAATGTCTTCCAGAAAGCAGAACATTCTTTAGGAGGTGATTATATAACTAAAACAGAAAAGGTTGTAACTGATGTGTGGGAATATCATTTAAGGGTTTGAAAATATATCAAATCAGAATGAAACACTTAATTAGGACAGGATAGCTTTTTATAGTTAAAGGTGATGCTGTAGAGAGGGGATTTAAATCATTCTGAATTACCCAAGGACTACCTTATGGAAACTACAGGGAAGCCAGTTTGGGACTCAAAAATATGCATTCATTCATTCACTCATTCATTCACTGAGTTCCTGCAAGGCTTCAGGCTCTGAGTTGGGGCTGATGTTGACGCAATGGTTAAGATTTGTTCCCTGCCCTCAAAAGAACTCAAAGAAAATCTCCATAACAGAATAAGGTGCCACCAGAGAAGAAATCATTATTCGAAAAAGATACTTGCACACGCATGTTTATAGCAGTACAATTTACAACTGCAAAATCGTGGAACCACCCCAAATGCCCATCAATTGATGAGTGGATAAAGAAACTGTGGTATATATATATATATATATATATATATATATATATATATATATATATATATATATATATGATGGAATACTATGCAGCCATAAAAAGGAATGAATTAACAGCATTTGCAGTCACCTGGATGAGACTGGAGACTAATACTTTAAGTGAAGTAACTCGGGAATGGAAAACCAAACATCGTAAGTTCTCACCGATATGTGGGAGCTAAGCTATGAGGATGCAAAGGCATAAGAACGATACAATGGACTTTGACGACTTGTGGGAAGACAGAGAGGGGTGAGGGATAAAAGACTACCACTATGGTGCAGTGTATACTGCTTGGGTGATGGGTGCACCAAAATCACACAAATCACCCCAAAGAATTTACTCATGGCCGGGCGTGGTGGCTCACGCCTGTAACCCCAGCACTTTGGGAGGCCAAGGTAGGCAGATCACCTGGGGTCAGGAGTTTGAGACCAGCCTGGCCAACATGGTGAAACTCCGTCTCTACTAAAAATACAAAAATTAGCCAGGTGTGGTGGCGGATACCTGTAATCCCAGCTACTCAGGAGGCTGAGGCAGAAGAATCACTTGAACCCAGGAGGCAGAGGTTGCGGTGAGCCGAGACCGCACCATTGCACTCTGGCCTGGGCAACAAGAGTGAAATTCCATCTCAAAAAAAATTTAAAAAGAGAACTTAGTCACATAAGCAAATACCACCTGTATTCCAATAACTTATGGAAAATTTTTGAAAATTAAAAAAGAAAAAGAAAAAAATTTTTTTAATCATTAAAAAAACTCATTTACATATTTTTTTAAAAAATAAGTACTGAGATCCCCTAAGGATCTGCCATATATGTATCCTGGAAGACCAATGAAGAGGGAGGATTCAAGTTCAAAGAGCAGGAGAAGAGAAGCAGTGAAACAACTGATCTTTAGGGTGCCTTCTATCCTTGCAAACCTGAGGCTCTGTTTGTGCTCTGGAACGCTCAGACATAAGCCATGATGTCCTGCTGGCTATGTGCTGAAGGAGCTGACTTGGTCCGTTGGATGTTTGCTGCACAGGAGGTTTTTGCAGAGTAGGACTGGCTAGGTTAAAAAAAAAAAAAGAAAGAAAGGAAAAAAAATAGCTCTCAACTTCTAGCTCCTCCTACCTAGCTAATCCCAGAGCATCTAGCAAGTGAGACAAGAGGTAGAGAGTGGGGCTGGGCATGATGGCTCATGCCTGTAATCCCAGCACTTTGAGAGGCTGAGGCGGGTGGATCACCTGAGGTCGGAGTTCACAACCAGCCTGGCCAACATGGTGAAACCCTGTCTCTACTAAAAATACAAAAAAAATGAGCCAGGCATGGTGGTGGGTGCCTGTAATCCCAGCTACTAGGGAGACGAGGCAGGAGAATTGCTTGAACCCGGGAGGCAGAGGTTGCAGTGAGCCAAGATCGCGCCATTGCACTCCAGCCTGGGCAATAAGAGCAAAACTCAGTCTCAAAAACAAACCAACAAACAAAAAAAGGTGGAGAGTGGAAGAAAAAGGCAGATCTTACCTCCTCCTTTCCTACTTCAAGCCTCTGGGAGAACATGGGAGGAGAGGTTTATAATTAGAGATGTGATTAAAGTTTTTATTTTGATTAAATAAAATTAATTTCAGACAGGCAATAGAACCAACAGTGCATAGTCCAACATCAGAGGTGTGTTCACTAAAATGCAGAGGACAATCAGTAACAGGAGTTCCATCAAGCAGACCTCATGCAGGCAGAGGGAATTCAGGTAGCTGGTGAGGAACGGAAATGCTTAAAAATGGTCTACATGTGCTTGCACTGAAACACACAACAAGGGACAAAGATTTGTGAAATGTGTCCAACAATGCTAAATGAGACTTTTCCTGCCTCTACATTGTGACTAAGAGAGTAAGATCTGGACACATCAAGAAATCCACCTCCAGCCTAGAGCCTATATATAAGAAAGAGTGAGGACAACAAAGTTGTCAATCCGTGGTATAAAAAAACATGCTGTTGGCCGGGGGCAGTGGCTCACACCCATAGTCATGATTACAGTCCCAGCACTTTGGGAGGCCAGGCGGGTGGATCACCTCAGGTCAAGAGTTTGAGACTAGCCTAGCCAATATGGTGAAACCCCATCTCTACTAAAAATACAAAAATTAGTTGGCATGGTGGTGCATGACTGTAATCCCAGCTATTCGGGAGGCTGAGGCAGGAGGATCACTTGAACCCGGGAGGCAGAGGTTGCAGTGAGCCAAAATCGCACCACTGCACTCCAGCCTGGGCGACAAGAGTGAGACTCCATCTCAAAAAGAAAAAAAAAAAAAAGAAAAGAAAAAGGAAAACATTCTGCTGCCTTCCCAAACCATGCAGGAGGAGTCGCAAGAGAAGCAATGGTAGAGAATGGAAGCAGACAGTCCCTGCCAAAAAAAGAACACCATCTCACCATCCTCTTACCTGCCTGCTTACTAAAAGGCAGAACTGGTAGACCCAGTGAGAAAATCTGAGAGTACATTAGTTTTCTACTGCTGCCATTAAAAAATTGCCACAAATTTAGTGGCTTAAAACAACACAAATGTATATCTGTAGAACAGAAATCTAGTAGGGATCTCTAAATCTAAATCTCTAGTAGGAATCTAAAATCAAGGTGTCAGCAAACTAAGCGGACTTCTAGAAGCTCTATGGAATAATCTGTCTCCTGATCAGTTAGGTTGTTGGCAAAATTCAATTACTTGCAGTTGTGGGATTGAGATACATGTTTTCTCTTTTTTTTTTTTTTTTTTTTTTTCTCAAGACAGAGTCTCACTCTGTTGCCCAGGCTGGAGTGCAATGGCGCAATCTTGGCTCATTGCAAACTTCACCTCCTGGGTTCAAGCGAGTTTCCTGCCTCAGCCTCCCAAGTAGCTGAGATTACAGGTGCCTGCCACCTCGCCTGGCTAATTTTTGTATTTTTAGTTGAGACAGAGTTTCACTATGTTGGTCAGGCTGGTCTCGAACTCCTGCCCTCAAGGGATCCACCCGCCTTGGCCTCCCAAAGTGCTGGGATTACAGGCATGAGCCACCACACCTGGCCGAGATACATGCTTTCTTGTTGGCTGTAGCTCAGGGCCATTATCAGCTCCTAGAGGCTATTCACTGACTTGGCCTGTGGCTGTCTTCCTCCATCTTCAAGTCAGCAATGGTGGGGAACGTATTTCTCATGTCATATGTCTCTGCCCTTTTTCTGTAGTCACATCTCTCTCCCTGACTATAGCCATCTAAAAAGGTGCCCCACTTTTAAGGACACCTGTGGTGAGTTAATTAGACTGGGGCCACATAGATAATCCAGGATAATCTCCCCCACTCAAGGTCCATAACCTCAATCACATCTGCAAAGCCCCTTTTGCCAGGTAAGGTAACATATTCACAGGTTCCAGAGATCAGGGTGTGGACATCTGTGAGACACAATTATTCTGCCTACCACAGAGGACTGACCTGTGTTCCCTGGAGTTCGGGAAGTGCAGAGACTGGTGCCTGATTCTCCCCTAGAAAAGTCCAAGAGGGAGAGGCTGGCTGGCGCTGTCTATAATGAAGAAGAAAGAGAGAGCATCACACTTTCAGAGCTTAGTGAGGCAAAATGCAGAGCAGATGCTGCAGAGACCCCACCCAAGAAGGCTGCTGACCAGTGTCCAGCCAGAAAGAGGTGACGTACTGTAAACTGCTGAAGTAGGGACGAGGGCATGTCATAAGAGGGCAGCAAGAGAGGACCTCACCATATCAGGAAATTTTGCGCTATCAGAGGTCTCCAACAGAGAGTCTCCAAAGAACCCACAAAACCCCTTATTGAAAAATTATCAGTATTTGGATGTTTGCTACACAGGAGGTTTTTGGAGACTAGGACTGGCTAGGTTAAAAAATATACATATATATAGCTCTTAAATTCTAGCCCTTCCTACCTGGCTAACCCCAGAGCATCTAGCAAGTGAGGCAAGAGGTGGAGAATGGAAGAAAAAGGCAAATCTTACCTCCTCCTTTCCTACTTCAAGCCTCTGGGAGAATAAGGAAAGAAAGCCTTTTAATTAGAGATGTGATTAAAGTTTTTATTCAGATCAGGCTGAAATTTATAATAGCTGAAACTATCCTGATCCCTAATGTCCAGAAAAACAAACGGCTCTGCCTGAGACACCATCCAGGATGTTGGAATGAAGTTTATTTGAGGATTTTATTAGAAGGCAATGGTGACAAAGAATACAATGGTTTCCTGCTGGAATAGCACCTGTGATGGTTAATTTTGTTTTTTCATTGTTTTTGATTGTTTGTTTTTGAGATGGAGTTTTGGTCTTGTAGCCTAGGCTTGAATGCAATGGTGCAATCTCAGCTCACTGCAACCTCTGCCTCTCAGATTCAAGTAATTCTCCTGCCTCAGCCTCCCAAGTAGCTGGGATTACAGGCATGCACCACCACACCCGGCTAATTTTGTATTTTTAGGAGAGATGGGGTTTTATCATGTTGGCCAGGCTGGTCTCAAACTCCTGACCTCAGGTGATCCACCCACCTCATCCTCATAAAATGCTGGGATTACAGGCGTGAGTCACCGCACTCAGCCAATGTGATGGTTAATTTTTGTGTCAACATGACTGGGCCATGGAGTGCCCAGATTAAACATTACTTCTGGTGTGTCTGTGAGGATGTTTCGAGGTGAAAATAACATTTGAATTAGGCCGGGTGCGGTGGCTCACACCTGTAATCCCAGCACTTTGGGAGGCTGAGGCAGGCGGATAACCTGAGGTCAGGAATTTGGTATCAGCCTGGCCAACATGGTGAAACCCCATCTCTACTAAAATTACAAAAATTTTCCTGGCGTGCTGGTGCATGCCTGTAATCCCAGCTACTCAGGAGGGTGAGGCAGGAGAATCGATTGAACCTGGGAGGCAGAAGTTGCAGTGAGCAGAGAGAGATCGTGCCACTGCACTCCAGCCTGGGTGACAGAGCAAGACTCCGTCTCAAAAAAAAAAAAATTAAATTAGTAGGGTAGTAGGGTAGTAAAGCAGATTGCTTTGGGTGGGCTTCATCCAATCTGTTGAAGATCTTAGTAGAATAAAAAGTTGAGAAAAATAATAATAATAATTAGTTCTCTGCCTGTCTTCAAGCTGCAAAGTCAGTCTTCTCCTGCCTTTGGACTTGGACTCAGACTAGAACTTACACTACCAGTGCTCCTGGTTCTCAGGTCTTCAAACTTGGACTGGAAATACATTACCATCTCTCCTGGGTCTCCAGCTTGCTGACTGCAGATCTTGGGACTTCTCTGTCTCCATAATCATGTGAGCTAATTCTTTATAGTAAGTCTCTTGATAGAACTCCTCTTGTTCTGTTTCTCTGGAGAATGCAGACTAACACAGCACCCAAGGCCAGTACATTCAATATACTGATCACATTTGCAGTGGCTCATCTAGGGCCCTTTAAGAACAAAGATCTTCTATTCTCTATGAGCTCTATACTGTGCTTTGTTTCGCTTGATGTCAGACTCCAGCTAAGATTTTACAAGTGAGTTTAGTTCTAATAAGTAAAGAAAGGAGGAAAGCATCCCAGGAGAGAAACTTAGACATAGAAAGGAAGCAAAGCAGATAGGAATGAATAGGGCAGTTGCAGGGAAAAGAGAACAGAGCTACTTGATTGGCACAAAAGGTGGGTGTCCAGGAAGCAGGAGAAAGAAAGTTACCTAAGTAGGACAAATTCTCTAATGCTAGAAAAAAAAAAGTCTGGGCTTGTTGCAATGTATAATAGAGAACTATCAAAATTTCTGTAACTTACAGAGTTTCTGTAAGCATTGGCACATATAAGCGTTTTGTTTTGTTTAAACAAAAATAAATGATAATATCTAATAGATAACATCTTCTAATAGAAGAGAGGAGTCGGGTTGAGAACACCAGCTAGGAATCTGCTACTGAACTTCTATGCCAACTCTACCTTCTGAACAGAACTTGGGAGCTGCAATCTGACAAGTAGGAATGTACATAAGTCAACATAACAGAATATTTGAATTGAGGGCATCCCAGAAAATCTCTAGTTATTGTAAGTACACCAGACATGTGGCAATGAGATGGAATGATTTCTTAACCCTTCCTTCTCTGTCATAACATGTTGTAAGATGAAATCTCCCCCAATCCTTCTGCAATTGGTCCATTTGGAGACAAGCAGGAAATTATTAAGCAGTGGTTGCACCATTGTGAGATTTCATTCTTTCCTGGAGTTGTGTTTTATTTAGACTTCTATTTACAACTAATTTATTTCAAGCAAAACAAAAACAAACATTTTGAACAGGAATAAACTAGTTGGCTTAATTTCCTATAATGCATCACGCTCCCTACTTCATTCTTACTGCACAGTCGGGTCTCCTGGTACCAGCCACACTGAAGGTATTAGTACCTCCCAGGAAAGGCAGTATAATTCCTCTGTGGGAAGATGTTTCTCTCTCTTACACACACACACACACACACACACACACAAAACAATACAACTATTGTATGAGGCAATACAATATTTCTCCCAATTTTCTCAAAGAAATATTCCAAGCTCTTGTCTCCCATCAACCCCCAACTCCTCACCTAAGAAAATCTGAAGTGCCCTCGGGAGCCTGGGGAGAATGACTGAGAGAAAACCCCGACGTGGCTGAGCAGAAAGTAAGCAGCCCATGGGGGCTCCTGTCCCACAGACACCAGGTTTCCTCACTAACCAGTCACATCCTGGCACAGCACGTCCTGCATCCAGAGACCCTCCCCTCTCCCCTGGCTCCAGCCTTTTCTCACTTTTCACTCAGCTAATTTCACCTCCCAGAAGCTCTTCTTTGCACGGACCTGCCTATCTGTATTGCCTCTTCTCCCTTCCCAACCTCTCCCAGCCTCTGGGTGGTTGTCTCATTCCAGAAAATCTTCTGTCAATCATTCTCTTCATGCCTTTTTTTTTTTTTTTTTTTTTTGAGACAGAGTCTCGCTCTGTTGTCCAGGCCAGAGTGCAGCGATGTGATCTCAGCTCACTGCAACCTCTGCCTCTAAGGTTCAAGCGATTCCCCTGCCTCAGCCTCCCGAGTAGCTGGGACTACAGGCATGCGCCACCACACTTAGCTAATTTTTATATTTTTAGTAGAGATGGGGTTTCACCATGTTGGCCAGGCTGGTCTCAAACTCCTGACCTCAAGTGATCTGCCTGCTTCGGCCTCCCAAAGTGCTGGGATTACAGGCATGAGCCACCATGCCCAGCTCCTCATGCCATTTTTGAACTGAGACTAAACTCACTACCTCCAATTAAAAGACCTTAATCCCGACCAATATGCTCAGTAAACAGCAAATGTGGCCATCTCCCTCCTCATTGTCTAAGTGCTTGCTTTTCCTCAAGCATCAACATTCATCTATTTTTACACCCTTTTCTCAGTTTATGTTTCTATTCTTTAAATGTATTCCTTTTGTAAAACTATCATTGGAAATGTTTCTAATTATTTCTAATGACAGTAAAACATTTCTGCTGTATTATGGGCTTCAATGGGCTGGTCTAGGAGTCTTAAACACCATTTTATTGCAGTTTCTACAAGAAAATGTATTTCAAGTTCAAATAGCTGAGTTGTAAACTTTAAAAACACAAACCTTTTAAAATCAGAGAATGCTGATCAATTAGACATTCTGAGACCGTAAGACTTAAGGTAATTGCCTGTTACCAAATAAACAAGATGCATAATTACTTCTTCTTTTAATGGATCTTCTTTCATTCAACGAAGGCCTCCAACTGGTATCTAAACAGGAGTTAGAGCCAGCTGCTGACTTTACCATTGCGAAGAGAAAGCTTTAAAAATACACACAGGGACAAAGAGGAAACAAGACAAGGATGCTAAGGAAAAAGACTGCAAAGAATTTCAAATATAGGAAACAAACAATAACTACGACAGAACACAATGAACAGTGAAAAAATTCTTGAGGATTTTTAATGGAAAGTTAATTGTTATGCAAATATGCATTCACATGTTATTTTGCTTGTTTGTTTGTTTGAGACAGGGTCTTCCTCTGTCGCCCAGGCTGGAGTGCAGTGGCGCAATCTCAGCTCGTTGCCTCCCAGGCTCAAGCGATCCTCCCACTACAGCCTCCTGAGTAGCTGGGACTACAGGCGCCCACCACCACACCCAGCGAATTTTTGTTCTTTGTTTTTTGTTTATTTTAATAGAGACAGCGTTTCGCCATGTTGCCAAGGCTGGTCTCAAACTCCTGAGCTCAAGTGATCCACCCACCTCGGCCTCCCAAAGTGCTGGGATGATAGGCGTGAGCCACCACGCCTGGCAACATTTTATCATTTTTTAATTTTTATTTTTTTGCAGAGAGAGTCTCACTCTGTCGCCCAGGCTGGAGTGCAGTGGCAGGCTCACTGCAGCCTCTGCCTTCCGGGTTCGAGTGATTCTCTTGTCTCAGCCTCCCAAGTAGCTGGGATTACAGGCGTGCGTTACCACGCCCAACTAATTTTTTTCTTTTTTTTTTTGAGACGGAGTCTCGCTCTGTCACCCAGGCTGGAGTGCAGTGGCGCGATCTCGGCTCACCAAAAGCTCCGCCTCCCGGATTCATGCCATTCTCCTGCCTCAGCCTCCCAAGTAGCTGGGACTACAGGCGCCTGCCACCATGCCCTGCTAATTTTTTTGTATTTTTTAGTAGAGATGGGTTTTCACTGTGTTAGCCAGGATGGTCTCAATCTCCTGACCTCGTGATCCGCCCGCCTCGGCCTCCCAAAGTGCTAGGATTACAGGCGTGAGCCAGTGCACCCGGCCAAGCTGGGCTAGTTCTTTTAGCCTATCCTGAGTTGGGTAAGGGCACAGAATCTTTAAGTATGAATATTGTAAATTATGTAAATAAGTATGAATATTGGCAAGATGGATTTATACCTCCACATAGGCCAGTCATTGGATGCAGCTGCCCCTAGGAGGAGGGTAGAACTTTGAGTAAGGTGGTTCTCTTCAGCCACAGGCAGTTCCTGGAAACTGCCAGCTGCTGGAGAGTGTCAGCCAACTATAATCCCAGCAGCTGGAGGGGTAAGTCCTTCAGTCCTGGAGGGAGCATCTGTGTGGTGCAACAATTACCTACAGCTCTCTCCCCAGTAAAAACCTCCGACGATACATAATTTATTTATTCCCTTCTGTGTTTTCAGCAATATGCTAGGCCCTAGAGTCACCTCTCCTCTAATGGTAAGCGTCAGTTAATGAAAAGAAAGAGAGAGAAGCAAATCTAAATATTTGGTCATTTTTAATATTGAAAGTCTCATATTTTTTTTCCTTGCTTTTCTGAGATGGATGGCTCCTGTGATACCTTTTCTTTTAAAAGATATTTTTCTGATGATACAATTAATTCTCCATCCACTTCTAATAAAATAATTTACAATAAACTAGGAAAAGATATTTTCTTTTTCTTTTCTTTTTTTTTTTTAGATAGAGTCTCACTCTGTCACCCAGGCTGGAGTGCAATGGTGTGATTTCAGCTCACTGCAACCTCCACCTTCCGGATGCAAGCAATTCTCCTGCCTCAGCCTCCCAAGTAGCTGGGATTACAGATGCCCACCACCACGCCCAGCTAATTTTTGTATTTTTAATCGAGACAAGGTTTCACTATGTTGGCCAGGCTGGTCTCAAACTCCTGACTTCAGGTGATCTGCCCGCCTCAGCCTCCCAAAGTGCTGGGATTACAGGTGTGAGCCACCACACGCAGCCTGAAAAGGGGTTTCTAACAAAAACCTAAAACAAGTCTTGTTCTTTTTTTAAATTTGACTCTTTGTAGAATTTAACTCTTTTATTATGGAAATTTTCAAACATACACAAGCATAGAGAAAATAGATTAATGGCCGCTATGGACCTGTCACTCATCTTCAACAATAATCAACATTTTGCCAATCTCCAAACATTATTCTGAAGAACAAAACATTAGACCACATCTCCATAGAACTCAGAAACAACACATAATGATGCTTACTTTTATCATCAATAGTAGACATTTTCCTAGAGTTACCAGGCAACGTAAAAATACCAGAAAAAAAAGAAATAAGTATGAATATTGGCAAGGTAGATTTATACCTAGAAAATCCAGTGAATCACATAAATCTATATGGGCTAATAAAAACTTTCAGAAAGGAAACAAGATTAACATATAAAAATCTACAGCTTTTCTAAAATCAGAAAAAATCTATTTAAATATGTAATAGAAAAGAAAGCTATATGCAATTTCAATAGACCTTGGGTTACCTAGGAAAAAAAACTTACAAATATGAAAGCTGTTGCCAGGCATGGTAGCTCATGCCTGTAACCCTAGCACTTTGGGAGGCTGACATGGGCGGATCACCTGAGTCCAGGAGTTCAAGAACAGCCTGGGCAATGTAGCGAAACCCAGTCTCTACAAAAAATCAGCCAGGTGTGGTGGCACATGCCTATAGTCCCAGCTACTTGGGAGGCTGCGGTGGGAGGATCACCTGGGCCTAGGAAGTTGAGTGAGCAGAAATTGTGCCACTCCACTCCAGCCTGGGTGACAGAGTGAGACCCTGTCTCAAAAAAAAAGAAAAGAAAATTCTTGAGGATAACCATATAATTTTAATGAAGGCCATAAAAGATATTTCTAGATGAAAAGACTCAATAATATACAGATATTATGCCCCCAAATTAAATAATAAATGTAATATAATTTTATCAAAATTCCAACAGCATATTTTATAGAATTGGCAAGTTAATTTTAAAGTTCATCTATGAGTTGGGCCAAAAAAAGTTAAGATTCATTAGAGAAAGAACTTTACCAGATGTTAACTATGTTGTAAAGTCACAATAATTGAAATAGTACTGTGAAAAACAGACCAATGGATCAATACAATAGAATTTAAAAGTCCAGAAAAATATATATACACACACACACATATATGTGTCCATTTGTGTGTATGTGTGTGTGTGTGTGTGTGTGTGTGTGTGTGTAATCTTAGTATATGTTAAAGGAGACATTTAAAATCACTTGGGAAATGACAGACTAATAGAGAGTGTTGGGACAAGGAGCTATCCATTTGGAAGAAAAAAAGTAAATTAAATCCCTTTCTCAGACTGGGCACAGTGGCTCATGCCTGTGATCCCAGCACTTTCGGAGGCCAAGGGGGGCAGAATGCCTGAGGTCAGGAGTTTGAGACCAGCCTGGCCAACATGGTGAAACCCTGTCTCTACTAAAAATACAAAAAATAGCTGGGCGTGGTGGCCGGTGCCTGTAATCCCAGCTACTCAGGGACAAGAGAATCGCTTGAACAAAGGAAAGGAGGCAGAAGTTGCAGTGAGCCAAGATGGCGCCACTGCACTCCAGCCTGGGCAACAGAGTAAGACTCCATATCAAAAAAAAAAAAAAAAAAAAAAAAAAACAAATCCCTTTCTCATACCATACATAAAAATAAATTCCAGTTTGTTTGTTTGTTTGAGACAGGTTCTCACTCTGTTGCCCAGACTGGTTTCCAGTGGTATGATCTTGGCTCACTGCATCCTCTGCCTCTTGGGTTCAAGCGATCCTCCCACCTCAGCCTCCCAATCACCTAGAACTGAACTAAAGGTATGTGCCACCATGCCTGTCTCATTTTTGTATTTTTGTAGAGACAGAGTTCTGCCATGTTGCTCAGTCTGGTCTCAAACTCCTGAGCTCAAGCGATCCTCCTGCTTCAGCCTCCCAAAGTGTTGGGATTATGGGTGTAAGCCACTGTGCCCGGCCTCAATTTTATTTTATTGAACCATATGAAATTGCCACTCCTGTTTTTACAAAATGGTTGAATATCAGCAAATTCATATGGCTCAACTTAATTAAATATATATTTTCCTGATTTGCACAAATTATCAATTCAAACACAAAGTTATGACGCAGGCCGGGCATGGTGGCTCATGCCTGTAATCCTAGCACTTCGGGAGGCCAAGGCAGGTGGATCACCTGAGGTCAGCAGTTCAAGACCAGCCTGGCCAACATGGCAAAACCCCATCTCTACTAAAAATACAAAATTAGCCAGGTGTGGTGGTGGGTGCCTGCAATCCCAGCTACTAGGGAGGCTGAGGCAGGAGAATCACGTGAACCTGGGGGCGCAGAGATTGCAGCGAGCCGAGGTTGCACGACTGCACTCCAGCCCGGGCGAAAGAGCAAGACTCCATCTCAAAAAAAAAAAAAAAAAAAAAAGATGTGAAGCAATGTCTTATTTAAAAATTAACCATTAAACATGCAAATTGAGAAGATTAAATGGCTGATTTCATTATGGTAGACTAGACTGGGACACTATTTTTTCTGCCATAATAAGAAAATGCCCACATTATTGAAAGCATTTTTTAGAAATTGGGTTGCCAAAAAAATGCTATTGCTGAAGCACAGAAACATGGGGAGAAACTCAAACTTTTCCGGAGAGATCTTTCAGTATTTCAGCACTACAGGTGTGGGCGGACAGAACAGCTCATCCAGAAAGAACCCAAACTGAAAACCTAACTTTCAAATCACACCCACATGGTAGGCTGGTGAAGCAGCCTCCCCAGATAAAGGGAAAATGACCCTTCTCTGCACCGCACTCAATGGCATAAAGACACTTAGATTCTTAAACTTATAGAAGACAGGACCTTCTAGTGGGTTGAAAATACTTAACGTTCCATTGACTTCCCACTGATTCCTCATGTGGCCACTGAAATCTCATGCATTCGACAGCTCAAAGTTCAGAATTCTACCCGGTCTTGAGACTACCATCTTGTATTTCTTTGCAGTTAATTTTTTGCATAGAGATTTCTTTCCCTCTGATTTCTAGCCTGTTGCCTTGTAGGTTTCTTGCTGCCTTCTCTTCCCCAGATAATAGCATCCTACAAAATTTGGTGTTATTTCTAAACCCACAGTAGATACCTCAGTCTTACTAATTATTTCCTAGGCTGTCAGCTCATATGGTAGCCCTCAAAAGTTTAATGCTTTTTGCAGTGATACCATCATCAGTTTCTAAATACCTCCTTTCTTCAGATTAACTAAAAATTAACAGTGTAACACTATTTGCCTTTGGTTTATTTTATATTATTTTATTTATTTATTTATTTTTTGAGAGAAGTCTCACTCTTGTTCCCCACGTTTGAGTGCAGTGGCTTTATCTGGGCTCACTGCAACCTCAGCCTCCTGGGTTCAAACGATTCTCCTGCCTCTGCCTCCCAAGTAGCTGGGATTAAGGTGCTTGCCACCACGCCTGGCTAATATTTGTATTTTTTAGTAGAGACGGGGTTTCACCATGTTGGCCAGGCTGGTCTTGAACTCCTGACCTCAGATGATGCGCCGGCCTCGGCCTCCCAAAGTGCTGGGATTACAGGCGTGAGCCCCCACACCCGGTCTGGTTTTAAACATATCATAATTACTTCTTTATGGACATCTCCAGAGAAGGAACTATAATTCTTTGTTTCATGTTGAAATGTTCATGGATATATTTTCAAATCTTCAGTCTAGAAGAAACACAGGTAGCATAAAAGTCAGGAATCCTGATATGAGGTTGCAGTCACACAGCCTTCCTTGCCAGAGCCTCCACTCATATTATTTTTTCATGTTTTCTGTTCCATTTAACAACAGTTTCCCATAATCCTTGGAGGTCCTATCTCAATTGCCTTCCTTCTCAATCTTTCTTCCAGCCTGTTCTCCCCTAACTTGATATTTCTATGGTCAGCTTGACTTGCACCACTGTGTACTGAGATGCAACCTCTTGTAAGAGGAAGCCCCCCACTCAGCACCTGCCCTGCCTTGTTCAGACACTGCAGGTGAATGAATTAAGAGACCATTAAAGTATGCTATTTTTTTGTTTGTTTAACTCTGAAACAGCGCACTACTGTGTGAAAAAAAGTAGAAATAGGTCTACATTTGTCTGAATTTAGAGACACTTTTGCCTCACCATCTGCATCATGAGTTAAATTTTAAGTGTTACAATAACTTCAGACCCCAATAAAATAGAAGAGTTAATTCAATCTAGTCACTGCCCCACCTCAAGCAACATTAGGGCTTGAAGCCATCCTCACCCCATTGGGAGCCTACCCCATCGTGCCAGGGTTTGCAGGGAAAGTCAAACATTATCTTCCAGAGGAAACACTAGGCGGGTACCCTGGCTCGAAACCTTCTGGTTTCCCATTCCCACGTCCTGCTCCAGCACTTCCTCTGAGCTGCTCTTCATTCTCCAGCTGCCCTCCAGACTCGTGGAGGCAGTGTGGGAACCTGAGAAGCCATTTGCAGTCACTGTGCTGTCCCCATAGGTCAATGTGAGGTCGCCTTCAGTCAGAATAAAATCAGAGTTTCCCTCTCTCAGTGGCTCTTGGTTATCGTACACCTGGGGACTGGTCAGACATCAAGCTAGCAAGCTACACCAGGCGGGAGAGTGGTGGTTGGCGGGGAGCCGCTTTGTCTACACCAGGCAGGAGAGTGGTGGTTAGCGGGGAGCCGCTGTGTCTCCACCAGGCGGGAGAGTGGTGGTTAGCGGGGAGCCGCTGTGTGTGAGGATGGGCTTCAGGTAATTGTGATCAAAGCTGTACCACCGCCTGAATATCCATGTGCTCTCCTGTTTTGTCCAGTTTCCTCTGGCAGAATCTGGGCTGTCCCCTTGTAAGACTTGAAAGCTGTCATTGTTGGGTGGTGGATCTTGATCAGGGTCAACACCAACTCTGAAGTACTGTCGGTGGTGTTCGTTGTGGTCCTCTTTGGAGGGCTCCTTGATGCTAACTCTGATATTAAGCCATGACAACATGGGTGTCGTGCCTCCTCCAATGATCCAGATGGTGAAGAACACGATGAAAGGCGTGGTGGGGAACGTCATCTGGCGAGCATAGGATGCCGTGTCACAGATGGCCAACGCAAATGCCATTGCTCCCCTGAGGCCTGAAAACATCATCGTGTGTTGAAAATTCCAGCCAATCTTATGCCTTCTGCCCAAGCTGAGGAAGAAAGAGAGCGGGTAGATATGGGCGGCTCTGCCCAGGAAGACAGCAACAAAAGCTCCAATGATGAAAACAGGGCTGAAAACGTGCTTCTGGAAGGTAAATAGCGCCAGGATCATGCAGGAGAAGATGAAGTTCTCTGCCTCAAAGAGCTGCTTGCTTCGACTTCTTGATTCCACCGACAGATTGTTGAAGGTGTAATGAGCTTGTGTGATTCCACAGAAAAGGACAGCTACAACGCCTGTAAATCCGCAAGCTTCTGCCAAGAGAAACGTGCTCCAGGACATGAGGAAGAAGAGCGCCGTCTCCAGCAGGGGAAAGCAGTCCAGTTTGGTAAACTTGGTCACTAAAGCAGTCACAACACCAGTCACAGCTCCCATGGTAAAACAGCCACTAAATATACCTAGAAAAATGCCAACTGACTTTAAAAAGGCAGCAGCATCAAAGGCGTGAGTTGAAGTTCAGTCCTGCTGGCTGGTAGCCAACAATAGATGAGGAAAGTACAACATAACAACGTCATTTAGGATGCTCTCTCCAAACAGAAGTACATAAAGATCCATGTCTGCATGCAATTCATTGATATCACCAGCACAGTCACTGGGTCAGTGGCAGAGATGATTGCTCTAAAAAAGAGACAATGTGTGTAGTAAAATTTATCTGAGAGCTGTCTCATAATCCTCATGAGCTTCACCATACCATACCTGAGATTTCCAATACGGAAGCACGAAACAGCAGTCCCCAAGAAGGAGTGACCCAAGATTTCTAAAAAAGTGTCTCTTTAAGCTGTATCCAGCATGGAAAATAACTGGAGGCAGAAGAATGTTGAAAAATACCTATGGGTCGAATGTTACCTTCCCTAGCATGTCATTCTGCTTTACGCTGTTGATCTTGCCAGGGCTGATTTCTCTTTTCAGGGTGTATTCGAAGAATTTACCGCTGACATCCACTACTAAAGTGCTGAAGGCCTGATCTTCTTGAGTGCAATTGAGTAATTTGTCACGGCCCCTGGTGCCAGGGGTACCATACCTCAGGATCACCCCAACGATGAGCCCACAGATCATGGCCAGCCCGGTCTCATGCAGAAAGTGCACCCGGCAGTACTTGAAGAGCCATATGGTGAGGATGGCCAGCGTGAGCAGCAGGATGAAGGTGAGCAGGCTCACACTGTCTGGCCGGTGGCTCTCTTCCGCCTCCTTCTCAGTGACGAGCTCCTCCATGGCGCTGCTGTTCTCGACCGCCGCCCCAGAGGAGGAGGCCGAGGCCTCGGCCGTTACTCGAAGTCCCCTACCCAGCAGCAGCGGCAGCAGCAGCAGCAGCCGCCGCGGCGGCGCCTGGGCAACCCGACCCGGGCAGGGGAGCGCCGCGTCACCAGGCTCCGTGGTCCCGGAGCCGCCCACGCCTCCTCTGCCCGGGGACCAGCAGCACCGCCGACCTGCGCGAGTGGCCGCAGCCACCGCAGCTCCTCCTCCTACTCGCGCCGGGCCGGGACTGGGCCCAGAGCAGCGCCTCCAATTGTATTTAAAATGTAGTTTTTAGAAGAATAACCAAGGCCGGGAGCAGTGGCCCACGCCTGTAATCCTAGCACTTTGGGAGAGTGAGGGGGGTGGATCACCTGAGGTCAGGAGATCAAGACCAGCCTGGCCAACATGAGGAAACCCCCGTCTCCACTGAAAATACAAAAAAAAAAAAAAAAAAAAAAAAAAAAAATGGGAAAGGATTCCCTATTTAATAAATGGTGTTGAGAAAACTGGCTAGCCATATGTAGAAAGCTGAAACTGGATCCCTTCCTTACACCTTATACAAAAATTAATTCAAGATGGATTAAAGTCTTAAATGTTGGACCTAAAACCATAAAAACCCTAGAAGAAAACCTAGGCATTACCATTCAGGACATAGGCATGGGCAAGGACTTCATGTCTAAAACACCAAAAGCAATGGCAACAAAATCCAAAATTGACAAATGGGATCTAATTAAACTCAAGAGCTTCTGCACAGCAAAAGAAACTACCATCAGAGTGAACAGGCAACCTACAGAATGGGAGAAAATTTTCGCAACCTACTCATCTGACAAAGGGCTAATATCCAGAATCTACAATGAACTCAAACAAATTTACAAGAAAAAAACAAACAACCCCATCAAAAAGTGGGCAAAGGACATGAACAGACACTTCTCAAAAGAAGACATTTATGCAGCCAAAAAACACATGAAAAAATGCTCACCATCACTGGCCATCAGAGAAATGCAAATCAAAACCACAATGAGATACCATCTCACACCAGTTAGAATGGCCATCATTAAAAAGTCAGGAGACAACAGGTGCTGGAGAGGATGTGGAGAAATAGGAACACTTTTACACTGTTGGTGGGACTGTAAACTAGTTCAACCCTTGTGGAAGTTAGTGTGGCGATTCCTCAGGGATCTAGAACTAGAAATACCATTTGACCCAGCCATCCCATTACTGGGTATATACCCAAAGGACTATAAATCATGCTGCTATAAAGACACATGCACACATATGTTTAGTGTGGCACTATTCACAATAGCAAAGACTTGGAACCAACCCAAATGTCCAACAATGATAGACTGGATTAAGAAAATGTGGCACATATACACCATGGGATACTATGCAGCCATAAAAAATGATGAGTTCATGTCCTTTGTAGGGACATGGATGAAATTGGAAATCATCTTTCTCAGTAAACTATCACAAGAACAAAAAACCAAACACTGCATATTCTCACTCATAGGTGGGAATTGAACAATGAGAACACATGGACACAGGAAGGGGAACATCACACTCTGGGGACTGTTGTGGGGGGAGCGGAGAGGGGAGGGATAGCTTTAGGAGATATACCTAATGCTAAATGACAAGTTAATGGGTGCAGCACACCAGCATGGCACATATATACATATGTAACCTGCACATTGTGCACATGTACCCTAAAACTTAAAGTATAATAATAATAATAAAATAAAAAAATACAAAAATAAAATTTAGCCGGGCATGGTGACGGGTGCCTGTAATCCTAGCTACTCAGGAGGCCGAAGCAGGAGAATCACTTGAACCCTGGAAGCGGAGGTTGCAGTGAGCCGAGATGGCACCATTGCACTCCAGCCTGGGCAAAAAGAGCGAAACTCTGTCTCAAAAAAAAAAAAAAGAATAACAGAAAAAATGTGAGAAAATATATTTAAAACCTTGGAGGGAGAAAGCTATCTTAACAAAACAGAGAGCCAAATGCATTCACGTATGACAGAAGGTACAAAAAGTCGAGAAGTAACTGAATTATTACATAAAATATTTGCAACTGGTGTAACAAAATTTTATACCTCACTTTATTTTGTTTTTTAATTTTAGTTATGGAGATGGAGTTTTGCTCTTGTTGCCCAGGCTGGAGTGCAATGGCGCCATCTCGGCTCACTGCAACCTGCACCTCCTGGGTTCAAGTAATTCTCTTGCTTCAGCCTCCCAAGTAGCTGGGATTACAGGCACGTGCCACCACGCCCAGCTAATTTTTGTATTTTAAGTAGAGACGGGGTTTCACCATGTTGGCCAGGCTGGTCTTGAACTCCTGACCTAGGTGATCCACCTGCCTTGGCCTCCCAAAGTGCTGGGATTACAGGTGTGAACCATCGCTCCCGGCCTATTTTATTATTTATACATATTATATATATAACATTTTATCTGAATTATCTAAATTTAGCTGAATATTTTAGATATATGTTTATATAAAGAACCTATTGATCAGGCCAGGCGCATGGCACACGCCTGTAATCCCAGCACTTTGGGAGGCTGAGGCAGACAGATCACCTGAGGTCAGGAGTTCAAGACCACCTGGCCAACATGGCAAAACCCTGTCTCTACTAAAAATACAAAAAAATTAGCTGGATGTAGTGGTGAGCACCTGTAGTCCCAGCTACTCGGGAGGCTGAGGCAGGAGAATTGCTTGAACCCGGGAAGCAGAGGCTGCAGTGAGCTAAGATTGTGTCACTGCACTCCAGCCTGGGCAACAGAGCGAGACTCCGTCTTAAAGAAAAAAAAGAACATATCGATCAATAAGAAACAACCCAGTAGAAAATCTACTATTCAATTAAAAATAACCCAGTTAAAAAATGGGTAAAGCATATAAACAATTTGCAGATTTGTTTATATTTGTTTACATTGCAGATTTGACAAGATACAAATGTTCAAAACCACATATAAAATGTGAATAAAACAAATTAATAAAATGAGATATAAATCAAGTTAATAAAATCAGTGAATGAAATATGAGATATCAGTTTTTGACCATGACTTTAAATCAGAAATTGAGAAGAGTCTGCAGTTTTACCCTACCTGCAAGCTAACAACTTTTAGCCTACCACAGTTTTTGGGTTTGGTTTTGTTTTCTTTTTTGAGATGGATTCTCACTCTGTTGCCCAGCAAGGAGCGCAGTGGCATGATCTCGGCTCACTGCAACCTTTGCCCGCCTCCCAAGCTTCAAGCAATTCTCCTGACTCAGCCTCCTGAGTAGCTGGGATTATAGGCATCTGCCACCACATCCAGCTAATTTTTGTATTTTTAGTAGAGACGGGGTTTCACCATGTTGGCCAGGCTGGTCTCAAACTCCTGACCTCTGGTGATCCACCCACCTTGGCCTCCCAAAGTGCTGGGATTACAGGCGTGAGCCACCATGCCCGGCCCACAGTTTTTATGTATATTTGCTGACAGAAGATAAAACTCCTAGAAAAACAAGATGCTCTGATCAACAAATACATGTATAAAATCTGTTTGGTGCTTATGTTCCTAATTTTAAGTTAATTAATTGGCATTCTGGTATATGCAACAGTCTCTTACAAGTTTGGTTAGAATGAGTCAGTTGCCAAGATCAACTCTGAATACTAATTAACTGATAAAGTGAAATCCTTGCACCTGCAAGACCAAGAACTAAGAGGACTCAAGGTACTGTCAACCTATCTGGACAGCCTTTCCCAAAGACATCTACCTCTCTGACCCCTTGCATGCCTTCATCAAACCAAAACATTTTCAGCTGTTTCTCTCTTGCGACTATTTCCAACCTCTGTCATCATCGTAGTTATTTCCATTTCTCAGTATCTCTGTTAAAAGGTATCATCCGGGCTGGGCGCGGTGGCTCACGCCTGTAATCCCAGTACTTTGGGAGGCCAAGGCAGGTGGATCACCTGAGGTCAGGAGTCGAGATCAGCCTGGCCAACATGGTGAAACCTCATCTCTGCTAAAAATACAAAAAATTAGCCGGGTGTGATGGTGGGCACCTGTAATCCCACTACTAGGGAGGCTGAGGCAGTAGAATCGCTTGAACCCAGGATACAGAGGTTGCAGTGAGCCGAGATTGTGCCACTGCACTCCAGCCTGGGCAACAAGAGTGAAACTCCGTCTCAGCAAAAATAAAAAATAAAATGTATCATTCAAATTTGAACACAATACTGCAGATGCAATCAAAACAGCACAGAATATATGCACTGGATGCCATTTTTGTATAAATGTACCCTAAATCTGAATTTAGGGCCTTTTGCAAGCTGCTATACTTGTAGAATCCTATCAAGCTTGTATATAACTCCAACTTCCAAGTCTTTTTCACATAGGAAGGTAACACAGTAAAAGCAGATGAGAGCTTATACTGTGGATTCATACTTCCTGAGTTTGAATTCCTGCTCTGCCATGGGCTGACTGTGTAACCAAGGGCAAGTCGCTTAATCTCTCTAAGCCTTAGTTTGCTCATCTGTAAAATAGTAATGATGAGCATACCTGCCTCAAAGCGTTGTTGTAAAGATTAAGTAAATTGCCTTAATTAAAATACTCTGTACATGGCCGGGCAGGTGGCTCACGCCTGTAATCCCAGCACTTTGGGAGGCCGAGGCAGGCGGATCACAAGGTCAGGAGATCGAGACCATCCTGGCTAACATGGTGAAACCCCATCTCTACTAAAAATACAAAAAATTAGCCAGGCGTGGTGGCAGGTGCCTGTAGTCCCAGCTACTCGGGAGGCTGAGGCAGGAGAATGGCGTGAACCCAGGAGGCGCAGCTTGCAGTGAGCGGAGATTGTGCCACTGTACTCCAGCCTAGGTGACAGAGCGAGACTCCGTCTCAAAAAAAAAAAAATACTCTGTACAGGGCTGGGTGTGGTGGCTCATACCTATAATCCCAGTACTTTGTGAGGCCAAGGTGGGAGGATTGCTTGAGCCCAGGAGTTTGAGACCAGCTTGGGGAATATAGCAAGACCCCATCTTTACAAAAAAAAAAAATCCAAAAAATTAGCTGGGCATGGTGGCACATGCCTGTAGTCTCAGCTACTCGGGAGGCTGAGGTGCGAGGACTGCTTGAGTTCAAGAGGTCGAGGCTGCAGTGACCCATGTTCAGGCCACTGCACTCCAGCCTGGGTGACAGAGGAAGACCCTGTCTCAAAAATAAAATAAAACACTTGGTACAATGCTGATCATATCCCATGAATCCTAGTTGTATGGTTATATTTCATCATACTTAATCCTCCCAGGAATTCTATGGGGTATATATTACTGCATCCACTTTACAGATGAGAAATCTGAGGTTTGTAGAGTTTAAGTAGTTTGCCTGAGGTCAACTAACTGCTAAATGGCAGAGCCAGCCAAAGTTGTAACAAGACCTGCCTGACACCAAAGACCAAGTTCTTTCTCTTGTACCATTTAGGAACCCTCTTCCCCTTCCTGTGTTTCTACTTTTTTTTTTTCTGACAGAGTCTTTCAACCTCCCAGACTCAAGCGATCCTACCACCACAGCCTCTGAGTAGGTAGGACCACAGGAGCATACCACCATACCTGGCTAATTTTTGTTGTGTTTTCTGGTTTTGGGAGGTTTTTTTTGGTAGAGATAGGGTTTTGCCATGTTGCCCAGGCCAGTCTCAAACTCCTGGGCTCAAGCAATCCATCTACCTTGGCCTCTCCAAGTTCTGGGATTACAGGCATGAGCCACTGCTCCTGGTCTCTACATTTTTTAAGCTTTCACATAGCACAATACAGAGGTTAAGAACAAAAGCTCAGCCAGGCTTGGTGGCTCACGCCTGTAATCCCAGCACTTTGGGAGGCCCAGGTGGGTGGATTACCTGAACTCAGGAGTTCAAGGCCAGCCTGACCAACACGGCAAAACCCCATCTCTACTAAAAAATACAAAAATTAGCCAGGCATGGTGGCGCACACCTGTAATCCCAGCTACTAGGGAGGCCAAGGCAGGAAGAATTGCTTGAACCTGGGAGGCGGAGGTTTCAGTGAGCTAAGATCGCACTACTGCACTCCAGCCTGGGGGACAGAGCGAGACTCCATCTCACAAAAAAGAACAAAAGCTCCAGGCTGGGTGCAGTGGCTCACACCTGTAATCCCAGAACTTTGGGAGGCCGAGGCAGGAGCACTTGAGCCCAGGGGTTCTAGGGCAGCCTGGGCAGCATATGGAGACTCTATCTCTACAAAAAATTTTAAAATTTGCCAGGTATGGTGGTGTGCACCTGTAGTCCCAGCTCCCAGCTACTTGGGAGGCTGAGGTGGGACGATCTGCTTGAGCCTGAGAGGTCGAGGATATAGTGAGCCATGATCATGCCACTGCACTCCAGTCTGGGTGACAGAGCAAGACCTTTTCTCAAAAAAAGAGAGAGAGAAAAGAGTGCCAGCTCTAGGGATAGACTGCCTTGTTCGATGATCTTGAATGAACTATTTAATCTCTATTTACAAAATCTGGGACAAGTCACTTAACTTCATCAAGTCAGTTTCCCCATCTGTAAAATAAGAATTTTAATAGTAATATCGGCCGGGTGCAGTGGTTCATGCCTGTAATTCCAGCACTTTGGGAGGCTGAGGTGGGTGGCCTGAGGTCAGGAGTTCAAGACCAGCCTGGCCAACATGGTGAAACCCCATCTCTACTAAAAATTCAAAAATTAGCCAGGCATGGTGGCAGGTGCCTGTAATCCCAGCTACTCAGGAGGCTGAGACAGGAGAATTGCTTGAACCCAGGAGGCGGAGGTTGCAGTGAGCCAAGATTCTGCCACTGCCCTCCAGCCGGGGTGACAGAGCCAGAGTCCACCTCAAAAAAAAAAAAAAAAGGCATTTTAATAGCAATATCTACACTCAGGAGTTTCAGCGCTGATTAAATGAGATAACATCTAACACAGTGCCTAACCATTTGCTAGGAAACAGTAGATTTTAGCTCTATTATTCCCTCTCCATTTCACCTTGCTGGTTTCAGCCAAGTGCTTAGACTGGTCAAAGTAATTCTGAATCCCAGAAAATCCATGCAACTCCTGATGATCAAAAAATATTCTCTTTTAAGTGCTCACATATCATCTGCTTAGTAAACCATCCTAGAGTGTTTCTAGAAATTAACATTGAATTTACAAAGGTTTTTCCTACATCTAAGATAGAAGTCAGATTGTATCTAGAGTTCTTTCCCTCACTTTTATGAACTGTGACATGATCATATTGAAGAGGGAGAAATGAAGGACATTGTAACTCATTAAATGCATAAGACCCAGAAATAATAGAAAGTTGACTTCAGCTGTGATTCATCAGAGGTTCTTTGCATCAGTTCCTACCACTTTATCGCAATTCACTTCCCATATTGCTCAGCCCTATATATTTATCACTGGCAACCCACATTTGAGGCCAATGATTACAAAATGTTCTTTTGTACATCAACCCAGCTGCCAGGAGCCCACCCCCACCCCCACACTCAGCAGAGCTGGTTCAGATAACTAAGCTTTTGATATTTCAAGGCTGAAGGAAAAGGAACTCAATCCCCACATAAGTCCTGTGAGATATTTATTACTGTTCCCATTTTACTGCTGAGGAAGATGGGGCTTCTCAAGGCTATTATTCATATTTTATCCAAAGTCACAGAGTTATTAGGAATGCAGATCGCTGTTGACCTAGATCTCCCACCATGCCACTACAGGTTGAAGGAGCCACAGGCTGCAAACAGCAATGTTTTCCCAAACTGCTTATCCAGCCATGAACCACCCACAGCATTTTTGCAATATCTCCCTACCTCCTATGAAATTACTTACTTAATTTTTTTAATCAATGCACTTTTTGCTGCCTAAATAAATTTAGGGACTATTAGTCTAAACACTAGCAACTCAGAAATCACAGGTTTTATAACACCATCATGTTTATTTTGTGTAATATATTTTTAAATGGCCAGGCACAATAGCTCACGCCTGTAATCCCAGCAATTTGGGATACCAAGGCAGGAGGATCGCTTAAGGCAGGAGGATTGCTTGAGCCCAACAGTTTGAGACCAGTCTGGGCAACATAGAGAGACCCCGTCTCTACAAAAAAAAAAAAAAAAAAAATTGTTTTAATTAGCTGGGCATGGTGGTTCATGCCTGTAGTCCCAGCTACTTAAGAGACTGAGGTGGGAGGATTTCTTGAGCCTGGGAGGTTGAAACTACAGTGAGCCGTGATCTTGCCATTGCACTCCAGCCTGGGAGACAGAGTGAGACCATGTCTCAAAAATAAATAAATAAATGCATTAGATTCCTAGGGCTACCATAACAAATCATTACAAACCAAGTGGCTTAAAACAACAGAAATGTATTCTCTTACAGTTCAGGGGGCCAGAAGTCCAAAATCAAGGTGTTGATTTTCTGGAGGTTCTCAGGGAAAAATTGTCTGATGCCTTTTTCCTGGCTTCTTGGTGTTCTCGGCTTATAGGCATCATTCCAATCTCTATCTCCATAGTCACATGACCTTTTTCTCCCTGTGTGTCTTTGTGTCCAAATATCCCTCTTATTTCTTTTATAAAGATACCAGAGATCAAGATCCTTATTTAATTACATCTGCAAAGGCCCTATTTCCAAATAAGGTCACATTCTGAGGTTCGGGTTAGACATAAATTTTGAGAGGGAGATTATTCAACCCAGTATAAGTAAATGATGATTAAATCATTTGAAAGCTTATCCATGTACCACCTAAAATCATCTTGCATCTTGCCAGTGGTTTGCAAACCACACTAGAGAGATGTTAGTGAACATGACATTTCAAGGTGCTTGAGTCCCTCTCCAGTTTTAAAAGCAGCAGATTTTACAGTTAAGATGGTTGCAGTTTCTTTACTGCATTTGAACCAATATATTTTTGGTAAATCAAGAAGTTGATCCCCTAGATAGGCTCAATTCTCTGATTTTGAAAACTCAGGAAATGTTGTTTTGTTTTGTTTTTTGAGAGTTTCACTCTGTCACGCAGGCTGGAGTGCAGTGGCGCAGTCTTGGCTCACTGCAACCACTACCTCCCAGGTTCAAGCAATTCTCCTGCCTCAGCCTCCCAAAGTGTTGGGATTACAGGTGTGAGCCATTGTGCCCAGCAGAAAATGTTATTAATAATAAATTACTTCAAGTGCTATTTTAAGAAGATAGATGAACACTAGTTGATTGCATGACTCATTGTTTTCTGAGTTCAGTACATGTGCATGTACAGGTCTCTGTGGGGTTGTATTTGGGGATTTATTAAGTTTTCTCTCCATAGAGACAACCAAGGATGGTAAGGTGAATTTGCAATTTAAAGAAGCCATTAGGTAACACTGGACATTGTAAAACTCCATCTTGTGCAGCAAGGCAGGATGCCTAGGAACACTGTAAACAGGAACTCAGAGTATATTTATAGGAACCCAAAGCCCAAATGTTCAGTCCATGGAAAAAGGGTGAAGAGGAGGATTTGATTTTCAGCAGTCTTTATGAGACCTAGACCTCTGTGTGAATCACAGGTTGAGTAAACTTGGGCTTTTCCATTTGAGATAATATTCAGAAAACCTTACTCTTCTAAATGCACAGATTTCAGCTCTTTCTAAAAATCATGCACTGCATAATGGAAATTAAAGAACTCAGAAGACATTTTTATTGATCATTCTTATTTTTAATTTAGATGCTTTTTTTCTTCCCAAATATTAAACATTATCATTTATCAAGAACATAAGAAGGGAAACTGTCTTAAAAGGAAAACTATCAGATGGTGGAGATCAATCATTGTATAGGCTCCATGCAAAATAATATAAAAGATGCACAAGAGCAGATGCCGTGCTTGGAAACGACATCTCAATAAGCACATTTCCATAAACACATATGGTGTAGACTCTTTCACATACACACCACCTCAGTGTTTACTCTGAATTAAATAATTCAAGATGGTATAACCAGCTCACAGAAATATGATAAAACACTTTAAATAAACTGAGTTGTTGTCATGACAAATAGCCTACACAAAAGAAATAACAACAGTCACACTGATGAGAGGAGACGGGGTAAGTCCTAAAACTGGAAGGTCTCGTATTTGTTGGCAAAAACCAAAGTACAAGATGTTACTAACCTGTACCTTGTTTCCCCCACACAAACATATCTTAAAGAGGCAGCCCAAACTTTCATGTGTGAATGATTATTGGCCTTCAAATAGTATTCGTTACTTTATGACTCAATATCACCCAACACCATGGCCAATATAGAGAGCTTTGTAAAATTTCTCTTGCAGAACTTCCTCAGACTGACTACCCACCTTCATGTGACAATGTGTTCCTTTCCTTTTTAATCACTCCTAGGTTTTCATGATGTGCACTGACCAAATGGACAAGAAGGCTTTGGAGGGTCAAGAATGACCAACTCCAGATGAAACTGTATTGCTTTATCAGAAGCTTATTTTTCTTTTTCTTTGTTTTGTTTTGTTTTTTGGAGATGGAGTTTCATTCTTGTTGCCCAGGCTGGACTGCAATGGTGCAATCTCAGCTCACTGCAACCTCCGCTTCCCGGGTTCAAGTGATTCTCCTGACTCAGCCTCCCGAGTAGCTGGGATTACAGGCATGTGCCACCACACCCAGCTAATTTTGTATTTTTAGTAGAGACGGGGTTTCTCCATGTTGGTCAGGGTGGTCTCGAACTCCTGACCTTAGGTGATCCATCCACCTTGGCCTCCCAAAGTGCTGGGATTACAGGCGTGAGCCACCGCGCCTGGCATTGTTTTGTTTTTTTTTTTTAAACAGGGTCTCATTCTGTCACTCAGGCTGGAGAGAGGCGGCATGATCATGACTCACTGCAGCTTCAACCTTCTAGGCACAAGTGATCCTCCCACCTCAGTCTCCTGAGAAGCTGGCACTACGAGTATCCACCACCATGCCCAGCTAATTTTTTTATTTTGTTTGTAGAAACAGGGGTCTCACTATGTGGCCCAGGCTGGTCTAAAACTCCTGGACTCAAGTAATCCTCCCACCTCCGCCTTCTAAAGTGCTGGCATTATAGGTGTGAGACAACACACCTGGCCAGAAGCTTATATTTTTAACAGGAGACAGACAGCAGTCTGATATGCTTGTAGAGGGAAGGAAAGAGAGATGGTGGAGCGGAGAAAGGCCCACTGGGGGAAAAGCTGGAGAATGAGAAAGAAGCTGTGCTGGCTGGGCGCAGTGGCTCACACCTGTAATCTCAGCACTTTGGGAGGCCGAGGCAGGTGGATTGCTTAAGGCCAGGAGTTTAAGACCAACCTGGCCAAAATGGTGAAACCCCCGTCTCTACTAAAAATACAAAAATCAGCAAGACGTAGTGGTGCACACCTGTAGTCCCAGCTACTTGGGAGGCTGAGGCATGAGAGTTATTTGAACCTGGGAGGCAGAGGTTGCAGTGAGCCAAGATCATGCCACTGCACTCCAGCTGGACTCCAGCTCTAAAAAGAAAAAAGAAAAAAGAAAAAAAGAAGGAAGCTGTGCTACGGTTATTTATTCTGTCCCTCTTTCAGAAATTCAAAGTGAGGCCGGGTGCGGTAGCTCACACCTGTCATCCCAGCACTTTGGGAGGCCGAGGCAGGCAGATAGCTTGAGGTCAGGAGTTCGAGACCAGCCTGGCCAACATGGTGAAACCCCATGAAATTCCATCTCTACTAAAAATACAAAAATTAGCCAGGTGTGGCGGCATACACCTGTAATTCCAGCTACTCGGGTGGCTGAGGCAGGAAGTATCCCTTGAACCTGGGAGGAGGAGGTTGCAGTGAGCCGAAATCATGCCACTGCACTCCAGCCTGGGTGACAAAGTGAGACTCTGTCAAAAAAAAAAAGAAAGAAAGAAAGAAAGAAAGAAAGAAAGAGAGAGAGAGAGAGAGAGAGAGAGAAAGAAAGAAAGAAAGAAAGAAAGAAAGAAAGAAAGAAAGAAAAGAAAGAGAAAGAGAGAGAAAGATTCAAAGTGAGAGTCAGAGTACTAAAAACTGTATAGAATGACTGAGAGAAAGAAATCTATTTAACTTGCTTTAACGTATCCTTTCTAATACTGACTGACTGCAAAGCCCTTCTTCATATAAAAACTTTTAACATCCCAATTCTACAGAATGAGTTTTGGGGAATGTGGTAGCCAGCCTCCAAGATGACCCCCAGTGATTCTCACAGCCTAGGATTCATATCCTTGTGTGACCCCTCCCGCATTTAAGAGGGCTGACCTGTGTAATGAAAAGAATATTGCAGAAATGAGACAGTGTGATTTTTAAGGCTAGGCCATTAAAGATGTTGTGGCTTTCACCTTGCACTCTCTTGGCTTGTTCACCCTGAGAGAAGGCAGCCACCGTGTCATGAGGACACTCAAGCTGCCTGTGGAAAGACCCACATAGGGAGGAACTGAGTGAGCTCACTCTTGTGTGCCATCTTAGAACTGCATCCACCAGCCCTGGTCAAGCCTTCAGATGACTGCAGACCCAGTCAACACCTTGACTGCAATCTCATGAAAGACCCTGAGACAGACCCACCCAGCTAAGTCAGTCCTAAATTTCAAACCACAGAGACTATGTGAAATCACAAATATTTATTGTTGTTTTAAGCCACTAAGTTTGGAGGTAATTAATTATGCAGCAACAGATAACTAGTACAGGACTATTAACCTAAAGTACTTGATGTCAATCATTTTGGTTTGTCATTAAATCATCATACAGCTTTAGTATGGCATATGGTTTTACACTATTCTACTTCTCTAGGTACACTTCATTGATGTAGGGATGGACTCATATATTTTATTTTTTTTTATTTTTTTTTTGAGACGAAGTCTTGCTCTTGTCCCCTAGGCTGGAGTGCAATGGCATGATTTCGGCTCACTGCAACCTCTGCCTCCTGGGTTCAAGCAATTCTCCTGCCTCAGCACCCTGAGTAGCTGGGATTACAGGCGCCTGCCACCATGCTCAGTTAATTTTTGTATTTTTAGTAGAGACAGGGTTTTACCATGTTGGCCAGGCTGGTCTAGAACTCTTGACCTCAGGTGATCCACACACCTCGGCCTCCCAAAGTGCTGGGATTACAGGCATGAGCCACCGCGCCCGGCTGGATGGACTCCTATCTAAAGCCAATCAATCTTTGTCATTCCCTAGGATTTTTGTAACTGAAGCTGAACAAAGATTTATTTATTCTCTGTTGGTGAGGCCAGGAGATGGTGAGACTCAGGAACTGCTAGTGGCCACATTTCTTGCTATGTAAAGAAAGCTTTTCTAAGAGAAAGAAGTTAACAACACAGAGAGAGAAACAGAATTGAGAGACTGAGAAAAGAAGACCTAGCAGCACTCAAATCACCTGTTCCAATGACCTTGATACCACCTGCCACTCATCCTTCTCAGTGTGAGCCTTCCAGTAAGTCCCCTTCTTTTTGCCTAAGTTGGTTTAAGTTGGGGTTCTAGAGGGTGGGGGTGGGAGGAGGGAGAGCATCAGGAAGAATAGCTAATGGATGCTGGGGCTTAATACCTAGGTGATGTGCTGATCTGTGCAGCAAACTACCGTGGCAGACATTTACCTATGTAACAAGCGTGCACATCCTGCACATGTACCCCTGAACTTAAAAGTTGGAAGAAAAACAAAACTTGCAACAACCCCTAAAAAATAATAAGCTGGGTTTCTAAACCTTTCCTCCAAATGGGTCTTGACTGATGTATTCTCACACAACTCTATGCTTCCCCTAGCACAGCACTGATGACTGAGCTGTAATTGCTGGGTGCTTGTCTACCTGTCTACCTCTCTGTCCAGAAGACAGTGGCTTTCAGGTTCATGCATTCTGCCCATCGCTGGGGCACTCAACTGAGAGGGAAGGAAGTGGGGATGCACTCAATACACACAGGTAGGATTGCGACAACCATGTGTGTACTTCATAACCCTGAGCCCTGAACCACAGATGATTTACTCGAGCTGGGCCACAGTCTCCCTGTAGCAATTTGGGACTGAGTCATACAAAGATTGGACACTGAAACTCCTTCACACAAATAATAGCACTCTTCAGAGGATGTTATTAGCCTCTGGCTAGTAAGGGGCCCCAAGCTGTCTTCTGCGAATTCTCTAAGAACCTCTAATATTCCTCCAACAAGCTTGCAAGGTCATTTCTGCTTCCTAAAGCCAAAAGAAACTGAACTAATACACACCCCAAAATATTGTAGTTTCTGTGTGAGCAGGAACAACGTGTTCCTCATTATAGCTCCAAGGCCAGCACGGTCCCTAATCAGAACTCACTGAACACCTGATGAATGCCTGCAGCTCACTGCACTGAGTGGGAGATGCTCCTCCCACTTAGATAGGGATTTTTTTTTTTTTTAACTCTCTTGCCTTCAAGGTCCTGCGCACATCTGCCCTGGCCTTGGTCTCCCTGTGTTGTCAGCTACAGTGGCCAGTGTGTCCTCTGTAGGGTACATCACATCCCTGCTCAAGAATGCATGTTAGAGACTAGAAGTACCAGGCCTCTCATCACCTAAGAAACTTTACCCTTGACTACCTGCCCAGGGTCATCAGGCCTATCATACTGGTTTCCCTATACATCTTGTGTGTGCTGAACTAGGGCCGTAATGATAAGTCCATTTCCATTTCCAGTGTTGGGTTTTTTGTTTGTTTGTTTTTTGTTTTTGAGACAGTCTCGCTCTGTTGCCCAGGCTGGAGTGCAGTGGCATGATCTCGGCTCACTGCAACCTCCACCTCCCAGGTTCTAGCGATTCTCCTGCTTCAGCCTCCTGAGTAGCTGGAACTACAGGCACACACCACCACGCCCAGCTAATTTTTGTAGTTTTAGTAGAGACGGGGTTTCACCATGTTGGCCAGGATGGTCTCTATCTCTTGACCTTGTGATCCTCCCACCTCGGCCTCCCAAAGTGCTGGGATTACAGGCGTGAGCCACACGCCCGGCCAAGTGTTGGTTTTAAACTGGCCATGTTTCTGGGATTTTCCGACTGGCAGAGGCCACTACCTACTACTGAACTATATAGAACTTAGGAGTTTCTTGGGTTTTTCCAGTTTATAAGATGCAGGCAAAACTTGAAGGGAGGCAGGGGTTGCGGAGGGGAAGATGACCAACATCACAGGAAACATAAAAACATCATTATGATCATTATGTTTTCCTGAAACCCCAGAGAGGAGGTGAAGGGTAGGATGCAAGCATCCTTCCAGTCAGCTCTCTCCCAGAGCCCTGCATTTGATCCCATTTGGGGCATGTTCCTCTTCCCTCCCATCACAGCCTTTGCTAAGGCTGACCCGTGAAAGGCTGTACCTAGGCAGGGTGCTCTTGAGGAGAGTAATTCCGCATCAGGCTGGGAGTCAGTGACCAGGCAAGGCTGTGTGACCCAGGCAGGCCCCAGGCCCATCCCCTTCCCCAGTGCTCTCCAACCCACCTCTCCATTCTCTGCTGAGACTCTGACCTACCAAGTATCTAAGATTTATCTCCAACCTCTTCTTTTCTCCTAACTCTTTCATTTAATCTATAAACACACTCATGCTTCCCCTCATCCTTTGAGAGACAGAGAGGGAGAGAGAGAGAAAGAGAGGAGGGGAGAGGGGAAAAGAATATACTAGCCAGGCGCAGTGGCTTACGCCTATAATCCCAGCACTTTAGGAGGCCAAGGTGGGCAGATTGCTTAAGCCCATGAGTTCAAGACCAGCCTGGGCAACACGACAAAGCCCTGTCTCTACCAAAAATGTAAAAAAAAAATGAGCCTGGCATGGTGGTACGCACTAGTGGTCCCAGCTACTCAGGAGACTGAAGTGAGAGGATAGCTTGAGCCTCAAAGGTGAGATTATGGTGAGCCAAGATGGCACCACTGCATTCCTCAGCCTGGGTGACAGAGCGAGACCTGTGTCAAAAAAAAAAAAGAAAGCAAAAAGAAATGCTAGGTCAAATAGTGTTCCCCAATAATTCATGTCTACCTGGAACCTCAGAATGTGACCACATTTGGAAAGAGGGTCTTTGCTGATATAATTAAATTAAGATGAGGTCTTGGTGGGGCGCAGTGGCTCACACCTGTAATCCCAGCACTTTGGGATGCCAGGGTGGGCGGATCACCAGAGGTCAGGAGTTTGAGACCAGCCTGGCCAACATGGTGAAACCCCCATCTCTACTAAAATTACAAAAATTAGCCAGGCGTTGCAGCATATGCCTGTAATCCCAGCTACTTGGGAGGCTGAGGCAGGAGAATCACTTGAACCCAGGAGGCGGAGGTTGCAGTGAGCCGAGATCATGCCACTGCACGCCAGCCTGAGTGACAGAGACTCCATCTCAAAAAAAAAAAAAAAAAGATGAGATCCTATTAGATTAGGATGAGTCCTCATCTAATGACTGGTGTCCTTATAAGAGAAAACAGAGACCCAGAAGAGACACACAGGAAGAACACCCTGTGATGATGGAGGCAGAGATTGGAGGGATGTGGCTACAAGCCAAGGAACACCAACAATTGCCAGCAACCACCAGAAACTAGGAAGAGGCAAGGAAGGGTACTCCCGTAGGGCCTTCAGAGGGAGCACAGCCATATTGACACTCTGATTTCAGATAGCCTCCAGAACAATGTGAACAGAAACAAAAACATTTGTGTTGTTTTCAAGGCACCAGTTTGTGGTAATTTGTTACGGTAGCCCTAAGAAATGAATATACTTTCCATTTTGTTATTTTCTTTCTGCTCATCTGAATTTCCTAATTTTTCTACATTGAACATGGATTATTCGGATAACAAAAGCTTAAAAATTCCAAGCTCTTCCTTGATTCTGCATCCCCTTGCTCCTTCCCTGGATGGTCCAGCTTCCCTCGCAGGCTGAGTGTAGTCAATGTCTTACTTGCTCTCCTCCCAAACAGGCCTCTGCTCGGTGCAGTCTGGCTTCTACCCCCACGACCCCAAGAACCTGCTCCACCAAACATTGCCACTGGCCTCCATACTACTAAATCTCCCAATGTGTAACCCTTCTTACTGACCATCTCTACCACGTTTGTCAAATTCTCTTGCCTCCTTAAAAAGCTCTCCTCCTAATGATGCACACCATGGAGTATTCACAGCAATTAAAAACTGTGAGTTGGGGCTAGGCGCGGTGGCTCACACCTGTAATCCCAGCATTTTGGGAGGCCGAGGTGGGTGGATTTCTTGAGCCAGGACTTCAAGACCAGCCTGAGCAACATGGTGAAACACATCTCTACAGAAAAATTAAAAAATTAGCCAGGCATGGTGGTAAGTGCCTATAATCCCAGCTACCCGAGAGGCTGAGGTAGGAGAATCGCTTGAGCCAGGGAAGTGGAGGCTTCAGGTGGATACTCCAGCCTGGGCAACAGATTGAGACCCTGTCTCAAAAAAAAAAAAAAAAACAAAAAAAAAAGGAAAGAAAAAAAATAGAAGGAAAGAAAAAGAAACCTCAATGAAATTTTCCAACAGGGACCTACACTATAAATACAGACACTAGGCAATTGTCTTATTCCACTTTAGGTTCCCAATAAGGCTACACACTTAAGAACTGCAGGAATATTTAAAATAATTGAATTATTTCAATCTCAAACCATTTCATTTTATAGTATCAAAGCCATAGAACTCTATGTAAAATCAGTAGATTTATTCAGAACACTTTATTATTTCAACAAGAAAAACTGAAAGATTGTGTTTTTACATTTCCAGGAATTTGAAGTGGGAAAAATCTTAAACTTTAAGGACATTGTTTTAATATGATTTCTTGCAATTGATATTTATAATAATAAATTTTTTTCACCTTCCTCATTATTAAAACTTTAGAAACAATGAACATAAACCTTTAGAAATCAAAATGTTATTAAGGTTTTGTTTACACGAGCAGGTCTTGAGTTTCTAGAAAAAAAAAACAGAAAACAAAAAAAAAACCTGAATGAACAAATCAACAGGTCTATTCAAGAAAAACACATCACCTTTTTTTCTATCTAAAAAGTTCATTCCTAGATTATCTCCGTGGCTTAAATCCTGATATTATACAGATTTCAGCAGCTTGTAAGTTTCCTCTGATCCTCCCTTTATATAAGCTTTCCTATGATTTCCCATCAAGTTTTTCAATTTGTTTTAAAACCACAGACACACACACACACACACACACACACACACACACACACACACACACACACACACACACACACAATTGCACATCCTCCTCTCCCAGGGCTCTCCTAATAATCTGATTTTCTGATTTATTTTTCTTGTTCTTTTTTTTTTTTTTTTTTTTGAGCCAGAGTCTGGCTCTGTCACCCAGGCTGAAGTGCAGTGGTGCACTCTTGGCTGACTGCAGCCTCTGCCTCCCAGGCTCAAGTGATCCTCACACGTCAGCCTCCCAAGTCGCTGGGACTCCAGGCACATGCCACCAAGCCCAGCTAATATTTGTAGTTTTTGTAGAGACGGGGTTTAACCACATTGCCCAGGCTGAAATCTGATTTATTTTCAAGGAGATTGGCACCTCTCAGGGAATCTTCATTTTCTCTCTGTGCTTCATTGTCCAGGAATGCCAAGCATTCTCTCTCGTAGATTACACTAGACAGGCCTGTCTTCCTGGCAGCAACAGCACGCTCCAGGCTGAAGCAACTGCAGAAACTGCGAAGAAAAACAGCACCCCCATCTCCCCTCCCTCAGGGACTATATGAGACTTAACTAAATTTGTAATCTGACTAGGATCCAAATTTTTACCCTAGAGCAAACCAACAGCTCCAGGCCAAGAGCCTAAGATTCTTCTGTCCTAGGAATGACCCACTAAGTGAGTTAAAACCTACCAATCTAAGCTAACCTAAACTAGGAGCTGGCCCTAAACAGCATTTACTCTTCCTCCAATGACTTCATCTCTTCTGATAAAATTAATCAGAGGTTCAACTGAGTTATAACTCTACTCTTTTAAATATGCTTCTTAAATTTCCCATTGGCAATAATACACTAATGATTAATTGAATGCTATTGTATTATAGCAATTAGATTTATATCCTGGGATTATTTGATATTAAAAAATATTGATCAATCCTGATTATGTGGATTGAAAAATTAATCCTATAAGTAAACAGCATATAAATAGTATATAACATAATATATACATATATATAAATAATATATGTCCTTATAGTATAAAAGTTAGAAATACAGACAAAAAGAAATGGGGGACAGTCCCATATTTTCTTATAATCCAGAATGTACATTTGTAGCATTCCTAGGCATATGTAGCAAGCTGATATATAAAATGTTAACTAGGCCACGTACAGTGGCTTACGCCTGTAATCCCAGCACTTTGGGAGGCTGAGGCAGGCAGATCACCTGAGGTCAGGAGTTTGAGACCGGACTGGCCAACATGGCGAAACCTCGTCTCTACTAAAAATACAAAAATTAGCCAGGCATGGTGGTTTGTGCCTGTAATTCCAGCTACTCAGGAGATTGAGGCAGGAGAGTCGCTTGAACCTGGGAGGCAGAGGTTGCAGTGAGCCAAGATTACACCATTGCACTCCAGCCTGGGTGACAACAGCGAAATTCCATCTCAAAAAAAAAAAAAAATTAACTGCTTTGGTTTCTAAGACTATGGTTGCCTTACCCCTCACCAGCTCCCCCCACTTCCCCACCCCAGAGAAGAAACTATTCTAAAGTGTTAGGACTTTCAGTGACTAAGAAACCACTTAAGTCAATTGTGATTATCTGGAAGCAACTAAGTGTCATTTTCTGTATCAGAATGAATGGGCAGGAGATGGACTCTGGACGTAGAAATATGGGGAAAGAAATCACAAATTGAGGCCGGGTGCAGTGGCTCACACCTGTAATCCCAGCACTTTGGGAGGCCAAGGCGGGTGGATCACTTGAAGTCAAGAGTTCGACACCAATCTGGCCAACACGATGAAACCCTGTCTCTACTAAAAATACAAAAATTAGCCAAGCGTGGTGGTGCGCACCTGTAATCCCAGCTACTCAGGAGGCTGATGCAGGAGAATTGCTTGAACCAGGAGGCAGAGGTTGCAGTGAGCCGAGATCATGCCATTGCACTCCAGCCTGGGTGACAGAGCGAGACTTTGTCTCAAAAAAAAAAGAAAGAAAGAGAAAGAGAGAAAGGAAAGAAAGGAAAATAAATCACAAATTGAGTTTTAGAAAATAATTAAGTTACATTTCTAGCACACTGATATGGTTTGGCTCTGTGTTCCCACCCAAATCTCATGTCAAATTGTAATCCCCACATGTCAGGGGAGGGACCTGGTGGGAGGTGATTGGATCATGGGATTGGTTTCCCCCGTGCTGTTCTCATGATAGTGAGTGAGTTCTCACGAGATCTGATGGTTTTAAAAGTGTTTGGCAGTTTCCCACTTGCTCTCTCTCTCTCCTGCTGCTATGTAAGACGTGCCTTACTTCCCCTTTGCCTTCCACCATGAATGTAAGTTTCCTGAGGCCTCCCTAGCCATGCAGAACTGTGAGTCAACTAAACCTCTTTCCTTTTTAAATTACCCAGGCTCAGGTAGTTCTTTATAGCAGTGTGAAAATGGACTAACACACCCATTTTTTGTCCTTGACACATCATACCCACTACCCACGTGCACACACACAAGCATGCACACACATACACATATGACTTTGCATATTTGTAAGCAAAAATGGAATCATACCATACGTGCTGTTCTATAACCTGCCTTTCTCATGTAATAACATACCAAGCTTTCAATGCCAGGCTGAAATAGGCTCAATCACCCTCACCCCATCAGGTTATGGGAGATTGCATTTTCCAAAGAAGCCTCAACAATATCTTCTATCCCATACATTCTTCGGCAATGTGACCTTGTCACTCTCCTCTCAAGAAGTGGAGTCTAATTCACCTACCCTCAAATTTGGTTTGGTTTTAGTGACTCCCTTATACCAATAGATGGTGATAAAAGTGACTACATTGTGATTTCTTTTTCTTTTTTTCTTAGAGACAGGGTCTCACTCTGTTGCCCAGGCTGGAGTGCAACGGTGCAATCATAGCTCACTGCAGACTCGAACTCCTGAGCTCAAGAGATCCTCCTGTTTCGGCATCCCAAAGTGCTAGGATTACAGGCATGAGACACTGCATGCAGCCAAGAACATATGTTGACCTAAAACTGGCATTCTGTGATTGTAATGGAAAACAGATAAAGCAGGAGGAAGATGTAGGAAGATGGTGAGTATGAGAGAGGCATTTATAAATTATCAGAATATTAGTACTAATCCTTCTTGGCTTTTTTAAACCAGAAAAGGGAGCTCTGAATTTAATTCCCAAACTGTAATTTCTGGGACAAAAACTACCTAATGTACTATAATGGTTACATTTTATATCATCAGCTTTGATTGTCCTACATAAACACCAGTAACAATACCAATAAGAAGATCAATAATAATAGTAATATAAGTTTGTAATCAGTGACTTATTCACCATACGCCAAGCACTAGGTTAAGTGCTTTATGCTTTATCTCATTTAATTTTTTTTTTTTTACACGGGGTCTCTATCACCCAGGCTAGAGTGCGGTGGCACAACCATTCCTCACTGAAGCTTCGAACTCATGGCCTCAAGTGATCCTCCTGCCTCAGCCTCCCAAGTAACTGGGACTACAGGTGCATGCCACCACACCCAGCTAATTTTTTTATTTTTTGTAGATACATGGTCACACCATGTTGCTCAGACTGGTCTTAAACTCCTGGACTCAACGGATCCACCTGCCTTGATCTCCCAAAGTGCTGAGATTACAGATGTGAGCCACCGTGCCTGGCCTATCTCATTTAATCTTAACAGCACCCCTGTGATGTAGCCACTATTATCATACATATTTTACAAATGATGAAACAGGCTTACGAAGGTAGAGAAGTTACCCAGAATGACTCAGGTGGGAAGCTATGGGGCTGGACTTGAACTAAGGTATACCTGACTCCATGCTCTTAAGCCTGTTTGTTACTCAATTTGACATGTGTTCTATTCACAGATGCTGTATTAGTCTGTTCCATTCTCACATTGCTATAAAGAACTACCTGATCACCCACTACCCACACGCACTTTGGGAGGCCAAGGTGGGAGGATCGCTTGAGCCCAGGAGTTCAAGACCAGCCTGGGCAACATAGCGCAACCCCATCTCTACAAAAAATACAAAAATTAGCAGGGCATGATGATGCATGCCTGTAGTCCCAATTACTCAGGAGGCTGAGGCAAGATGATCGCGTGAGCCCTGGAGGTAGAGGCTGTAGTGTGCCAAGATCTCATCACTGCACTCCAGCCTGGGCGACAGAGTGAGACCCTATCTCAAAAAAAAAAAAGAACTGAGACTGGGTAATTTATGAAGAAAGAGGTTTAATTGACTCATAGTTCCACAGGCTGTATGGAAGCATGACTAGACCTCAGGAAACTTACAATCACGGCAGGTGAAGGGGAAGGAAGCACATCTTACTATGGCAGAGGAGAGAGAGAGAGAAAAGGGGGAAGTGCTACACACTTTTAAACCATCAAATCTTGTGAGAACTCACCCACTATGATGAGAATAGCAAGGGGGGAAACTGCCCCCATGATCCAATCAGCTCCCAACAGGTCCCTCCCCCAACATTGGGAATTACAATTCAAGATGAGATTTGGGTGAGGGCATAGAGCCAAATCATATCAGCATCTTTTGCTCAGAATTCCCATGTCTGGGGAATTCTCCACATTATAAGTCTCACCATCAAAGGTGGAAATCAGAAACTGGACTTCTCAGCCCTTCTTGCAGCTGGCATGCTGACTTGTGGCACAAGCCTTACTACCCAGATACACCCATATGAAGATTCAATTTGCAGAAGAACAGTATGAGAAAACAGGCAGTGCACAGAACCCATGCTTCCAGGGAGCGCTCCAGTGGAGGTGCCATTCCCATGAAGGTCTTCACAGCAGACAGCAGTGGAGGGGAGGGTGTTCTAACAGGGTCTTCAGTGACAGACACTGTAATGAAATCTTTGCTGTATCCACCAAGTCATTTGTTTCTGACTGTCAAGCTGCCAAGCCTAATTCTGGCCCTCCCAGAGTTTCTGTGAGCTTTAAGTTAGACCTCAATAAATTGTATTTCTCTCTTTTTTTTTTTTTTTTTTTTTTGATGTGGAGTCTCACTCTGTCACCCAGGCTGGAGTCCAGTGGCGCGATCTCGGCTCACTGCAAGCTCCTCCTCCTGGGTTCAAGCAACTCTCCTGCCTCAGCCTCCCGAGTAGCTGGGACTACAGGCACGCACCACCACGCCTGGCTAATTTTTTGTATTTTTAGTAGAGATGGGATTTCACCGTGTTAGCCAGGATGGCCTTGATCTCCTGACCTCCTGATCCGCCCACCTCAGCCTCTCAAAGTGCTGGGATTACAGGCGTGAGTCACTGCACCCGGCCTATTTCTGCTTTAACTAGCCAAAGTTTTGTTACATGGGACTAATAACCTGACTGGCACAATCTCTTCAAAACTCAGGAACTAATATTTCAAGCAGAAGTACAGAGATCTGTTTGTTCTGTTTTTCACAAGCTACAATCAATTTCATTATTAATGATTTGTTTTAAATGCACACACTTTTTCTAAGTGGGTGAGTCTTCTAATAATTCATCAAAAGTAGCAGGACTAGCTAAACTCGTCAGCTACATAGAGAGGTCTGCTGACTTTTCCCCCAACTGAGAAGCATTTCTTTCATGAGTAGAAATCCCAAAACACTTCAAATATACATTTTACCCTTTGGATATATTTTCTTTCTTTGCTTCCTTTGCTATTAATATTAATGTAATATATCTGGTTCTAACTGTGAATTTAATCAAATTCTTATTCTTTTGTCTTCACTTTATTCCTAAGGCCAAACTCTGAAACTTTTGCTAATTCCTGTCAGATATTTCATTCTCATAAAATGTCATCCTCGTCATCTCTCCTACTGATGGATTAAATGACATTACATAATTGTGAGGCATTTAGAACACTTTTTAAAATCTTATTTTTCCTACTGGTTGTCCACTGATCAACAGTCTGCCATGTTACATGCGGTATCCTTACATGAGGAACATGGCAGACAGAGTTGGTTGCCTTCTTGACAGCCATTTCCCATTATTTCTTGCTCAAAGAGCTTCAACTTGTGCAGGCATAGGCAGAAATATGCTCTTCCCCCAGCCCCAGCTAATTAATCCTGATGGTTTCCCTTTCCTTTTGCTGTGATTTAGGGTAGGCATCAGGTAGGTATATAAATTTGCCCAATCACTCTGGTCTAACTTTAAAACAATTTATGGTCCTCATAAAATAAGACGAATGCATGAAGAAGAGCGTCTGTACTCTCTTTTTCCTAATTTAGACATCATGCACGGATGTGATGTTTGCAGTTGCAGCAGGCATTTTGTAACCATGAAGAATTAAAAAATAAAAATAAAAAATAAAAATATAATGCCAGGCGCAGTGGCTCACAGCTGTAATCCCAGCACTTTGGGAGGCCGAGGCGGGCAGATCACGAGGTCAGAAGTTTGAGACCAGCCTGGCCACCATGGTGAAACCGCGTCTCTACTAAAAATACAAAAATTAGCCAGGCGTGGTGGCATGCACCTATAAGCCCAGCTACTGAGGGGGCTGAGGTGGAAGAATCACTTGAACCCGGGAGGCGGAGGTTGCAGAGAGCCGAGATCGCACCACTGCACTCCAGCCTGGGCAACAGAGTGAGACTCTATCTCAAAAAAAAATAAAATAAAATAAAACTAAGTGTTGAGGATGTGATGGTCAGGAGAGCAGCCAGTAGAAGTCAGTGATTCACATAACTTCACCTGCAAGCCATGGAAAAATCTCAGCAATCTAAGGCAAGACACTGCCTTCAATCCCAGCTGCTGACAGCACCAAAACAGGAAACTCTCAAGATTTTGCCTTCAGCCCATGTGTCTGCCTTCAACTGCCTCTGTTGAATAATGGTTTTTCTTTTCTGCTTTCCTTCTCACACAAGTGCCTCTCATTGGCAAACTCCAACTTGGAATCAAATGAAGGAGGGGATTCTGTCACATGTAACTACAGGTTTCTCTTCTTTAATGCAGAGCGGACTCTAGAAGGGATAATGGAGAGGTATAGCTGGACAACAGACAATCCAGCACAATGAAAGTGAAATGATGCCTTCAAAATTTTGAGGGCTAATAACTTCCAACTAGAATTATATTCTCAGCTAAGCTATCAATCAAGTATAAACATAAAATTGAATCCAGGCATGGTGGCTCACACCTGTCATCCTAGCTGCTTGGGAGGCTGCGGCAGGAGGATCCCTTGAGCCTAGGAGCTCAAGGTTACCATAAACTATGATCACATCACTGCATCCCATCCTGGGTGACAGAGCAAGACCCTATCTCTAAAAATAAAAATATAAAGGTTTTTTTTGGCTGGGCACAGTGGCCCACACCTGTAATCCCAGCACTTTGGGAGGCCAAGGTGGGCAGATTGCCTGAGGTCAGGAGTTCAAAACCAGCCTGGCCAACATGGCGAAACCCAGTCTCTACTAAAAATACAAAAAAAATTAGCCAGGCGTGGTGGTGGGTGACTGTAATCCCAATTACTTGGGAGGCTGAGGCAGGAGAATCACTTGAACCCAGGAGGTGGAGGTTGCAGTGAGCCAAGATCGCACCACTGCATTCCAGCCAGGTGGCAGAGTGAGACTCCGTCTCAAAAAAAAAAAAAAACAGAAAAAGAAAAAAAAAAGTTTTTTAGACATAAAAGGTCTGAAAAAGTTAACTTCCGTGTACCCATTCTCAAGAAATTTCAAGAAGATTGACTCCACCAGAATAAGACGAAAGCAAGAGAGAGTGTGAATTAAGAGTAAAGAGGAAGAAATGAGATGCAAGAAAGAAGCAATCCAACACGAGAGAAATAAAAAGGGTCCTCAGGAGGATGATAAAAAGAGGTCCTTGAATGACAGCTATGTGTCAGATGCAGAGGACAGTCAATCCAGATGGGAGCAATGTGACACAAGATGCAGACATCACAGGAGCCATCTCGAAGATACCCTTTGCCATTGGACCATCTTTTTGAGGCCTGGTGAATCTGACCTAGATTTTGTCTGTGCTTGGCACATCTTGACTATGTACCAATGGAGTTTCTGCTCTCCTCACCATGACAAGCAGAATTCTAAAATGACCTCCATAATCTCCACCCCCTAGTTATGAGTAGGTTTATGTCACCTTGCATGACACAAAGTTTTGTAGATGTAATTAAGGCGACTAATCAGTTGACTTTAAGACAAAGGATTATCCTGGTAAACCTGACTTAATCACATGAGCCCTTTAAAGGCATTTTAAGAGCATTTTCTCTGGCTGGTAGCAGAAGAGAAAGCCAGAGAGATTCTAAGCACAAGGGAGACTCAACATAAGGGAGACTCATCATAAGGAAGAGTCTCCAATGCTGAGTGGAGGGGGCCACCTGAGAGCAGCCTCTACGAGCTGGCAGCAGTCCCCACTGACAGCCAGAAAGAAAGTGAAGGCCAGGCACAGTGGCTCACGCCTGTAATCCCAATACTTTGGGAGGCCAAGCGGGCAGATCACTTGAGGTCAGGAGTTCAAGACCAGCCTGGCCAACATGGTGAAACCCCGTCTCTACTGAAAATACAAAAATTAGCCAGGCATGTTGGCAGATGCCTGTAATCCCAAGTACTTGGGAGGCTAAGGCAGGAGAATCGCTTGAACCCAGGAGGTGGAGGTTGCTGTGAGCCCAGACTGTGCCATTGCACTCCAGCCTGGGCAACAGAGAGAAACTCTGTTAAAAAAGAAAGAAAGAAAGAAAGAGAGAGAGAGAGGGAGGGAGGGAGGGAGGGAGGGGGAAGGGGAGGGGAGGGGAGGGGAGGAGAGGAGAGGAGGAGCCTCCAGTGCTGCACCTGCAAGGAAATGAACTCTGCTAACAACTTGAGCTACCTTGGAAATGAATCTTTCCCTAGGGGAGCCTCCAGAGGAGGAGGCAGCCAACCAATGTCTTGATTTCAGCCTAATGAGACCTTGAGGAGAGGAACCAGCTAAAATGTGCCAGGCTCCTCACCTGTAAAAACTATGAGACAATAAACGTATGTTGTTTTAAGCTGCTGCATTGGTGATAATTTATTATGTGGCAATAGAAGACTAACACACCCACCATGACCTGCTGTCTTCACGAACTGAGGAAATTCACCTTACCCCATAGAAGGGGTTTGCTTTGATTTCTTCTTGAAAGTAGGTAAGAAACCATGGCGAGCTTGGGAGCTGCAGATAGAGAGTCTCCCACTTCTTGACTATGTTTCCGCAGATATCCATTACCTGACCCAAACTGCAGCCCTGCCAGATGTCCCAGCTGTGATATATCCTGTGTTTCCCAGAACTCACTCTTGACCCTGACCGCAGACTTCCCAAAAGGAGCTCTTGCATTCTCTCAGGAACGCTGCCACTGAACGTGACCCAGAGCTTATCTTTTGAGAGCCTGCTGCAATGGTTGGGCTTGCCACTCAGTTGTCAAAAATAAGCAATATAAGGCCAGGAGCCATGGCTCACACCTGTAATCCTAGCACTTTGGGAGGCTGAGGCAGGCAGATCACTTGAGTCCAGGAGTTCAAGACTAGCCTGGGCAACGTGGCGCAACCCTGTCTCTACCAAAAAAGAAAATACAAAAATTAGCCGGGCATGACGGTGCATGCCTGTAGTCCCAGCTAATTGAGGAGCTGAGGTGGGAGGACTGCTGAAGCCTGGGAGGTCAAGGCTGCAGTGAGATGTGACTGTGCCACTACACTCCAGCCTGAGCAACAGATCAAGACTCTCAAAATAACAACAACAAAGATATTTTTTGTTCTCATCAAATACAAAAAATAAACAATCTAATATTTAAGGATACATATAGGTGGTAAAACTATAAAGCAAAGCAAGAAATAATTATCAAAAAATCAGGATAGTGGTTATCTCTTGAGGAGGAAGAAGAAGATGATGATTAAAGTAGAGCACGCAGAGGATTTTCAAGTCACTGGCAAAGTTTTACATGTTCATCTGGATAACAGGTACACAGGTGTTCATTTTACCATTATTCTATAAACTCTCTGTATTTTTATACAGTCTTCTGTGGTATTATGCTTAACACATAAATGCTTAATAAAAGATAGCGTTATTATAAATTGAGGAAATGCAAGACATGAAACTACAAATTAAAATTCCATCCGGCCGGGCGCAGTGGCTCATGCCTATAATCCCAGCACTTTGGGAGGCCGAGGCAGGCGGATCACGAGGTCAAGAGATCGAGACCATCCTGGCCAACATGGTGAAACCCCATCTCTAGTAAAAATACCAAAAAAAAAAAAAAATTAGCCAGGCGTGGTGGCAGGCGCCTGTAATCCCAGCTACTTGGGAGGCTGAGGCAGGAGAATCGCTTGAACCCGGGAGGCGGAGGTTGTAGTGAGCCGAGATCATGCCACTGCACTCCAGCTTGGGCAAAAAGAGCAAAACTCTGTCTCAACAACAACAAAAAAATAAAATAAAATTCCATCCTGACTGCTTTGTCCTTGAGTTTCTTTCCTTAGAATTTACTAGAGTGTTAAAAGTTTCATAGGAAATAGTCTCTGAATATCAGGAACACTTTAGAGTTTCCACCAGTGGGGAAAAGATGAGCTATTCAATAAACAATATTAGATTTTATTCATATCTCAAATCTTACACCAAAATAAATTTCAGATAGATCAAGACTTACATGTGAAAAAAATGAAAACTTGAAAGTAAGACAAGAAAATATGGGAGAATTATTTTACAATCTGGGAAAGCCTTTCTAAGCATGATGCAAAATATAGATGCAATAAAACGAAAGAAGCTAAATATAAATACATGTTTTAAATTCTGCTTAGTAACAACACCAGAAACAAACTCAAAAGGCATGAAAAGCTTGGAACAACTATTTGTATTCCTATGGATTGATAAGAAAAAGACCAGTAATTCACTGAAAAAAAAAAAATGGGCAGAGGATATGAACAGACAGTTCTTAGAAATTTCAAATGGCTTTTAAACATATGAAAGTATGCTCTATCTTTCCATAATAAAGAAAATGCAAATTTAAAATACCAGATTGGCACAGATAAAAATTTTGATAACACCATGTGGGTGAAGGTTAGAGAAACAGATGCTCTCACATATTGCTGGTGGGAGTGTAAACTGGCTCAACCCCTGCGGAGAACAACTTGACGATATCTATCAAAATCTAAAGCGCATGTTTTGGCAGGCGCCATGAGTTGTGTACCCCAAAATCATTGCTCCATACTCCTTGTTAATAGAATCCATTTGTTCAAGTGGCAATGTGCCAAGCCCCAAGAAACGAATTTATGTGCAGATGCATTCATATTCATTAAGCACTTACTGGGTGCTGGGCACTGTTCTGGGCTCTGGGGATGCAACAGAGAAGGAAGCAGAACAACCTCCCCCCGCCTTCATGACAATCCTGCACCCACTGATGAAGATACCAGAGCAAAATGGCAATAGTGGTATTTTGATGTGTATTTCAGATAATAAATGACCACCATATAATTTTTCATCAAAACTCACACACTTTTGAGATTGAATGCAATGCTATTAAAAAATATACTAGGGCCAGGCACGGTGGCTCACGCCTGTAATCCCATCACTGTGGGAGGCCGAGCCAGGGCGTCACTTGAGGTCAGGAGTTTGATACCAGACTGGCCAACATGGCGAAACCCCGTGTCTACTAAAAATACAAAAATTTGCCAGGCATGGTGGTGCGTGCCTGTAATACCAGCTACTCAGGAGGCTGAGGCAGGAGAATCACTTGAACCCAGGAGGTGGAGATTGCAGTGAGCTGAGATCACGCCACTGCACTCCAATCTGGGTGACAGAGCGAGACTCTGTCTCAAAAAAAAAAAAAAAAAAAAAAATGCTAGGACAAGAGGTACAAACTGGCCTTGTCCCAAGCAAACTGGGAAATATGGTTACCTGTAATCCTAAAACATTGATGATGTCAACACTGCCTCAGTTGCTATGATGCCCTTCAATTCTAAAATGACTCCATCACGAAAGTGAAGAAAATCAGAACCCAAACTAGCTCTAGAGAAAAGATACTCAACCTCTTTAATAATGAGGAAAATATAGAAACAAATCAATAATAAGATGCCTTGGAAGGATTTGAAAGACAGGAATGATAGGTTCAGAATGGTTTCAAAACTTGTCCAACTTTTCTAACATGGTGATATCTGTGTAAAAAAAAAAAAAAACTTGTCCAGCTTTGATTTGAAATTGTAATGCAGTCTTCTGGATGTATCTCCTGAAATAGAAATGATGAAAACATCATTGTTGAATTGAGGAAAAATGGTGTTATACTAACAAATTTCAGCTCTTACACCCAGCACAGAAAACTAGAATAAAAAAAAAAAAAAACTAATATTAGAATCATTATTCATACCCTTTTGCCTGGCAGTCAGTTTCCCAGCCTCTGTGTGGCCCAATAGTGGTTAATGAAACAGGAAAACAACTGTCAGGATTTCCCTGGAAAGGCTTTCTCCCAGTAAAAAGGGACATTCAAAAGTATAGTGTGCTGGAGCTGCCTCTTCCCTCATGTTCCAGCCTTGAAACTGGCCATGATGGCTGCAGCAGCTACTTTGCAGACATGAAGTGACAATCATGAAAAGAAATGTCCTTTTGCTAAAGGTAGCAGAGAAGAAAGACCCAGAACAAGAAGAGAGTACTCAAAGCCTATGATGGCCTTGTTGAGCTGCCAGACCAACCCCAACATCACTCAAGAGAATTGTTGTGAGTTAGAAATGGGAGAGAAGTTGGGCATGTGTTTCATGCCTATAATTCCAGCACTTTGGGAGGCCGAGGCAGGCAGATCACTTGAGGCCAGGAGTTCGACACCAGTCTGGCCAACCTAGTGAAACCCTGTCTCTACTAAAAAATACAAAACTTACCCGGGCATGGTGGCATGCCTATAATCCCAGCTACTCTGGAGGCTGAGGCAGAAGAACTGCTTGAAGCCGAGAGGCAGAGGTTGCAACAAGCTGGGATCACGCCATTGCACTCCAGCCTGGGTGACAGAAAGAAGCTTGTCTCAAAAAAAAAAAAAAAAAGAAAGAAAAGAGAAGAAAAAATGGGAGAAAGACTTTCCTCTCCATACCTTATACCTCCTGGTATCTGGTACTTTTTGAACTTTGTTCTGTGTGCATGAATTGCCTATTCAAATAAAACTGTAATGCCTGAGGTTTTTTTGTTTGTTTGTTTGTTGTTGTTTTTTTTTGAGATGGAGTTTCACTCTTGTTGCCCAGGCTAGAGTGCAATGGTGTGATCTCGGCTCACTGCAACCTCTACCTCCCAGGTTCAAGCAATTCTCCTGCCTCAGCCTCCCGAGCTGGGATTACAGGCGCATGCCACCATGCCAGGCTAATTTTGTATTTTTAGTAGAGATGGGGTTTCACCATGTTGGCCAGGCTGCTCTCGAACTCCTGACCTCAGGTGATCTACCCGCCTCAGCCTCCCAAAGTGCTGGGATTGCAGGCATGGGCCACCACGCCTGAGATCTTATCAATCAAGTATTTAAACCAAAAATATTTTACATCTACATTTTTTTAGTGGAAATACAATTTTAAAAAGCACAGTTTAGCCAGGTGCAGTGGCTCACACCTGCAATCCCAGCACTTTGGAAGGCTGAGGCAGGCAGATCACCTGAGGTCTGGAGTTCAAAACCAGTCTGGCCAACATGGCGAAATCCTGTCTCTACTAAAAATACAAAAAAAAAGAAAAAAAAAATCAGCCAGGCATGGTGGCGGACGCCTGTAATCCCAGCTACTCGGGAGGCTGAAGCAGGGAGAAATGCTTGAACCCGGGAGGTGGAGGTTGCAGTGAGCCGAGATCGTGGCACTATACTCCAGCCTGGGTGACAGAGTGAGACTCGGGCTCAAAAAAAAAAAAAAAAGGCACAGTTTGAGGGTGGGGGCTCGCACATGTAATCCCAGAACTTTAGAAGGCTGAGGAGGGAGGATCTCCTAAGCCCAAGAGACCAGGCTGGGCAACAAAGTGAGATCTCATCTCTATAAAAACCAAACAAAACAGTCTGGTGAAAAATGCGATAGAATGAAGTATATTATAGACAAAAGGGACCTTCAGTATCAACTCTCACATATTGATTGTCGATGAAGAAAAGAGTCAAACTCTGTAAAATATTTGAAGAGACTTATTCTGAGCCAAATATGAGTGACCATGGCCAGTGACACAGCCCCAGGAAATCCTGAGAACGTGTGCTCAAAGTGGTCGGACTACAGCTTTTTATTACACATTTTAGAGAGACAGAAGACATCAAAAAATACATGTAAGATGTACATTGGTTCAGTGAGGGTGGATGGGGCGCTTCTACATCATGAGTGAATTCAAAGATTTTCTGATTGGGAGTTAGTTGAAAGAGTTTATCTAAAGACCTGAAATTTATAGAAGGGAGTGCCTGAATTAAGATAAGGGGTTGCGAAAACCAAGGTTCTTGTTATGCAGATAAAGCCTCCAGGTAGCAGGCTTCAGAAAGAACACATTGTAATTATTTCTGGGTCTCACTCCATCACCCAGGCTGGAGTGCAGTGGTGCAATCTCAGCTAACTGCAGCCTCAACCTCCCAGGCTCAAGCCATCCTCGCACCTCTCAGCCTCTGGAGTAGCTGGGATTACAGATGCGCGCCACTACGTCCTGGTAATTTTTGTATTTTTAGTAGAGACAGGGTTTCACCGTGTTGCCCAGACTTATCTCGAACTCCTGGGCTCAAGCAACCCACCTGCCTCGGCTTCCCAAAGTGCTGGGATTACAGGAGTGGGCCACAGCACCAGGTCAGATTGTAAAACTTTTAATTTTTATTTATTTTTTTTATTTTATTTTATTTTATTTTATTTTTTGAGACGAAGTTTCGCTCTTGTTGCCCAGGCTGGAGTGCAATGGTGTGATCTCGGCTCACTGCAACCTCCACCTCCCAGGTTCAAGTAATTCTCCTGCCTCAGCCTCCCAAGTAGCTAGGATTACAGGCGCCCACACCCCCACCCCATGCCTGGCTAATTTTTGTATTAGCCAGAGATGGGGTTTCACCATGTTGGCCTGGCTGGTCTCGAACTCCTGACCTTCAGGTGATTCACCTGCCTTGGCCTCCCAAAGTGCTGGGATTATAGGCGTGAGTCACCATGCCCAGCCAAAAATTTTATTTTTTACCTTTTTAAGGTGCAAGACTCTCAGTAAATTCTCTCCTGGTTAAGGAAAAATATCTGGAAAGGGAAGGGGATTCTCTACTGAAAGTAGATTTTCCCCACAAGAGACACCTTTGCAGGGCCATTTCAAAATGTGTCAAAAATATATATATATTTTTTGGGGTAAACTACTTCAATTTACTTCAGGGCCTGCTGTCTGTCATGTTGGTATCTTACTGCTACAAAAAGCCTTCTTTGTCAGACTTATGTTAATGCTGGTCAGATGTGCCTGAATCCCAAAGGGACTCTGTCCCAAAGGGAGGAGAGTATAATGAGGCTTGTCTGACCACCTGTTCCCATCATGACATGAACTAGCGTTTCAGGTAACTTTGGAATGCCCCTGGACAAGGAGGCATCCATTCAACTGATTGGGGAGCTTAGAATTTTATTTTTGGTCTACATGGTAAAGCTTAAAGTTGCGGAAATCATTATCCTCAGTCAAGCTAAAGCCTAGGTATCCAGACCTCTCTTTCACCTAATTTATTTGCAATTAATCCAAAGTTCTAGGCCAGGCACAGTGACTCACACCTGTAAACCCAGTCCTTTGGGAGGCGGAAGCATGGAGGATCACCCGAGGCCAGGAATTCAAGGCTGCAGTGAGCTAAGATTGCACCACTGCTCTCCCGCCTGGGTGACAGAGCAAGACCCTGTCTCTAAAAGAAATTTTTAAAACAAATAACAAAGTACTGGTTTATGCTGTATTTATAAAACAACATATGTAGTAAGATTTTCTTAGTTTTAGAACCCAGAAAGCTGTGCCAAATGCTTTGAGAGTTGACTTATTTCCTATTAGGTTTTTTAAATACTTGCAGTCCAGATACTGCTTTTAATTTTTTAAAAAACAGTATCCATACTTACAGGCTCTGATTAAGTTTCAAAGACTAAGCCTGCCATGCTTGTCGGTGTGTGATTCCTTCCTCTAAGATTCCAGACATTCCCGTCTCCAGGCATCACTGTGTCGGGGGAGCGCTGTGTGAAAATGGCTGTGATCTTTGTGCGGTTTGTCCGGTTATACCTCACTGGGACACCAGAGGGCGCAAGGAGGGCCAGCACTTGTTTTTCTTTAAATCTCGAATCAAAGTCCATGCAGAGAACAACAAAAGACCCGGAACACAGGGGCCTTGAGACAAAGGGACTCAGGGGAAAAGGCTGCACGCCCTGTTTTACTGAAGTGGAATTTGCTTCTTCACCCTCCTCACCTCCTCACCTCCTCCCCACCTTAAGGAACTAGAAATAAACAACTTAAGCTGCAAAATAATGAAATCTGGCTAACAAGGAAAACCAAACTAGAATACATTACTCAACATGTCATAGGCTAAGAGGACTATCACAAATGTACATTTGAGCTATTTGCTTTGCCTAATATTAATAACTTTAAAGAAAATTTTATTGTTTGCTTTTCTGAGTTCAATATATGCACATAGTAGAAAATTTAGAAAAGGTGGAATAGCAAAAAGAACAGCGATCATCAACACACTCTTAACCCAGATATAACTACTTTTAATATCTTCAGCTACTTCTTTCCAGATGTTTTCTTCTTTCTTTCTTCCTTTTTTTTTTTTTTTTTTTTGAGACGGAGTCTCACTCTGTCCCCATGCTGGAGTATAATGGCGCGATCTAGGCTCACTGCAACCTCCGCCTCCCAGATTCAAGTGATTCTCCTGCCTCAGCCTCCCGAGTAGCTAGGATTATAGGCACCCACCACCACGCCCAGCTAATTTTTGTATTTTTAGTAGAGACGGGGTTTCACTCTGTTGGCCAGCCTGGTCTCGAACTCCTGACCTCAAGTGGTCCTCCCGCCTCAGCCTCCCAAAGTGCTGGGATTACAGGCATGAGCCACCGCACCCAGCCACCAGACGTTTCCAGTACTTACAAATGCATAGAAAAAAAATGGGATTCTGCGTGCTATTTTGTGCTGGTTCTCTTCTTATTTTCTAGATCACTAACTTCATTTTATTGATAAATTCTGATAATAAAACTTTGCTAATCATATGAGTTAATCACAGGTAGGAGAATAAGAAATTTCAAAAGCTACAGGCAGCTTTTTTCCCAAAATAGCAGCAACTTGAATGCCAGACCTGAGTCATGCATTTGAAGCAGAAGTTTTTCTGTTGCTTTGTGTTTAGAAAACACGGAAAGACTAAAGAAAAGGCCTGTCGCAGTGGCTCACACCTGTAATCCCAGCACTTTGGAAGTCCAAGGCGGATCACAAGGTCAGGAATTTGAGACCAGCCTGGTCAACATGGTGAAACCCTATCCCTATTAAAAATACAAAAATTAGCCAGGCATGGTGGCCCGCACCTGTAGTCCCAGCTAATCGGGCAGCTGAGGCATGAAAATTGCTTGAACTTGGGAGGCGCAGGTTGCAGTGAGCCAAGGTCACACCACTGCACTCCAGCCTGGGTGACAGAGTGAGACGGGTCTCAAAAAAAAAAAAAAAATCCAAAGAAAAGAAGTAGAAACTGTTCCATCCCACCCCAAACAGGCTGAATAATTTGTCCTTCTGGGTAGCCTGAGGACTGAATGCCAAAGGGCCAGGGGGTGTGGGTCACCAGGACCCTTTGTTCCTCACACTGGGGCTAGTGTTTGCCTCAAAGCTAGACAGATCAGTAAAGCTATTAACCGGGATAGGTCAGCAGGTGGTCAGTAGGGCAGGAAAAAAGTCAGGAAAACGGAGGTCACTGATCTCCTGTTGGGTTGGGGCCAATGTTGGCAGGCAGGTTCCTTAAAGGACAGGAAGCTTAGGCCAGCCCAGGAACAGATAACTCTAAGGAAAGTGATGGCAAGATCTGAGGCCCTGAAAACCTCTGAGGGACACCTAATCACTAAGCCCACAGATTCCTTAATTTACAGCAACAGATAAAGGTGATGTTCTCGGCCACAGGAATTTAGTTAAATCACTGGAGCTGTCTGGCCTCAGTTTCCTTATCTGTATAACGAAAGGATCAAGAAGATAGGTAAGGTTCCTGTCAGTTCCTCAAAGATTGTGATGTTTAATTCTCCCCAGTCATGCATTATAATGAAAGGTGAAGACATTTCCTGCCCCCTGCCACTCCAGTCCCCTAAGCAGCAGCCCCTCCACCATATACTCTTTCCCGCATTGCCACTTTTCCCAAATTGCCACATGCTCTGAGCCTTTGTATTAATGTTTCTCTGTTCCCTAAGTGCTGGAAAACATTTCCCCCATTCTTTTTCTAAGTTCATCATCATTCTTTGGTGGCCCAGCTAAAAATAGGTCTTTCTTTGACCACTCCAGCCCTTCCCTCTCTGTAATCCCGTAGTATTCTGCACATACCTCCATCACTTTCTACCTCTGTAGCCTTCATCTTCCAGTGCCTCAGTTTCCTCACTGTAAAAAGGAGAAAATTATTATAGCAAACTCATAGGATTTAAATAAGGATTAAATGGTATTAAATAAAATGTATAGTAAGTCATTGGTTTGAACTGAGTTCCTACACTAGGCCCAACAGACAAACCAAAATAGAGTCACTCATGCTGGAGTTCCACACCACTAAGCTGAAAATAAGTTGTTTATCTGACCTTCCAAGAAATCAGGAGGGGGCGGAGCATGGTGGCTCACACCTGTAATCTCAGCACTTTGGGACGCCAAGGCAGGTGCTGAGCTTGAGATCAGGAGTTCAAGACCAACCTGGGCAACATGGAGAGCCCCCACCCCCCAACACCACCACCATCCCTCTACAAAAAATACAAAATATTAGTGGCATAGTGACGCGTGCCTCTGATCCCAGCTACTCCAGAGGCTGAGGTGAGAAGACCGGTTCAGGCAGGGATTGCAATGAGCTGTGATCACCCCAGCCTGGGTGACAGGGCAAGACCCTGTCTCAAAAAAAGGAGAGAAAAAAAAGAGAGAAAGAAATCAGCAGCGAGATATAATAGTCAAATCCCCAAGCAGGTCAGTTTTCGCTGGAATGATAAGAAGGTCCACTCTGCTTTAACCTTTAAACGGAAAGTAACTTTAAAGCACCAATCCACTTTGTGTTTTCTGTTTCTGCTTTGCTCAACCCTTTTTTGTCTATAAAGCCAACCTTGGCCAGGCAAGGTGGCTTATGCCTGTAATCCCTGCATTTTGGGAGGCCAAAGCAGGTGGATCACCTGAGGTCAGGAGTTTGAGACCAGCCTGGCCAACATGGTGAAACCCCGTCTCTACTAAAACTACAAAAAATTAGTTGGGCATGGTGGTGGGCACCTGTAATCCCAGCTACTCAAGAGGCTCAGGCAGGAGAATCTCTTGAACCTGGGAGGCAGAAGTTGCAGTGGGCTGAGGTTGTGCCACTGCACTCCAGCCTGGGCACCAAGAGCGGAACTCTGTCTCAAAAATAAAATAAAAGCCAAACTCTTCTGTTCAGCTCATTGAAATACTCATTCTATTTTATGGAATGAGATGTTGCCTGATTTTAGAATCACAAATGGAAGCCAATTAAGATCTTTAAATCTGTTATAACTTTGTCCTTGGACAATGGTTAATATTATATAAGGCACTTGAAGCCTAAGGCATAGCAGGCTCTCCATCAGCATGAGCTATGCCTCCACCATAGCACTTACCAAATTGTATTGTAACTATCAGTTAAAAGTCCACCTCCCTCAAGAAATTTGAGTTCCTTGAGGGCAAGAAGTGAGTCTTACTAATTTTTTGTGCCCAATGCCTATCTCCATGCTTGGCACAAAAGATAAATCAATAAAGATTTATTTTTTTAAATAAGGAGGGAAAGAAAAGACTAAGTGTTAGTCGAGCTGAAGGGAGACAGACTTTTGCCTCTCAGTTTTTTGTTTTTTGCTTTTTTTTTGAGACAGAGCCTCGCTCTGTCGCCCAGGCTGGAGTGCAGTGGCGTGATCTCGGCTTACTGTAACCTACGCCTCCAGGGTCCCAGTTCAAGCAATTCTCCAGTAGCTGGGATTACAAGTACATGCCACCATGCCCAGATAATTTTTGTATTTTTAGTAGAGACAGGGTTTCACCATATTGGCCAACCTGGTCTTGAATTCCTGACCTCGAGGTCCACCCACCTCCTCTCAGTTTTAACTTTAAATTATTATTTAAATAAATTAGAGGCTGGGCCCAGTGGCTCATGCCTATAATCCCAGCACTTTGGGAGGCCAAGGCAGGCAGATGATTTGAGGTCAGGAGTTTGAGACCAGCCTGACCAACATGGTGAAACCCCGTCTCTACTAAAAATACAAAAAACTTAGCCGGTCGTGGTGGTGCACACCTGTAATCCCAACTACTCAGGAGACTGAGGCAGAAGAATCACTTGAACCCAGGAGGTAGAGGATGCAGAGCCGATACGGCGCCAGTGCACTCCAGTTTGGGCAACAGAGTAAGACTCTGTCTCAAAAAATAATAAATAAATAAATAAATAAATAAATAAAGACTGGGGAATAGTGAAGTATGAGCATCCCGAATATCTTCCCCACCCCTCACTTTAATAATTTAAACATGTATCCATCTAATTTGCCTTCCAGGCCCAAATCAAAAACATTCACCTTTCAATTTTAATGTTTATGGACAGTAAGTTCTTGTAATTTCCCATAATCTATTAAACTCAAATTTCCAAAATTTGGGTAGTTTCCAGTTTTTGACTATTATAAATACAGCCATTATAAACATAAGTGTGCAGGGTTTTTTGTGGACATATGTCTTCATTTCTCTCAGGTCAATATCTACGAGCAGTGTTGCTGGATCTTAGGATAAATGTATGTTTGTTTGTTTGTTTGTTTGTTTGGAGACAGTGTCTGGCTCTGTCACCTAGGCTAGAGTGCAATGGCTCAATCTCAGCTCGCTGCAATCTTTGCCTCCCGGGCTTAAGCAATTCTCCCACCTCAGCCTCTTGAGTAGCCCAGACCACAGGCACATGCCACCACACCTGGTAATTTTTGTATTTTTTGTAAAGATGAGGGGGGTCTTACCATATTGCCCAGGCTGGTCTCGAACTCCTGGACTCAAATGATCCTCTTGCCTCAGCTTCCCAAAGTGCTGGGATTGCATGTTCGAGCCACTGTGCCCAGCCTACATCTTAATTATGGTCAAAATTCATAGACTAGTACCCTTAAAAAGAGTAAATTTTACCCTCATAAATTATACCTCAATAAACCCTAAAAATAGTAAATAAGTAAGTGGAGACAGACAGACAGACAGACAGACAGACAGAAATAAGAGGCACTCCCCCAAAAGTTCTCAACACAGCCTGGAAGGCCCTGCATTGTCCTACTCCCATCAGCCTTTTCAGCCTCATCTCCCCATGATGCTGCTCACCCTCTGCTCCTCTCTAGTCACTTCTGCCTTCTTTCACACCCTCTACTCACCACATTTCCTCTGTTCCTACAACCTTAGCACATCCAGTTCCATCTACCTAAGAAGCTCTTTCCTTTGCTCTTCCCCATTATCTTAGTAACTGTCACAGTTGTAATTTTACTTTTTTTGGTTTGTGTGTTTTGGAGACGTAGTCTCGCTCTGACGCCCAGGCTGGAATGCAGTGGCACGATCTCTGCTCACGGCAACCTCCCCCTCCCAGGTTCAAGCAATTCTCCTGCCTCAGCCTCCCAAGTAGCTGGGAGTGCCCACCACCATGCCCCGCTAATTTTTTGTATTTTGGTAGAGACGGGGTTTCACCGTGTTGCCCAGGCTGGTCTCGGATTCCTAAGTTCAGGCAATCCGCCTACCTCGGCCTCCCAAAGTGCTAGGATTACAGGTGTGAGCCACTGCACACGGCCTGTAATTTTACTTTTTTATTTTTGTTATTCTTTTACTAGTGTTATGTGTCTCCTCCACTGAAATAAAAGCTCCTTGAGACCAGGGTCTTTGTTCATCACTGTATCTCCAGAACCTAGTACTGTGTTTTACCTACACAATGAGTGTTCAACCATTATATTCAACTGACTACTTCATGTCTCAACCTTAACATGTCCAAAACTGAAATGTTGATCATCCCCCTGCTCCCACCAGGGTCATTACTCCACATGCAGGGCTGCCATAGTGCACAATTCCAAGGAGTGCCATCCACAGCACAGTCTATGGATGGCATCTTGCCTCTGTTAAAGTGAACTAAATATGGCCAGAGAAGGACTCCGTACTTCCATATTTGAGTCCTTATGGACAACCATAAGCTAACTTAATGGGTAGACAAGATTGAAAACCTAATTTAGAAGTATACGACTCTAACAATAGCTGAGTCTTGGCCAATCACAGCAGCCATACTTCAACCACTCATACACTGCTGAGTGTTCAAACTGTGTTTAAATAAGGCAAACGCCAACCTGTAACCAATCCAGCTGTTTCTGTACTTCACTTCCGATTTCTGTACCTCACTTCCCTTTTTTTGCCTGTAATTTGTTCTGACTACCAGGCATCCCTGGAGTCTCTCTGAATTTGCTGTGATTCTGGGGGCTGCCCGATTCGCGAATAGTTTATTGCTCAGATAAACTACTTTACATTTATTTATTTATTTATTAAGATGGAGTCTTGCTCTGTCGCCCAGGCTGGAGTGCAGTGGCTTGATCTCTGCTCACTGAAACCTCCACCTCTCGGGTTCAAGCGATTCTCCTGCCTCGGCCTCCCAAGTAGCTGGGATTACCGGCACGCGCCACCATGCCCGGCTAATTTTTGTATTTTTAGTAGAGACGGGGTTTCACCATGTTGGCCAGACTGGTCTCAAACTCCTGACCTCAGGTGATCCTCCCACCTCGGCCTCCCAAAGTGCTGGAATTACAGGCGTGAGCCACTGCTCCTGGCCAAATTCCTTTACATTTAATTCAGCTGAAGTTTTTATTTTAACAACTTCTTCCCAGTTATGCCCTTCACATGACTGCCAATATGAATGGTGCCCTCTGGAGTTGTGCATTACTCTTCTCAACCTCAGTGATGGCAACTCCATCCTTCCAGTTGCTCAGGCCAAAAATTCTGGAGGCATCCTTGACTCCTCTTTTTAACTCATATCTCACATTTACTCTACCAAGAAATTCTATTGACTCAACCTTCAAAATACATAGCACTTGGGGCCAGGCACAGTGGCTCAGGCCTGTAATTCTAGCACTTTGGGAGGCCAAGGTAGGAGGACCCCTTGAGCCCAGAAGTTCGAGACCAGCCTGGGCAACATTATGAAACAGTCTACAAAAAACACAAAAATTAGCTGGGCGTGGTGGCATGCACCTGTGGTCTCAGTTACTCAGGAGGCTGAGGTGGGAGGATCTCTTGAGCCCAGGAAGTTGAGGCTGCAGTGAGCCCTGATTGCGCCACTACACTCCAGCCAGGGTGACAGAGTGAGATCCTGTCTCAAAAAAATAAACAAAGTACATCAGCGCCTCTCACCTTCTCCATCACTTTCACTGTAGCCTGAACCACCCACCAACATCTCCCATATGGATTATTGCAATAGACTTCATAGTTCTTGTTTCTGCTCTTGCCCTCCTACAAACTACTCTCAATCCAGTAGCCAAAGATCCTTTTTTTTTCTTGAGACAGTCTCACTCTGTTGCCCAGGCTTAAGTGCAGAGCTATGATCATAGCTCACTGCAGCCTCGAACTCCTGAGCTCGAGTGATCCTCCCACCTCAGCTCCCCAAGTAGCTGTGACTACAGGTGTGAGCCACAACACCCAGTTAATTTTTTTTAATTTTTAGTAGAGATGGGGTCTTGCTATGTTGCCCAGCCAAAGACCCTTTAAAACATAAATCTGACCATATCACTACTCTGTTCAAAACCCTGCAGTTCTCAGGAAGTTAGAGAGGAATGATACTTACCAGAGGCTAGGAAAGGGCAAGGTGAAGGAGATGAAGACAGGTTAGTTAATGGGTATAAACATACAATCTGATAGCAAGAATAAATTCTAGGTCAGGCACGGTGGCTCATGCCTACAATCTCAGTACTTTGGGAGGTGGAGGCGAGTGGATCACCTGAGGTCAGGAGTTAGAGACCAGTCTGGCCAACATGGTGAAACACCGTCTCTACTAAAAATACAAAAATTAGCCAAGTGTGGTGGTGCGTGCCTGTAATCCCAGGTACTAGTGGGGGCTGAGGCTTGAATCCGGGAAGCGGAGATTGCAATGAGCCAAGATCAAGCCACTGCACTGCAGCCTGGGCAACAGAGCGAGACTCTGTCTCAAAAAAAAAAAAAAAGAAAAGAATAAATTCTAGTGTTGAATAGCACAGTAGGGTGACTACAGTTAACAATACTTTATTGTATATTTCAAAATAGCTATAAGAGAGGATTTGAAATATTCCCAGCACAAAGAAATAATAAATGTTGCAGGTGACGGATATGCTGAATGTCCTGATTTAATCATTACACATTGTATGCATGTATTAAAATATCACATGCACTCCATAAATATGTATAATTACTATGTATCAATTTTCTTAATGTTAAAAAAATCCAACAACCCTGAAGTGGGTCCCCGTTTCCCTAATTATAAAAGCCAAAGTCTTTCCAATGACCTCTAAGGCCCTCAGGCCTCCCAGACAGCTGCATGACTACATCTCTTACTTCCTTCAACTATGTTCAAATTATACCTTTGGCCAGGCGCGGTGGCTCATGCCTGTAATCCCAGCACTTTGAGAGACCGAGGTGGGTAGATTACTTGAGGCCAGGAGTTCGATACTAGCCTGGCCAACATGGTGAAACCCCATCTCTACCAAAAATTAGCCGGGTGTGGTGGCACAGCTACTCAGGAGGCTGTGGCACAGCTACTCAGGAGGCTGTGGCACAAGATCGCTTGAACCCGGGAGGCCAAGGTTGCAGTGAGCCAAGTTCTCACCACTGCCCTCCAGCCTGGGTGACAGAGCAAAACTCCCTCTCATGAGGCTTACCTTGACCTATTTAACTTGCTACTCTCCAAACCCCCTTACTCTGCTATTTTTATTTCTGCTCTTATAACTGTCTGACATACTTATGTATGATGTTTGTATCCATTTATCGTATTCATTGTTTATTATCTGTATTTCTTCTGTAGGATAAAAGATCTAGAAGAACAAGATGTATTTATGAGAACCTCCCCATGCATCTAAAAGAATGTCTGGCACGTTGCAGGTTCAATAAGTTAATGAATAACTACAGTGTCTGCCAAGTAATTAAAGATTAGCAAATATTAATATAGGAACAAGGGTGACACATATGTTGATACTAGTTATAAAGTTTTTCTCTCCATAGCATGTACTTATTTGTTAATATACATGTATATGGAACTGTGCAGGTAGGGTGAAAACTGGTTTTTGCAGTCAGAGCTTGGGTGATTCCTGGCCTTTCACCACCTCCTATCTGTGTGATCCTGCAGAAGATTCCCAAATAGGAATAAAAACACTTGTCCCATTGACCTAACAGGTTGTTGAGAAAATAAAATGAATGTGAATCATTTAGCAAGCTGAGATATGCAGCATAGTTCTTTAGGAAGAGCAGGATTTGAAACTTTGAATAACACTCATTGTCATCATGCCATTTATTCCCGAAGAGAGTTCCATGCCCTCTGTACTGCCAGTCAGATTTTAACCTTTATTTTTGCCCAGTGCTGACAGGGAGGAACCTCTGAGCTCCCTCACCCTGTTCAGGTTAATTGCCCTCTCTTTTCCTTTCCATTTTCGGATGATGGACAGCAAGTGCTGCGTTCCCTGCTCCCTGATCTCACTGACTCAGACTGCCTCTTACTTTCACCAGGGATGAAAAAGGAGCAGTAACAACACGTGTGTGAGCACTGGCATAGCTTTACGAGAGCTTCAGTGGAAAGGATGTCTCTTCTAAAGGAAGAGATGAAGCTGCTTTTCCCGAGAGTGCAGAACACGGGGCAAACAGTTGATTCAGGAGAACTGGGTTCACTGCCCCATAGCTCTACGAACTGAGAGACTTGGGGAAGTCCCTTCGATTTTACTAGGAAAAGGACGTCATCATAGCTATCACAGTGCCCTTTGGCCCTGGCAAAAGTTTTTGGAGGATCAAAGTGGAAGGAGGCTCCCACACACTGAGAGTTTGTATTGAGGCTTTCGGTGTAGTTAAGAGTGAAACAGGGGCCGGGCGCGGTGGCTCACGCCTGTAATCCCAGCACTTTGGGAGGCCGAGGCGGGTGAATCACCTGAGGTCAGGAGTTCTAGATCAGCCTGACCAACATGGTGAAACTGTCTCTACTAGAAATACAAAATTAGCTGGCTGTGGTGGCACATGCCTGTAATCCAGCTACTTGGGAGACTGAGGCAGGAGAATCGCTTGAACTCGGGAGGCAGACGTTGCAGTGAGCCAAGATTGTGCCATTGCACTCCAACCTGGGCAACAAGAGCAAAACTGCGTCTCAAAAAAAGAAAAGAGAGAGAGAGTGAAAAAGGGCTGAGCGCGGCCGCTTGAGGCCGAGGCGGGTGGATCACTTGAGGTCAGGAGTTTGAGACCAGCCTGACTAACATGGTGAAACCCCCGACTCTACTAAAAATACAAAAGGGAGTGGTGGCGTGCGCCTGTAGTTCCAGCTACTCGGGAGGCTAAGGCAGAGGAATCGCCCGAACCCAGAAGGCGGAGGTTGCAGTGAGCCGAGAGCGTGCCACTGCACTCCTGCCTGGGCGACAGAGCAAGACTCCGTCTCAAATAATAATAATAATAATGAGAGCAAAAAAGAAAGAAAAGCCAAAACAAGCCTCAGAAACTGCCATTTGTTTAATATCTGCATTAAAAAAATTATCCCTTCCATCAGATGAAAAATACCTTATAATTTATGATGGATAATACATTAATTCGTAGCACACTAGAAACAAGGGATTCCTTAAGACACATATGTGGGGTTTTTGTTGTTGTTGTTGTTGTTGTTGTTATTTTTATTATCTTTAAGGATAATTTGTTGGGTAGGGGTCAGTGAGTTGGGAGTCCTGATTGGTTGGGTCGGAGACGAGACACGTAAGTTTAAGTTCTATAATGAAACGCTTTCAATCATGTCAGTTTATCTGTGCCTATAAACACACTCCTTTAGAGAAAATCAAAAGTTTATAGCCAGGCGCGGTGGCTCACGCCTGTAATCCCAGCACTTTGGGAGGCCGAGGTGGGTGGATCACCTTAGGTCAGGAGTTCGAGACCAGCCTGACCAACGTGGTGAATTACCATCTCTACTAGAAACACAAATTGAACGGGCGTGTTTGTGGGCACCTGTAATCCCAGCTACTCGGGAGGCTGAGACAGGAGAATCGCTTGAACCCGGGGGACGGAGGTGGTAGTGAGCCAAGATCGCACCACTGCACTCCAGCCTGGGCAACAAGAGTGAAACTCCGTCTCAAAAAAAAAAGTTTACATATAAGGCTCTCTTAGTATCCCTGGGAAGAGGGTTCATCCTGTCTATGAACGGGTTTAGGATGACACAAATTATCAAATTATCCGATTAGTGCACTTTCCTAACCCATATGTTTAATCAGTGGCACATCCTGGTTTTGAATTATTTAAACGCATTATTATTTAGCCATTCACATACTTACGTTTGTCACTTCCAGTTAAACTGTAGCCACCTACAGAGAGCGAAACAGAAGTCGGCTGATAAAATTTTGATAAAATTTCATTTGCCCGCAGCTGGTCATTTCATTGGGCGCTTTTGTGTTACAAAAGTGTGTGAATTGGCCGGGCGCGGTGGCTCACGCCTGTAAATCCCAGCACTTTGGGAGGCCGAGGCAGGTGGATCACTAAAGGTCACGAGTTCGAGACCAGTCTGGCCAACATGGTGAACCCTCCCCCCCCCCACACACACACACACACCCCGCGTCTCTAGTAAAATACAAAAATTAGCCAGGCATGGTGGTGCGCGCCTGTAATCCCAGCCACTCGAGAGGCTGAGGCGGGAGAATCACTTGAGCCTTGGAGGTGGAGGTTGTAGTGAGCCCAGATCGCAACACTGCACTCCAGCCTAGGGGACAGAGCGAGACTTCCTCTCAAAAAAAAAAGACTTATGAATTGTTTGAAGAGGCACGAGACCGTGGCAACCCTAACTGTCCCCGACATCTGGCAGCCATATGCTATCCTTGAACTTGAACTTCAGAGTGAAAGTATAAATTTGTAAGGGGAAGGCTCAGCCGCAAGTCACATACCAGTGGTCAGTTAAAAAAAAAAAACTCAGGACGGCAACCTAAATCATTTAGAACGCGTCAAGAGCCTCGGAAAAACTATTTTCACACACTTCTCTAGCACTAACATGGGAAGCGCGTTTCCTTCACATATTCCACACCTTTTATTCTTCCCACCAACATCAAGAATACAAAGCGCCCAGAGAGGACAATAAGCCTAAGCAGCGGCTCCAAGAGACCGGACTTTCGTACTTCCCGGGGGCAGGCGGAAGGTTACGGAGCGCTGGAAGGATCTTACTGCTCCTTGAAGGGCTGTCTGAGAAAATACACAGCCTAACGACTCCTCGTTAGTATAGTGGTTAGTATCCCCGCCTGTCACGCGGGAGACCGGGGTTCAATTCCCCGACGGGGAGGTGTGTAGCTGCACTTTTTTGGCGACAGTTATTATTTTCTGTATCATTCAATGACAGGACACTGCTGTTAAACATAATATGCTAAACCAGCTCCCTTAAGTGCACAACCCTGTCTTCAAAATGGTGACTTTTAACCTTAATGCCCACCATGAAGTGAAAGCCTCCCCTGAGAGAAAATGCCTTACATTGTTTGCAGGAAGGGAGGAAAGGGAAAAAGAAAACGCTCTGAAGGCCTCTGCCCTTGCCTCCAGCCGCCATCTTGCGAAGGCCTGCGCCGGCTTAGTGGCGCCCCGCCAGATTACAACTCGAGGTCGCGAACTCAGCGCGCGGAACCTGTTGGGGGAGGGGAGAGAGGGCGGAGTCTCGCGACTAACGGGGCGGGGGCAGGGCGGGTAAGAACGGAAATCATTTGGTAAAGAAAAGGAAGGGCCAATTTCCTTTGATCCTGGAGACCCGACTAAACGGGAAGCCCCGTTCTCCCGCTTCCGCTGGTTACGTCCCAGCCTTGGTTAGAGGACTAGCAGTCAGGAAAGTTTGGACGCTGAAGGAATCGGTCTCCTGGTCCGACAGATACTGGGTGGAGGGGCAGAGAGTAAATGGAAGAGAAAGACTGGTACCCCTGGAAGAAACGCCATTTACTGGTGTCCTAAGAAACTGCGCGAGCCACAGCCCAGCAGGACCTCGTGGCGCAACGGTAGCGCGTCTGACTCCAGATCAGAAGGCTGCGTGTTCGAATCACGTCGGGGTCAAACTTTTTTTTTTTCCTCCTGTATTTTAAACTACCGACTACTAGAAGCCGAGGTGTATTCCTGCCGCCAATTTTCTTGAATGTTAGAATTAAGTTTTCCTCTTTCAGGTATTATGATACTAATCCTTGGTTTGCAGGAAGATATGATTTACTCTATATCGAAGAGCCTCAAGGCTGATGTTTTTATCATTTGGCCTTTTAAAGTGAGTTTTTTTGTCACTTAACATGCATAATGTGTAAAGAGGTGGACTATTACTGCTGTGCATTAGTGGGTGTATCAGTCCACTAGTCTATCACAGGAAGTGTACAATATACTGTACAAGCTGTTTTTTCCAAACAGTTTTAGGCTGTTTGCCTTTTGAAAGAGAGTACAATAGTGTACAATTTCTAATTTTGAATATTATGCTAATCAAGTGTCTTAGCCCTTACCATGTGCCAACACTGTGAACAACCTCACAATGTGTGACTATTATCCCACTTTTACAAATGTGGCTGTGGCTCACAGGGTTAGTGACCTGCCAAGGGTCACCCAAGATTCTGAACCAGGTGAGGGACTCTGGATCCCTCTTTATAAATACTTTATAATAAAGGTGGAAACAAACAGTTGAAAGAATGTGTGACTGCCAGGCTCAGTGGCTTACACCTGTAATCCTAGCACTTTGGAAGGCCAAAGTGGGTGGATCACGAGGTCAGGAGTTCAAGACCAGCCTGACCAACATGGTGAAACCCCATTTCTACTGAAAATACAAAAATTAGCTGGGCATGGTGGGGTGCACCTGTAATCCCAGCTACTCCGGAGGCTGAGGCAGAAGAATTGATTGAACCCGGGAGGCGGAGGTTGCAGTGAGCCTGGGTGACCAAGCAAGACTCCTTCTGGAGGTGGGTGGCGGGGAGGAATGTGGGAAAAGCTGTTGGACTGGGCGCCTTTTATGTTTTCACCGATTATGCGAGTGATGACTAGTCACCACTTTTGACTATTAATCTCTTTAATAGCAGGAAGCAAAGCTTGCTCGTTCACATTTGCAAGCTCCAGGACTCTTAGTACTAAATAGTGCCCTACACGTAAGTGTCAAATATTTGTTGAACAGAAAATGAATAGCAAGACTATGAGAAATTAATAGTTTTAGATTTTGATGATATGTTTTGTAAAATTCCTGAGGTTTTCTGCTTAGTATTTTGAAAATACCAAACACTAATTTCTTTTGATTCAACCTAATGTAGCAGTATACCTGGAAATTATATTTGCACATGGTGTGGTTTGTTCTTCCCTCTCCTGTTTGGATTAAAATTAGATCATCCATTTCAACGGGTATTTATGGACTGTCAACTCTGATGAGCCTGATACTGTGCTAAGTACTAAGGATGAGGATACACTGAGTAAAAATGGGTTTTTTTGAGCATCAGGAGACAGATATGTTAAGCCACCAAACGCCATAATGTGTTGGGGTAAGTTCATGTTACTTGGTAAGAACCATGAAAGTAACATGAACAGAGTGGTATGGGGGTGCTAAAACAGTGGACAGTAACTCCACATTGGGTTGTATGAGGCTATAACAAGGTGATACAACCTCTCCATCTACATCACAAAAATATGGTTTTGTCCAAATGAGTTAACATGATTGGTCCAAGCTACGATATATGCAGTATATGCAAATGATGCCAGAGGGAAGAAATGGCTTCTGTTATGGGCTGAATTTTTTTTTTTTTTTTTTTTTTGAGATGGAGTCTCACCCTGTCGCCCAAGCTGGAATGCAGTGGCAACCTCCGCCTCCCAGGTTCAAACGATTCAGCCTCCCAAGTAGCTGGGATTACAAGTGCACCCCACTACACCCAGCTATTTTTTTGTTTGTTTGTTTGTTATCTTTAGTAGAGACAAGGTTTCACCATGTTGGCCAGGCTGGTCTTGAACTCCTGACCTCATGATCCACCTGCGTCAGCCTCCCAAAGTGCTGGGATTACAGGCGTGAGCCACCACACCCAGTTTATGGGCTGAATTTCATCTCCCCAACATTCATATGTTGAAGCCCTCACTCCTAGTACCTCAGAATGATCGTAAGACCTGATTAAGTACGCTAGGTGCAGTGGCTCACGCCTGTAATCCCAGCACTTTGGGAGGCCAAGGCAGGTGGATCACAAGATCAGGAGTTGGAGACCAGCCTTGCCAACATGGTGAAACCCTGTCTCTACTGGAAATAGAAAAATTAGCTGGGCGCGGTGGCGGGTGCCTATAATTCCAGCTACTCGGGAGGCTGAGGCAGGAGAATTGCTTGAACCCGGGAGGCAGAGGTTGCAGTGAGCCGAGATCGCACCACTGCACTCTAGCCTAGGTGACAGAGCAAGACTCTCTTTTAAAAAAAAAAAAAAAAAGACATTATTAAGTAAAAATGAGGCCATTAGGGTGGGCCCTAATCCAGTCTGACTGGTGTCATATTTATAAGAGGAAATTTGGACACACAGACACCAAGGATGTGTGCACACAGGGGAAAGGCCATGTGAGGATACAGCAAGAGAGTAGCCATCTACAAGCCAAGGTCTAGGAAGAAGCCAACCCTGCTGGCCTCTTGATCTTAGACTTCTAGCCTCAAGATCTCTGAGAAAATAAATATCTGTTTACTTTTATTATGGTAGCCCTGGCAAACGAATACAGCTTCCGTCAAGAACTACTAGTTCTGCAGAATGGCTGGAGAGGTAAATAGGCGTCAGCATACAGGATCAGTGTGCCATTCCAACTAATTTAGATTTTATTCTGAGGGCAATGCAGAACTATAATTCATGACTAAGACAATCCAGCCAGCTTCACAAAGACTAAAAAATGGCCAAGAACTGTTCCTGGACCACCATCCTGGGAATAAGTTAGAAATGCAAATTTTCAGGCCTCACCTCAGACCTACAGTCTCAGAAAATTGGGTGTGGGGCACAGCAACAAACCTTCCAGCCGTTTTGATGCAAGCTAAAGTTTGAGGACCTCCGGCCTATAAAGCAAGGCAAGACTAGACGTCCTACTTACCCCACAGGTTAAAAGGATCAAATAAGATAAAATACATCAAAATGTTTTTGAAGCTGTTATACATGTCATTATTAATACTGTTATGGCTCTAAAACTGTCACTTCCCAGGTCCCAGATTCTTTCCCAAGGCTGGACATCTGTAGTTTTTTAGAATGCTCCATCTGATGACTTTCTATAACTTTGAAATGACTGCAAATCCAACACTTTTTAACTTAATCTTCTATACTCATGATATAGGGATGATATACGGAAAGAGTTTTATAGGAAAGGTGGAAACAAAGAGCTATCAAGAGCTATGAAGTGTCAGGATTTGAACTGAAACATGGACCTGTCTAGAAAAGACAGCTCTGTGGATTTGTTCTATTTCACTAAGAAATGTCTATTCATGTATTCTTGCAAGAGGACTTATCCACTACTATAGAATGCTCTGAGCATTTATTTCACCTGTTTAATAGCCTTGCTTTCTTTTCTGAGAGTATTTTAGTTACTTAAGTCCTGTGAAAGAAAAATCTCGGTGTTACTGGGGTCCCAATCCAGACCACAAGAGAGGGTTCTTGAACCTCACACAAGAAAGAATTCAAGGCGAGTCCATAAAATGAAAGCAAGTTTATTAGGTAAAGGAATAAAGAATGGCTACTCCATAGGCAGAGCAGCCCAGAGGGCTGCTGATTGCCCATTTTTGTGGTTATTTCTTCATTATATGCTAAACAAGGGGTGGATTATTCATGCCTCCCCTTTTTAGACCATATAGGGTAACCTCCTGACATTGCCATGGCATTTGTAAACTGTCATGGTGCTGGTGGGAGTGTAGCAGTGAGGACAACCAGAGGTCACTCTCATCGCCATCTTGGTTTTGGTGGGTTTTGGCAGGCTACTGCAACCTGTTTCACCAGCAAGGTCTTTATGACCTGTGTCTTTTTTTTTTTTTTTTTTTTTTTTTTTGAGACAGAGTCTCACTCTCGCCCAGGCTGGAGTGCAGTGGTGCAATCTCAGCTCACTGCAACCTCCACCTCCCAGGTTCAAGCAATTCTTCTGCCTCAGCCTCCTGAGTAGCTGGGACTACAGGCACGCGCCACCACGCCCAGCTAATTTTTGTATTTTTAGTAGAGACAGGGTTTCACCATGTTGGTCAGGCTGGTCTCGAACTCCTGACCTCGTGATCCACCTGCCTTGGCCTCCCAAAGTGCTGGGATTACAGGCGTGAGCCACCGTGCCCGGCCTATGACCTGTATCTTCTGCCGACCTCCTATCTCGTCTTGTGACTTAAAATGCCTTAACTGTCTGGGAATGCAGCCCAGTAGGTCTTTTCTTTTTTTTTTTTTTTTTTTTTTGAGACGGAGTTTTGCTCGTTGTCCAGGCTGGACTGCAATGGCGCGATCTTGGCTCACTACAACCTCCGCCTCCCGGGTTCAAGCGATTCTTCTGCCTCAGCCTCCTGAGTAGCTGGGATTACAGGCATGTGCCACCACGCCCAGCTAATTTTGTATTTTTAGTAGAGACAGGGTTTCTCCATGTTGATCAGGCTGGTCTCAAACTCCCGACCTCAGGTGATCCACCCACCTTGGCCTCCCAAAGTGCTGGGATTACAGGCATGGGCCACCGTGCACGGCCTTACCCACCCTTTTTTCAACATGGAGGTGCTGTGATTCAAACCCCTCTAACATCAGGACCCCAAAAATGACTAAGCCAAAGGGAAAGTCAAGCTGGGAACTGCTTAGGGCAAACCTGCCTCCCATTCTACTCCTAAAAAAAAAGATAGCTACTAAGATAAAAAAGCTATATATACCTCCCTCACAATTTGACCACAAAGAAATTCCTTGTGGACAAAGGACAGATAGAGATTTAAAAAGTCATCCCTCTGCTCATATGAGATAAATGCATATCTGATTGCCCTTTTGTTTCCCTAAGCCAGACTAACATAAGTGACTATTCCTGTAAATAGTGTATTCAGTGAAAGGCTAATCAGCAACTCAAAAGAATGCAACCATTGGTCTTTTATCTACCTATGACCTGGAACACCCCGGAGCCCCCCAACCCCCACTTGTATTAATAGCTGTCCCGCCTTTCTGGATGGGACCATTGTACATCTTAAACATATTGATTGATGTCTCATGTCTCCCTAAAATGTATAAAACCAAGCTGTGCCACACAACCTTGGGCACATGTCGTCAGGACCTCCTGAGGCTGTGTCATGGGTGTGTCCTTAACCTTGGCAAAATAAACTTTCTAAATTGATTGAGACCTGTCTCCGATTCTCTTGGTTTACAGAGCGATGTATTCTGGACGAACTAATAAAATTGAGCTTTTGGACACGCAGAATTGAAATGCAGACCTGAATTCTGATAAGCCAAATGGTTCTCCAACTTAGCACTCTCACTTAAAAAGAAAAATATGGTTTTAAAATCATATGTGTTCATTGTGGAAATCTAGGGAAATACAGACATATAAATAAAAAGAAAATAAGAATCACCTGTGCCTCACTATCCAAGAGAAAGTACTCCACTTTGATGTATATTATTTTTTTTCTTTTCTTTTCTTTTTTTTTTTTTTTTTTTTGCCTCCCCAATAGCTGGGAGTACAGGAGCACACCAGCATGCCAGCTAATTTTTTTTTTTTCTTTTTTTTTGAGACTGAGTTCCGCTCTTGCCCAGGCTGGAGTGCAATGGCGAGATCTTGGCTCACTGCAACCTCCGCCTCCCAGGTTCAGGTGATTCTTCTGCCTCAGCCTCCCAAGTAGCTGGGGATTACAGGTGCCCACCACCACACCTGGATAATTACTGTATTTTTAGTAGAGACAGGGTTTCGCCACGTTGGCCAGGCTGGTCTTGAACCCCTGACCTTGGGTGATCCGCCCGCCTCGGCCTCCCAAAGTGCTGGGATTACAGACGTGAGCCACCGTGCCCGGCCCCACCTAATTTTTGGTTATTTTTAGTAGAGACTGGGGTCTCCCTATGTTGCCCAGGCTGGTCTCAAACTCCTGAGCTCAAGGGATCCTCCCACCTCAGCCTTCCAAAGTACTGGGATTATAGGTGACAGCCACCAAGCCAGCCTCATATTCTTAAATGTCAAAACATGATTTTTTACTACTGTGCATTATTTTGTCATATGGATATATCATAAACAACCAATTCCTTACTATTGGAGATAGAGATTTTTTATTTTTTTCACCATTATAAATGAAGCAATAAATACCTTTATAAATGAATTCCACATTTGATTTTATCTTTAGAATAAATTATCAGAAATGGCTTAAGGGAGCTAAACTTTTTTTTTTTTTGAGAGACCGAGTCTCGTTCTGTTGCCCAGGCTGGAGTGCAATGGTGCCATCTCAGCTCACTGCAACCTCCGCCTCCCGGGTTCAAGGGATTCTCCCACCTCAGCCTCCCAAGTAGCTGGGATTACAGGCGCATGCCACCAGGCACGGCTAACTTTTGTATTTTCAGTAGAGAGGGGCTTCCACCATGTTGGTCAGGCTGGTCTCGAACTCCTGATGTGATCTGCCCGCCTTGGCCTCCCCAAGTGCTGGGATTACCGGTGTGAGCCACCGCTCCTGGCCCCTCTTATTATTTTTTTTTAAGATGGAGTCTTGATCGGTCGCCCAGGCTGGAGTGCAGTGGCACGATCTCGGCTCACTGCAACCTCTGCCTCCCGGGTTCAAGCGATTCTCCTACCTCAGCCTCCCTAGTAGCTGAGATTACAGGCGCCCACCACAAGGCCCAGCTAATTTTTTAATTTCTTGGCCAGGCTGAGCTCGAACTCATGACTTCAAGTGATCCGCCCACCCCAGCCTCCCAAAGTGCTGGAATTACAGGCATGAGCCACGACGCCCGGCCGAGAACTAAACATTTTTTAAGGTTTTTAGCTTCTTACTATTTTACATCACTTAAAGTGCAACTTACCCTCCTGTTTGAGGTGACACCCTTAAATTCACAACCAATCCTCCGCAAAATGGGATAATGAAAAACAAAGCCAGCTGTATGTTAATAATATTAAGAACTTCAAAAAAAGAATGGAGGCAGTTATCCAGGTGATTTTTGTTTGTTTGTTTGTTTTGAGATGGAGTTTCGCTCGTGTTGCCCAGGCTGGAATGCAATTGCACGATCTCGGTTCACCACAACCTCCGCCTCCCGGGTTCAAGTGATTCTCCTGCCTCAGCCTCCCGTGTAGCTTGGATTACAGGCATGCGCCACCACGCCAGGCTAATTTTGTATTTTTAGTAGAGACGGGGTTTCTCCACATGGTCTCAAATTCCCGACCTCAGGTGATCTGCCTGCCTCAGCCTCCCAAAGTGCTGGGATTACAGGCGTGAGCCACCGGGCCCACCTCCAGATGATTTTTTTTTAAGTTATGGGAAAGTTTTCTGATTTAAAAAAAAAAAAAATTGCATCAGGCCAGACGCAGTGGCTCATGCCTGTAATCCCAGCAATTTGGGAGGCTGAGGCGGGTGGATTGCCTGAGGTCAGGAGTTTGAGACCAGCCTGGTCAACATGGTGAAACTCTTGTCTCTACTATATTACAAAAAAATTAGCTGGGCGTGGCAGCAGGCGCCTGTAATCCCAGCTACTTGGGAGGCTGAGGCAGAAGAATTGCTTGAACCTGGGAGGCAGAGGTTACAGTGGGCTGAGATTGTGCTACTGCACTCCAGGCTCGGCAACAGAGGGAGACTCCATTTCCAAAAAAAAAAAAAAAAAAATTTGCATCCACCAGGCACAGTGGCTCATGCCTGTAATCCCAGAACTTTGGGAGGCTGAGGCGGGTGGATCACCTGAGGTCAGGAGTTCAAGACCAGCCTGGTCAACATGGTGAAACCCAGTCTCTACTAAAATACAAACAAATTAGATGAGTGTATTAGCAGGCGCCTGTAGTCCCAGCTACTCTGGAGGCTGGGGCAAGGAGAATTGCTTGAACCTGGGAGGCGGAGGTTGCAGTGAGCCGAGACTACGTCACTGCACTCCAGCCTAGTCTCTGTTGGACATTCTGACCACAGTCAGAATATTAAGACTTCTAAAAACTCTCATTTCCCTGTGAAATTTTCTGAATTAAAATTACTTTTATCTACCAATGACCTGGAACACCCCGAGCCCCCCAACCCCCACTTTTATTAATAGTTGTCCCGCCTTTCTGGAAGGGACCAATCTACATCTTACACATATTGATTTTAGAGACAGGGTCTCACTCTGTCACCCAGGCTGGAATGCAGTGACAGGATTATGGCTCACTGCAGCCTCAACCTCCCAGGCTCAAGTGATCCTCCCACCTCAGTCTCCCTAGTAGCTAGAACTACAGGTGGGCACCATGGCTAAATTTTGTATTTTTTTGTAGAGAGGGGGTTTTACTGTTTTGCCCAGGCTAGTCTTGAACTCCTAAGCTCAAGGGATCCGCCTGTCTCAGCCTCCCAAAGTGTTGGGATTACAGGCGTGAGCCACAGTGCTCAGCCTTTGTGTTTTTTGTGTCACATTGATCAAATATTTTAAAAATTATCTTTTATGTTGAAACAAGTATTAAGGAGATGATGGAAAGAGTCAATTCCTTGAGAAGGGTGAGAGCCAGAGTACAAGTGGTGGAATTTCCTTCTGACAGGACACATCTTTCACTGAAAAGAAAAATGCAAGAGAAAATGAATGCAAATTGGAAAGTCTGACGTTGAAGCATTCCTCATAGGTGGTTTTTATTTTTTGAAGTTGAGGCAAGGTCACCAGCTAAAAATGAGAGGTAGGGAAAAAGGATGTGAAATTTGAGGAGATGTGAACGTATGAATGGTTAACCCAGAGACTGGAATAGCATTGCCAGCCAGTGTTGAGTGCTCCTGAGAGGACTGAGGTCATGAATTAAAACCAGTTAGCTTGTTATATGACTGACTTTTCTCCAGCAGCTTTTGCTGTTTGGATGTAAGCAATGAGAAAGTTCAGCTGGAGCATGGTTTAGTCCAAGCAAGGCTGAGATTCTTTCAAGCAAAAAAGGAGACATTGAGATCAGAGAGTTGAAAATGTTTGTAAAAGAGTGATGAAAAGGACTGATCAGGGAATTTAAGTCAGGTGAGTTGCAAAATTATTACATGATGGCAGAAGCAGAAGAGTTGAGTTTTTTTAAGTGTTGGGGTTAATAGCGTGGAGGTCTTAATTAGGTAAGTGAGAGTACCATAAATTAGCTGGGAAAAAAAGGCTAGTGATTGACAATTGGGAAGCTTGAAACTGAGATTTCAACTGATGACAAGGTTCAGAATCTGACTGATACCGAAGTGGTTAAGACGCAAGAGAGGAACAAATTGTTGGAGATGAAGAGGTCAGAGGTCTAAGAGGCCAAGTGTTGGTGTTGCATGGGTCACCTACAAGCATGCTGAATTCAGATAGAATGTAGACAAGAGGGATGGTGAGGAAAACCTACGGCAAGCAGCTCTATAATTTCTGGAAAGTGACCAGGAGGCTCGTGGATGATGGCAGGAAGGAGAGTAGAAAGTGATTTAGCCAGAAGATATGAACTTCAAATATTTTTGAAGCAGAAAAGAGCAGAAATGGTTTGGAAGTAGCAATCAGGACCAAAGAGACCACCCAAACTCAATAGCCCAACCTCTTAGCCTTAGGGTACGCAGAATCTGAAAAGTGTAATCTCAATTTTGGAGCTCTACAGCAGTAAATCTGCAAGTAACCACCTGTAGCTAATGTCCAGGGATTAAAAAAAAGATAATGAAAATGTTTTTGCCCAGGAAACATTAATTTCAGGCGTATCTAGAATGCAGTTCTTGCATTATACGTACTGGGTTACCAGTCATTGCAAAGTCATGGTCCTTTGCCTCTCAGCTCAGTTCCCCTTCTGAAGATAAAAACATTTGCCTATGTGTCCAGGGAAGCTGTGAGGACAAAAAACCAAGCAACTTTTACAAGGGATCATAAAAACCTACCTAACAACTTGCTAATTAAAACCTGATTTTTAATTTGCATTATTGAGCTTAATACCATTGCTTAAATGTATGTGAATACTGAGATTTTTATAAAGGAATTAGTTACCTCTAGGAAAATAATTATCACTAAAAGAAATAATATCGCAATTTGAATAAAAGTAAGTCGCTTAAATCATAGGAAACATTTTTAGTGAAGGCGTTTGTTTTAAATGTATTCTAACCTAGCAATGTAGAAAGCAGGCAAACATTTAAAAAAAATTTAACCAGTTTCTAAAACATAGTTTGGAGCTCAGATTCTGGGGAAATGATTAACACACCCTACATCCAAGGTCTCCTTTCCTTTCTAGAAAGAAAGCATCTTTAAACATACATATTCATCAGAAATACAAATATTTGTCATCAGTGATACTAATTTCCAGGCAAACATTTTAATTGCAGTCAATGTATTAGATTCTACCAGGTTTTAATTTGGATCGGTAATACGGGTTTGATTAGGGTTCTAGGCCTAATTATAGGTCACTAGTCTTCCTTTAGGATTATGCACCATCTGTTATTTTAAATTGACCATTGAGGGGGTTCCCAAGGGTTCTCCTTCGTTTTGTTATCAAACGTTAGGTTTAGGATTCTTGCGGGTGGTGGGATCCAAAGCCAGAGACGGTTTCAACAAAAATGCAAGCGCGAATTTGTCTTGCGTCTGAACGCACTGTTCAAATTAAACAATTTAGACATGCCCCAACTATGACACTAAGAAGTGAATGGTATAGTACACTTTTGTCACAAATTCAAGGGTAATTTAAGTGCCCGATTGTAGAGGTCTGGCTTCCCCTGGGTTTCTGGAACAAAAGAAGCGTTCGCGAGGAGAGGGGTAACTCCCCGCCCTCCCCCTCCCAAAGTAAATCAAATCAAGGAATATGAGTGCCTGCAGACAAGCCTCGCTTCTTTTCTTCCCCTTCAGGGCTAGCGTTTGGGGAAGGCAAGGCTGCGGCTACTCTTGGAGCTTCAGTGTCCCGGGAGGAAGAAAGGCCCAGCCAAGGGTCCTCACACTGGCGTGGAATTCGGCGCGTTCGTAGGCGATCGACCCCAGAGACGAAAGCTGCTTCTCAAGCTGGGGGAGGGAGAGGAAACGGCGCACAAAAGCAGTACGACCTGTCCCTTATCGGCGTCTAAGGGGAAGGGTGGAGAAAACGAAAACAGAAGCGGGCCGGGAGCCTCGGCTCCCGCCCCAGCGCCTTTTAAACTGCGTTTCTACCTCCTCTCGCTCAGCGCGGCGGCTAATGGAACCCGCGCGAGCCGTCTCGCCAATCACCGCCGCGCTTCCTCCCGTCGCCCGCCAATGGCGGCGCGCGTTCTTGGGGCGTGGGCGAAGCAGGCTGCTCGCCTCCTGCCTGTAGTGTGTGGGCTGGGGTTGGTGCGAGCTTCCAGCTTGGCCGCAGTTGGTTCGTAGTTCGGCTCTGGGGTCTTTTGTGTCCGGGTCTGGCTTGGCTTTGTGTCCGCGAGTTTTTGTTCCGCTCCGCAGCGCTCTTCCCGGGCAGGAGCCGTGAGGCTCGGAGGCGGCAGCGCGGTCCCCGGCCAGGAGCAAGCGCGCCGGCGTGAGCGGCGGCGGCAAAGGCTGTGGGGAGGGGGCTTCGCAGATCCCCGAGATGCCGGAGTTCCTGGAAGACCCCTCGGTCCTGACAAAAGACAAGTTGAAGAGTGAGTTGGTCGCCAACAATGTGACGCTGCCGGCCGGGGAGCAGCGCAAAGACGTGTACGTCCAGCTCTACCTGCAGCACCTCACGGCTCGCAACCGGCCGCCGCTCCCCGCCGGCACCAACAGCAAGGGGCCCCCGGACTTCTCCAGTGACGAAGAGCGCGAGCCCACCCCGGTCCTCGGCTCTGGGGCCGCCGCCGCGGGCCGGAGCCGAGCAGCCGTCGGCAGGGTAAGGACGCGGGGCCGGGGCTACAAAGGCGGGCGTTTGGCGGTTGCCGCGCGCGCTCGCCGCCGTTTGCAGCCCCTCCCTCCCGGGCGCCCCCTCGGGCCTCCCAGGTGCGGGGCTGTCCCTGCGCCCCCTCGCGTCGCCCCTTCCCCGCGGGGCTGCAGGCGCCGGAGCGGAGAGGCCAGAAGTTGGGGCCGCGGGGTTCGCGTTCTTTGACGTGTGGGTCTGGGAGGTGTGGAGTTGCGTTGGCGGCGGTTGTTTTGCACGCAGTCGACGCCGCTTCCCTGGACCACCAGCCGCCTGCAGCGGGCGTTTAGACGGGGACTTCCGTGCCCTTTCGAAAGCTCTGGAGGGGTGGCCCCAAAATGCTATAGGTTAAGTTCGAGCGTTTTCCCGCTTTATTAACTGAAATGACTCGCAGCAGAGTCTCAGAGCGCTCCCTGGAGGGCAACTGATGACACTCTAATTTCTAACCAAAATTTGAAATGAGGAAATTCCCGCCTTTTTATACTTTTGCGTGTGGAGGGCTTTTTGAACCGTTTATGTTTTCTAGTTTGTTTTAATTTTTCCCAGCAACAGGCCATCTTTTGGCGGAACAGGTTCATGCCGAATTAAAAGGAGCATTTTAAACTATATTTTTAGGCGCCTATTATAATTTTTTAGTTTTTATTTATTTATTTTTTTAGATGGAGTGTCGCACTTGTTGCCCAGGCTGGAGTGCAATGGCGAGATCTCGGCTCACCGCAACCTCCACCTCCCGGGTTCAAGCGATTCTCCTGCCTCAGCCTCCCGAGTAGCTGGGATTACAGGCATGCGCCGCCACGCCCGGCTGATTTGTGTATTTTTTAGTAGAGACGGGGTTTCTCCAAGTTGGTCAGGCTGGTCTCGAACTCCTGACCTCAGGTGGTCCTCCCGCCTCGGCCTCACAAAGTGCTGGGATAACAGGCGTGAGCCACCGGGCCCGGCCCTGCAAACAAATATTTGAAAATTGCAGTTTGGATTGCGTTTTCCCCACATATTGGTAAATTTTGCTTGAGGAAACGAAAGACTTAGGATTCAGGAAAAATTTATTTCATGACATTCTGGTGCATCAGTATTGCAATTTGGAATGTCTGATCCTGGTTAAATCTCAAATCGGCTCCAGCAAAGCATGTTTTGTTTCAGAATAGTTTGCTTTTTTACCTGTGGATTTTAATATGCTTTTTGTGGGTTTGCTTATGCCTGCCGAGTTACCAGGCTTCAAATCGTAATAGGATGAAGCTAAAACTAGTAATTGGTGTAACATAAAATGCCTTGTAAGAGACAGTGAATGTGGTGTTTGGAGTTGTTGGGAATGATCACTAGTTTAAACCGAAATTATTCCTTCCTTCAAATTTTACTTTAGTTTTTAAGGAACCTGTCTAATGTGTTTTCCCGGCTACTCAGGCAGAAATGAAAGACAAATGTAATAGACACATGTAAATTTAATTGAAAATCTTATTCTCGGCTTCAGAGAAGTTGAAAGTTTTACCAAACGTCTTCAGTCCGGTGTCTGGCACATAGTAGTGCCAAATATTTGTACAATAAATAAAAGACCAATCACACCTTATTGTTTAAACATCTTGTTTTGCGGAAAGCTTCTTTAATTTCTTAATAAACAAATTTACTTTTGAAATAAAAGCGTACCCGCTTACCCGTTATGTTTCCCTGCTCTGAAAAAGAAGGTAGTATTTAAACTCTTTAAGTAGAGTTGGTTGAGGCCGGGCGCGGTGGCTCACGCCTGTAAGCCCCGCACTTTGGGAGGCCCAGGCGGGTGGATCACCTGAGGTCAGGAGTTCTAGACCAGCCTGGCCCATATGGTGAAACCCCGTTTCTACTAAAGAAAAAAAATACAAAAATTAGCCGTGCCTGGTGGCGGCGGCCGAGGCAGGAGAATCGCTTGAACCCGGGAGGCGGAGGTTGCAGTGAGCCGAGATCGCGCCATCGCACTCCAGCCTGGGGGACAAGAGCGAGACTTCGTCTCAAAAAAAAAAAAAAAAAAAAGTTGTTTGAAAATAATATTTAAATCAGCACACTTTATAAAAAACCTAATTTTCTATAGAACCCTTCATTGGTCCTCTGTGCAAAAGTATTAAACCGTGAAGTTTTTGGTTGTATGTTTATAATAGAATTACTGGTTATTATTTTTAGGCGGGATCTCGCTTTGTTGCCCAGGCCGGAGTGCAGGGATGTGATCATAGCTTACTGCAGCCTCAAACTCTTTGGCTCACGAGAGCCTCCTGCCTCAGCTTCCCTGAGTAGCAAGGGCAACGGGGCATGCACCGCTACACCCGGCTAATTTTCTAATCTTTTTTTTTTTTTTTTTTTTTTTTGGTACACAGGCTTTCTGTGTTGTCCAGGCTGGTCTAGAACTCTTGGCCTCAAGCAATCCTGCCTCAGCCTTGGTTCCTATTTATTTTGAGGATGATTTCTTTTACACAGAAACAACCATCTCAGTTTTAATGTTTTCCTATCAGCCACTTGGTAAAAGAGAGTTTATGTCCCCATCTACCTTGTGTTCTTTTGGGGGGTAAGAAGACCTAAATGTAAAAATTTTTTAATTAAGATTATCCAGCAATTTTGAGTTCCTACCAAGTGTTCTTAACTACTGGGTTTAAAACTTTGGGGATTTAAAAATGAATTGTGTTTATTTACTTGTCTGTCCAACTCATATGTTAATTGAAGTTGGTTAGCATCATGTAAATAAGTTTTGAGTAAAATGAAGGGTTTTTTTTTTTTGAGACGAGTCTTGCTCTGTCGCCCAGTCTGGGGTGCGGTGGCGCGATCTTGGCTCACTGCAAGCTCTGCCTCGTGGGTTCATGCCATTTTCCTGCCTCCGCCTCCCGAGTAGCTGGGACTACAGGCGCCCGCCACCACCCCCCAGCTAATTTTTTGTATTTTTAGTAGAGATGGGGTTTCACCGTGTTAGCCAGGATGGCCTCGATCTCCTGACCTCGTGATCCTCCCGTCTCGGCTTCTCAAAGTGCTGGGATTACAGGCGTGAGCCACCGCGCCCAGCCAAAATGAAGTAATTTTTGTTGTTGTTATTTTGTTTTGTTTGTTTTGTTCTGAGACGGAGTCTCCATTGCCCAGGTTGGAGTGCAATGGCCCGATTTCATCTCTGCCTCCTGGGTTCAAATGATTCTCCTGCCTCGACCTCCCGAGTAGCTGGGATTACAGGCGTATACTACTATACCCGGCTAATTTTTGTATTTTTAGTAGAGAAGGGGTTTCGCCATGTTGGCCAGGCTGGTCTGGAACACCTGACCTCAGGTGATCTGTCCCCCTGGGCTTTCCAAAGTGCTGGGAATGCAAGGATGAGCGACGGCACCCAGCCCAGAAGTCATGTTTTTTAGAGTACCTAGTAGGTCTATTGGCATGGTAATTAAGCTCTTTACGTTTCATTTAATTATTTCATCCATATAAAGAAAACTTACTTCATAATTACAGGTTTAAATGTCTTCTACCTGGAGTATTTAAAACTCAAGAGGTGTTTACCCTTGACTGAGCTTAATAGCCATGCCAACAACTTGAAGAAAAATATTGGTAGTCAGCGTCATTTTCTGTTTTAAAGTACGTTAAGTACAAGTGAGTTATAATTAGGAGTCTGTTCGATGTTTTTATCAGCCATAGGAAAAAATAATTTTAAGTTTACAGGAAAAGAAATTTATAATAATTTATGTGTAAAATTATTCATGTCAATTCCTCTTATATGTACTATATTTTACGTTTTGGTCATTTTTAGCCCCATATAAAAATAATACCAGGTCATATTTCTTTTTTTTTCTTTCTTTCTTTTTTTCTTTTTCTTTTTTTGAGATGGAGTCTTGCTCTGTCACGCAGCCTAGAGTGCAGTGGCGTGATGTCAGCTCACTGCAACCTCTGCCTCCCGGGTTCAAGCGATTCTCCTGCCTCAGCCTCCCAAGTAGCTGGGATTACAGGTGCCCACCACTGCGCCCGGCTAATTTTTGTATTTTTAGTGGAGACGGGGTTTCACCATCTTGGCCAGGCTGGTCTCAAACTCCTGACCTCAGTTGATCCACCCGCCTGAGCCTCCCAAAGTGCTGGGATTACAGGCATGAGCCACCGCGCCCGGCCAACCATATTTTTCCCTTCCTTCCTTCCTTCCTTCCTTCCTTCCTTCCTTCTGTGTGTGTGAGAGATGGAGTCTCACTCTGTCACCCAGGCTGGAGTGCAGTGGCATGATCTCGGCTCACTGCAACCTCTGCCTCCCAAATTCAAGCAATTCTCCTACCTCAGCCTCCTGAGTAGCTGGTATTACTTACAGGCACACACCACTACTCCTGGTTAATTTTTGTATTTTTAGTAGAGACAAGGTTTCACCATGTTGGTCAGGCTGGTCTCGAACTCCTGACCTCGTGATCCACCTGCCTCGGCCTCCCAAAGTGCTGGAATTACAGGAGTGAGCCACCTCACCCGGCCAATACCAGGTCTTATTTCTTTTTTCCTTTTTTTTTTTGAAACGGAGTCTCAGTCTGTCATCCCAGCTGGAGTGCAGTGGTGCAATCTCGGCTCCCTGCAAGCTCTGCCTAGCTGAGACTACAGGTGCCCGCCACCACGCCTGGCTAATTTTATGTATTTTTAGTAAAGACTGTTAGCCAGGATGGTCTCTATCTCCTGATCTGGTGATCTGCCCGCCTCGGCCTCCCAGAGTTCTGGAATTACAGGCATGAGCCACCGCTCCCGGCCTCCAGGTCATATTTCTTAAAGAATATTTATAATCTTCTGCATAATGGAGTGGTAAAAAGGAATAAAAGAATATTTATTTATATTATAGGAGAAAGCCAAATTATGTTTGAGAGTTGCAGATAAGGGAGATTTTTAACATTTTAAGACAAATCAAGCATTAATGTGGATTTGGCCAAGATTAACTATTTGCATGCATATACCTTCTATTTAATCATGGGTTTATGAGGAATTTTTTTTTTTTTTTTTTTTTTTTTGAGACGGAGTGTCGCTCTGTCACCCAGGCTGGACTGCAGTGGCGTGATCTCCACTCACTGCAAGCTCTGCCTCCTGGGTTCACGCCATTCTCCTGCCTCAGCCTCCCGATTAGCTGGGGCTACGTGGTGGCACCTGCCACCACCCCCGGCTAATTTTTTTGTATTTTTAGTAGAGACGGAGTTTCACTGTGTTAGCCAGGATGGTCTGGATCTCCTGATCTTCTGATCCTCCCGCCTCAGCCTCCCAGAGTGCTGGGATTACAGACGTGAGCCACCGTGCCCAGCCTATGGGGAACATTTTTAATTAAATAAGAAATTGTTTCATTTCAGCTTCTACCATAGTCTCTTGGATTCACTTGGTATAATGTGACAAAACTTTGCATGTTAAAAGTTTTGTTTTTATTTTGTTTTCTTATTTCTAAGCTTTTTATTTTATGTATCTTGCTACCAATATTTTTAGGTGTTGAAACTACCTAGATTGTGGACACAAAAATAAACATTTACAGAGTTGGCAGTCTGCCTTTTTGTTTTAAGAGGCAGAGCCTGAAGGTGTAGCTATTTGGATCTAGTGGAGCATAATATTCTTGAATGATCTGTTCTGGTGAATTATGAGTGTGTGTTTGAGAAGGAGTCTTGCGCTGTCATCCAGGCTGGAGTGCAGTGGCGCGATCTCGGCTCACTGCAACCTCCACCTCCCGGGTTCAAGTGATTCTCCTGCCTCAGCCTCCTGAGGAGCTGGGATTACAAGCGTGCACCACCATGCCCAGCTAATTTTTTTATTTTTAGTAGAGACAGTTTCACCATGTTGGTCAGGCCGGTCTCAAACTCCTTCCTGACTTTGTGATCTGCCCCCCTTAGCCTCCTAAAGTACTGGGATTACAGGCGTGAGCCACCACGCCTGTCTGTGTGTTTGTTTGTTTTTTTAAGAGATAGGGTCTCGCTCTGTCCCTCAGACTGTAGTGCAGTGGTATGATCATAGCTCACTGCAGCCTCAAACTCCTGGGCTCAAGCCTCTGGAATAGCTGGGACTACAGGTGTGTGCCACCATGCCTAGCTGATTTTTAAAATTTTTATAGAGATAGTCTCACTATGTTGACCAGGCTGGTCTTGAATTCCTGGCCTCAAGGGATCCTCCTGCTTAGGCCTCCCAAAGCGTTGGGATTGTAGGTGTGAGCTGCTGCTCCTGGCCAAATTATGAATTCTCAATAGGAAATATTTGAAGACCTGGAAAAGAACATAAAAGCATGCTACCAATAGGAAATGTTAATTAAATCACAAATTTACCACCACTGTATAATAAGGTGTTAAGTTTACAGACTTGTGAATAATAGAGTTATAGATTCAAATTCCAGGTCTGCCACTTATTCATATGACACTGAACAGTGTCTTAATCTAAGATCCTCTATTTTCACCTGAAATAGAGGAATAACCTAATAGCTACTTAATCAGATTGAGGAGTACATGCCATTGCATATGTGAAGTGTCTAGTGCTTAGTAATTAATAGCCATTAAATGATTTCTGAATTTTTGTCTTTAATGTCAGGGCAATATAGTGCAATGTTACTAAAATATAATTTTGGGAAACGAATAAGGTAGATAAGTGAAAGTGACATGTATATCATAGCATGCAGATTTCCTGAGTTAGTGAAGAGCATGCTTGAACCTCAGTTTTCTGAGTTGTCAGATGGGGATATTAGCATTTTATTCCATAGATTTTTAGGACTCTGTAAGTTAATGCAAAGACACTTGGAACACAACTCAGTACGTAATACATAATAAGTGCCCACTAGAATATATTGTTATGGTTCAACATCTTTATACTAGAGGTAGAGATTAAAGGAATTAGAGAAGCTCATCGGTGATATCATAGAGCTGTTGGGTTTTGAAGTTGAAAAATACGTTAGAGATCATCGGGTAGCATAGTAGGTACTATTTTTGAGTGAAACTCTTAAGTGATCTACTTAAAGGAACAAAGCTTTCTGGAGGCAGAATTTAATGCAACTGATGCTTCCTTTTTCCTGACTGAAACTGCTAATCATGTACAGCACACTGTCTCCTAATTTTTTATCCTTATTAAATCTGAGATTTATAAAATGACATCACTTTTCTGGAACTTTTTTCCTGACAGATTAAAAACCACATGTTTGACTGTGTGCAGTGGCTCACACCTGTAATCCCAGCACTTTGGGAGGCCGAGGCAGGTGGATCACCTGAGGTCAGGAATTCGAGACCAGCCTGGCCAACATGGTGAAATCCTGTCTCTTCTAAAAATACAAAAATTAGTTAGTCGGGTATGGTGTTGCGCGCTTGTAATTTCAGCTGCTTGGGAGGCTGAGGCAGGAGAATCTCTTGAACCTGGGAGATGGAGGGCATGCCACTGCACTCTAGCCTGGGCAACAGAGTGAGACTCCATCTCAAAAAAAAAAAAATCACGTTTTTGGTTTTAATTTATCTGACTTACCTTATGTAGATTTGTTGGTCACTTATTTAAGATATCTTTGTTCAGCTGATGTTTTTCATTATGTTTGAAGGAAATATAATTGATTTTCTTTCTTTCTTTTTTTTCTTTAGGCGAAGTCTGGCCTTATCACCCAGGCTGGAGTGCAGTGGCGCAATCTTGGCTCGCTGCAATCTCCGCCTCCCCAATTCAAGTGATTCTCCAGCCTCAGCCTGCCGAGTAGCTAGGACTATAGGCGTGTGCCATCACACCTGGCTAATTTTTGTATTTTTAGTAGAGATGGGGTTTCACCGTGTTGGCCAGGCTGGTCTCAAACTCCTGACCTCAACGGGAGATCCTCCCTCCTCGGCCTCCCAAAGTGCTAGAATTACAGACATGAGCCACTGCCGAGAATTGGTTTTTACTTAGATTTGATAGGCCTGTTATTTCTAATAAGAAATGGATTTTCAAAAATAAATTACTTTTTCCTTCCCCAGATTTGACAAAACATTTATCAGGGGGCTATTCCTGTATCAGTCTTTTTAGAAATGTTTAGATGCTTGGAATAAGAATATGAGGATGATAGTGCGTCTGCTTTCTGTTGCTTGCCTCAATGCTGCATCCAGATCACCTGGGCTACACAATTACAAACAGATTATCTGGCCCAAGGTGAAGAATCAGAAATGGGTAAGACCTTTCCAAATAGAGGTAACAAGAGTTAAGATTTTGGGCTGGGTGCTGTGGCTCACGCCTGTAATCCCAGCACTTTGGAAGGCTGAGGTGGGCAAATCACGAGCTCAGGAGTTTGAGACTAGCCTGGCCAAAATGGTGAAACCCTGTCTCTACTGAAAGTACAAAAATTAGCTGGGCGTGGTGGCATGCACCTGTAGTCCCAGATACTCAGGAGGCTGAGGCAGGAGAGTTGCTTGAACCTGGGAGGCAGAAGGTTGCAGCAAGGCAAGATGGCGCTACTGCACTCCAGCCTGGGCGAGAGAGTTAAGAGACTCCACCTTGAAAAAGAAAAAAAAAAAAGAGTTAAGATTTTTTTTGAGACAGAGTCTTGCTCTATCGCCCAGGCTGGAGGGCAGTGGCATGATGTCGACTCACTGCAACCTCCGCCTCCCAGATTCAAGCAATTCTCCTGCCTCAGCTTCCCAGGTAGCTGGGATTACAGGCATGTGCCACCACACCCGGCTAATTTTTGCATTTTTAAAAGAGACGGGGTTTCACCGTGTTGGCCATGCTGGTCTCGAACTCCTGACTTCAAGTGATCCACCCACCTTGGTCTCCCAAAGTGCTGGGATTACAGGCATGAGCCACTGCACCTGGCCCAAAGAGATTTCTTGAAAACCTCTCAGGCGGGTTTGAAAAGTTGGAATTTCCTGGATGTTTTATTGATAGTAAATTTGAACATTCTCGTGGTAGTGGGGATTATGTACAAATAATTTGAACCTGATTGATTGTTTTTCCATGTTTTATTTTTATTTTAAGCATTATTTAGTTTTTCTGTACTACCTGACTGCACTTTTTGGAAAATTTGAGTAAGTCAGTAACATAGGATTAAGTTTGTTTGATTAAATCTTTTCTTGAAAGAAATAAGTCTTAGAACTCTTAGACCCTAGGCAACTATTTGGATATTATGGTGTGGGTTGCTTCCAGATATGAGCCTGACAGTTCTAGGTCAGTGCAATGTATGTGAATTAAAGCCTGCTAAAAGTACTCTCACTGTAACTCTCCACAGCCGTCTATTTAAGATTTCTCGTAAGTTGACATAATTGTTCTTATGAGCAGCTATTTTTTTGGTGAAGGTTTTTTGGCTTCTGATTATAGAATGATTAGCCATTAGCAGCTTTTTAAAAAGAATTTCTCATATCTTGCTTTATTTGAAGTATTTCAGGCCAGGTTCCATGGCTCACGCCCGTAATCCTAGGACTTTGGGAGGCTCAGGCGGGCATAACATTTGGGGTCAGGAGTTCAAGACCAGCCTGGCCAACATGCTGAAACCCCGTCTCTACTAAAAATACAAAAATTAGCCGGGCGTGGTGGTGCACACCTGTAATCCCAGCTACTCAGGAGGCTGAGGCAGGAGAATCACTTGGACCTTGGATGCAGAGGTTGCAGTGAGCCAAGATTGCGCCACTGCACTCCAGCCTGGATAAGAGTGAGGCACAGTCTCAAAAAAAAAAAAAAAAAAGATTTGATTTGAGCCTGACAATTCTAGGTCAGAACATTTTTATTGTTAAAAACAGTAATTCCAGTACATAGTCAAATCATGACTGATTTTTCCCCCTAATATTATTGGAAAGTGAGCATTCCATACAACTTGATAATTTTAGCCTTTTTCGTAAAATTTACTTTGATGTTGCCATTGTTTAATTAGCCATTTTTTTGTTCAGTACTCTGATGTTTTTTCTGTGATCACTGAGGCATTTGTCAGGCTGTTTGCCACAGCCTTAAAAGGTATCCGTACTTTTGCTTCCTTTTTATTTGTTCAACCTTGGAAATTTATAGTTTTTCCAGTAAATACTGCCTTTGTAGAAATTAATTTTAAAACTTTCAAATTTTCCCTCAAAGTTTGTTTCAAGTTATTTTGACTATTTTTAGTAAACTGGTGGTACAGAAGTTAATCTGGTGACTAAACTGTGTCACAGGTGATAATTTAACCATGAAGTCTGTCAGATTTCCTTCCTAAGTCATAAACTAGCTACTAAAATAACTGTGTTACAAGGAGTTTACAGTCCTGTCTCCTATCCTTGGGGTGGAGATTGGTTCCAGGACCCGGCCATGGATATCAAACTCTGGGGATGCTTTAGTAAGTCCCTTAATATAAAGTGGTGTAGTAACCTACACACATCCTCCCTTATACTTCAGATCATCTCTAGATTACTTATAACGCCTAATACAATGTAAGTGCTATGTAAATAGTTGTTATACTGTATTTTTGTTAGTGTTTTTATTGTCGTATTGTCTTTTTTTTCCCCAAGTATTTTTGATCTGTGGTTGGTTGAATTCACATATGTAGAACCCAACTGTATTCATTTGGGAGAATGGAGAGCCAACTGTATTCATTTGGCCTTCTTAAGTTCTCATATGCTGTTTAAAGAAAATCATTTCTGGCCGGGCGCAGTGGCTCATGCCTGTAATCCCAGCACTTTGGGAGGCTGAGGTGGGCAGATAACGAGGTCAAGAGATCGAGACCATTCTGGCCAACATGTTGAAACCCCGTCTCTACTAAAAGTACAAAAATTAGCTGGGCGTGGTGGCGCACACCTGTACTCTCAGCTACTCGGGAGGCTGAGGCAGGAGAATCGCTTGAACCCGGGAGTCGGAGGTTGCAGTGAGCCAAGATTGCACCGCTGCGCTCCAGCCTGGCAACAGAGCGAGACTCCACCTCCAAAAAAAAAAGAAAAAGAAAAGAAAATCATTTCTATATATGTATCTAAGTGTAAGCCTGTATGGTAAAGTCTTAAACTTTCCTGGATTAATTTAAATTTTTAAGGATTATCAAAAAGTTAGTAAGTAGCATTCATGATCATTTAGATGAAAAATGTTAAGCCCAGTCTGGCTTTACTTTCCATGGTTCATGCTGATCTGTTTCCGTTGCCATTGGAGTTATATGCTTTAAGAAATGAAATATAATTTTTGGTTATTTAGGCTGTGTGCAGTGGTTTACAACTGTAATCCTAACACTTTGGGAGGCCAAGGTGGGCTGATCACTTGAGTCCAGGAGTTTGAGACCAGCCTGGGCAACATGGCAAAAACCCCATCTCTACAAAAAAAAAAAAAAACAAAAAAAAAAAACCACAGGCAAAAAGCCAAGGGTGGTGGTGCGCACCTGTAGTCCCAGCTATTTGGGAGACTGAGGTGGGAGGATCGCTTCAGCCTGGGAGGTGGGGGTTGCAGTGAACTGAGATGGAGCCACTGTACTCCAGCCCGGGTGACATAGCTAGACCCTGTATCATTAAAAAAAAAAAAAAAAAGGTTATTTAAAAGAAAATGTTACCCAAAGTCAGTTTTACTTTTAGTTGCTCTTTTGCATTTTTGATGCCATTACTATCTCTTTTAGATAGGTAATCCAAAATGGACTATTTTAACAACAATGTCTTTAAGTTACTTGCTTGGCTGTGCGGTTTGTATGATTACAGTTCAACTTAGAAAGTGTTCTCCAATAATGAGTTGCTCTTAATTTAATGGAATTGCTAAGGCCTAATATTACTATAAACCAATTTGGTAGTGAGTTTGCATGTTTATGTTATACAGGTTATTATCTAGTAAGTGAACACTTTAATTCATATGGAAATGATTACTGGACTTTGTTTACAGAAAGCCACAAAAAAAACTGATAAACCCAGACAAGAAGATAAAGATGATCTAGATGTAACAGAGCTCACTAATGAAGATCTTTTGGATCAGCTTGTGAAATACGGAGTGAATCCTGGTCCTATTGTGGGTAAGTTGATAAAATTTCAAATACAGTATCTTTTCTCTGAAGCAGGACCCCAAATTATTTTCTCCTTTTTGTTTAGCAGTTTAGGTTCCAAGGACTGGTTTGTCATTAATCATTTGTTATCAGCAGAACCTGTGTTTCTTTGACTGTAAATGAGTGAAATAAAATGAGAGGATTGAATTAGATAATCTCCAAAATTACCTCTATTGTTGAGATTGTTTTATATGGTGCTTATATCGTACTTTTTTTTTTTTTTTTTGGTTTTGTTTTGTTTTTTGTTTTTTTGAGACGGAGTCTTGCTCTGTCGCCCAGGCTGTAGTGCAGTGACGCGATCTCGGCTCCCTGCAAGCTCTGCCTCCCGGGTTCATGCCATTCTCCTGCCTCAGCCTCCTGAGTAGCTGGGACTACAGGCGCCCGCTGCCACGCCTGGCTAATTTTTTGTATTTTTCAGTAGAGATGGGATTTCACCGTGTTAGCAAGGATGGTCTCGATCTTCTGACCTTGTGATCCGCCTGCCTCGGCCTCCCAAAGTGCTGGGATTACAGGTGTGAGCCACCGTGCCTGGCCACTTATATCGTACTTCTGCTGAGACGTGGGTCTTGTATGACAATTGAGGAAAATCTGAGGTAACATAGCTGGGCAAATTTGCCCAAATAAATGAGTTAATGGCCGGGCGCAGTAGCTCACACCTGTAATCCCAACACTTTGGGAGGCCAAGATGGGAGGATTGCTTGTGCCCAGGAGTTGAAGAACAGCATGAGCAACATAGGGAGATCCCATCTCTGCAGAAAATTTTAAAATTAGCAGGGTGTGGTGTCACAAATCTATTGTCCCAGCTACTTAGGAGGCTGAGGCAGGAGGATTGCTTGAGATGGTGGGGGGAAGTCAAAGTTGCAGTGAGCCGTGATGGCTACTGTACTTCAGCCAGGGGCAGTGGAGCAAGACCCTGTCTCAAAAAAAATAAATAAATAAGGGAAAAAGAAAAAGTGAGTTAGTGACAGACTTCTTCTTAATGAAGTTATTAAATTCCTAGCCTAGTACCCTATTTTTTTTTTTTTTTTGAGACGGGGTTTCGCTCTTGTTGCCCAGGCTAGAGTACAATGGTGTGATCTTGGCTCACTGCAACCTCTGCCTCCCAGGTTCAAGCAGTTCTCCAGCCTCAGCTTCCCGAATAGCTGGGATTACAGGCACCTGCCACCATGCCCGGCTAATTTTTATATTTTTAGTAGAGATGGGGTTTTGCCATGTTGGCCAGGCTGGTCTGAAACTCCCGACCTCAGGTGATCCCACCCACCTCAGGCTCCCAAAGTGCTGGGATTACAGGTGTGAGCCACCGCGCTGAGCCCCTTTTTCATTTATCATTAAAAGTACCCTTTTGAAAGTCCTATCTTGATTGGAATTGAGGAATTATACCCTTAAAAAACAAAAACCTAGGACTAAATACACTGGATTTCCATCGTTGGATTACTTTTAGGTGATGAAGATTTTGCAGTGTTGATTATGCCTTAGTTTTGGAGGGTCTTAGCAATAACCTCAAGATGAGAAAATTCCATTTTATTATTATTTTTTTTTTTGACAAGGTCTTTGCTCTGTTGTCCACGCTGGAGTGCAGTGGCACAGTCATGGCTTACTGCAGCCTCAGCTTAGGCTCAAGCAGTCCCACCTCAGCCTCTCAAGTAGCTGGGAACACAGGCACGTGCCACCATTCCCGGCTAATTTTTGTAGTTTTTGTAGGGATGGGGGCACACTATATTGCCCAGGGTGGTCTTGAACTCCTGGGCTCAAGCAGTCCTCCCACTTAGGCCTCCCTAAGTCCTAGGATTACAGGCATGAGTCACTGCATCTGGTCTTGATCTTCTAAGTTACCTAAAATTGTGGACGCTAGAGATTTGGTAGGTTTTGCTATAGGTATAGTTGCAAATAAAGATTTAGAATATTTTGTTTTAATGTATAAGCTGCTTCCAAATAATCATAAGCTTATTCATATACAAGTACCAACAGATATATAACACTTTTAAAAAATGTTTTTGTTTAAAGTTCTAAAAGGCCTGGGCATGGTAGTTCATGCCTGTAATCCCAACACTTTGGGAGGCCAAGGTGGTGGAATTGCTTGAGTTCAGGAGTTGAAGAGCAGCCTGGACAACATAGTGAAACCTTGTCTCTATTTAAAAAAAAAAAAGTAGCCAGGCATGTAGTGCACACTTGTAGTCCTAGCTACTCAGGAGGCAAAGGTGGGAGGATTGCTTAAGCCCACAAGTTCAGGGTTGCAGTGAGCTATGATCGCACCACTGCAGTGCAGCCTGGGCAACAGAGCAAGACCTTGTCTCAAAAAAAAAAAAAGAAATTCCAAAAGGGAGACACTGAAAAATGTGTGTTATAATATCAGCCTACATTAAATTATATGTTGATGTATGACCTGTTCATCTTAAGGCTATTTATATAACATTTCTGGACACATGTTGCTTCTAAAAAATATCCATTATCATTTTGCTCATCTTACCAGGAGTTAAGGAAAGATAATACAGTTAATGTAAAACAAAATCTATTTTGGTTTTAAACTGTCACTGATGTTCAAATGTATTAAGAATTTGTAATCAATTTTGCTTTGTGATATGTGTTTTCCATAAAAGGTCATTTTAACTGCAAAGTTGTTATATTTAAATCTGATTTATAGAACTTTTCTTTTCCCCATAACTGAATACAGGCATATTAATGTCTTAGAGTTGTGGAAATTTAATCATAGTTATTTTTCATAGAGGTACAATCCGCTTACATGTGATTTTTCTACCTTGGCAAGTACTATTACGTAGTAGTAGAGAAAATAAATGCAAGACTTCAGTCAAAAATAGTCATACATGGCTTTTCAGTAGATGGTCTATAGAAAGGCCTGTATTAACCTACTATGTATTTCATGCTATTAAAAGAAATGTCATTTCCCAAAAAACCACCTGTTGTAAAAAGAGTGCATTATATAGTTGTGTGGAATGCAATGGTGCGATATCAGCTCACCGCAACCTCCATCTCCTGGGTTCAGTTCTCCTGCCTCAGCTTCCTGAGTGGCTGGGATTACAGGCGCCCACCACCAGGCCCAGCTAATTTTTTGTATTTGTGGTAGAGACTGGGTTTCACCATGTTGGTCAGGCTTGTCTTGAACTGCTGACCTTAGGTGATCCACCCGCCTTGGCCTCTGGAGGTGCTGGGATTACAGGCATCAGCCACCACGTCCTTTTTTTTTTTTTTTTTTTTTTTAAGACAGCATCTTACTTCCTCTCCCAGCTGGACAGTGGTGCGATCTCAGCTCACTGCAACCTCTGCCTTCCAATTTCAAGTGATTCTCCTGTCTCAGCCTCCCAAGTAGCTGGGATCACAGGCGTGTGCCACCATGCCCGGCTAATTTTTGTATTTTTAGTAGAGATAGTTTCCCTGTGTTGGCCAGGCTGGTCTCGAACTCCTGACCTCAAGTAATGTACCCGCCTCAGCCTCCCAAAGTGGTGGGTTTACAGTCGTGAGCCACTATGTCTGGCCGCATTATATGGTATTTTTTTTTTTAAGAACTTGAGTTTAGAAAAATAAAGGGTGAAAATAGCTTAAAATGTTGCTGAAGATAGTGTCTGAGCTGCATCCTAAATGAAACAATACAGGTACTAAAGCAAGTTCTGCCTTAATCCAGGAACAACCAGGAAGCTATATGAGAAAAAGCTTTTGAAACTGAGGGAACAAGGAACAGAATCAAGATCTTCTACTCCTCTGCCAACAATTTCTTCTTCAGCAGAAAATACAAGGCAGAATGGAAGTAATGATTCTGACAGATACAGTGACAATGAAGAAGGTAAAATTTTAAATGATGTTAATCAAATGTATGGAATTTTTTCACACTCAAAATTCAGTGACCATGAAGAAAGTAAAATTTAAAACAATATTGGCAAGATACACAAATTTTATTCGTGTCATTAGAGTAATTCTGTAATTTGATTTAAATACTTTTTATTGAAAATTCTAAGAAGCAACATAGTACAAATTCATAATTTTCCATCACCTGAAATTGCAAGTTAACTTTGTCTTTTTTGCTACAAATCTCATTTTTCTGAGAGAATAAAGTATTACAAGTAAAGGCAAAGTTTCTCGTACTTACCTGTACCTATCACCTCCACAGAAGTAACTACTATTATTAATTCAATGCCTGTCTTTCAAGTTTTATATTTCACATACACATCTGTCTAATACATGGTATTATTTTATACTTTAAGAATAAAAAATTTATATAAACAGTATGCTAAATCTTATCACTTGCTTTTTCTTACTCCATTATTTTTGAAATCTAATCCTGTTAATTACATATCTGTTTATTCTTCATAATTAATACATAGTGGTAGCATTTAAATATGGCATATTTTCTCTGTTCTCTATTGATAGGCATTTAAATTGTTCGCAGTTTTTGTTAATCTGACCTCAGGGCAACTTTAAAGCAAATATTTTGACTATATTTTTAGTAGACTGTATAGTATCTTAAAATTTGATCATGATGTTTAAATATTTTTTAAGGATAGTATGTGAAATAAATGTCCTTTAAAAATTATAAATACAACTTGATTTTTGTAAACTTTTAATTAATATGACTTGTGATTATTTATTTTGATCCAGATTGTTTATATCTCAATAAGCTTTGTCTACCAGGGCAAATCTGGCAGATTAGTTCAGAATATGAAATTATAGTCTTTTCCTTTGACAGCACTATTTTTAGCAAAGAGGCAAAGAATAAAATCAGCTCAAACACAGGTAATGCTTAAACTTCCTGCCTCTTTTGCCTCTACAGGAAAGAAGAAAGAACACAAGAAAGTGAAGTCCACTAGGGATATTGTTCCTTTTTCTGAACTTGGAACTACTCCCTCTGGTGGTGGATTTTTTCAGGGTATTTCTTTTCCTGAAATCTCCACCCGTCCTCCTTTGGGCAGTACCGAACTACAGGCAGCTAAGAAAGTACATACTTCTAAGGGAGACCTACCTAGGGAGCCTCTTGTTGCCACAAACTTGCCTGGCAGGGGACAGTTGCAGAAGTTAGCCTCTGAAAGGAATTTGTTTATTTCATGCAAGTCTAGCCATGATAGGTGTTTAGAGAAAAGTTCTTCGTCATCTTCTCAGCCTGAACACAGTGCCATGTTGGTCTCTACTGCAGCTTCTCCTTCACTGATTAAAGAAACCACCACTGGTTACTATAAAGACATAGTAGAAAATATTTGCGGTAGAGAGAAAAGTGGAATTCAACCATTATGTCCTGAGAGGTCCCATATTTCAGATCAATCGCCTCTCTCCAGTAAAAGGAAAGCACTAGAAGAGTCTGAGAGCTCACAACTAATTTCTCCGCCACTTGCCCAGGCAATCAGAGATTATGTCAATTCTCTGTTGGTCCAGGGTGGGGTAGGTAGTTTGCCTGGAACTTCTAACTCTATGCCCCCACTGGATGTAGAAAACATACAGAAGAGAATTGATCAGTCTAAGTTTCAAGAAACTGAATTCCTGTCTCCTCCAAGAAAAGTCCCTAGACTGAGTGAGAAGTCAGTGGAGGAAAGGGATTCAGGTTCCTTTGTGGCATTTCAGAACATACCTGGATCCGAACTGATGTCTTCTTTTGCCAAAACTGTTGTCTCTCATTCACTCACTACCTTAGGTCTAGAAGTGGCTAAGCAATCACAGCATGATAAAATAGATGCCTCAGAACTATCTTTTCCCTTCCATGAATCTATTTTAAAAGTAATTGAAGAAGAATGGCAGCAAGTTGACAGGCAGCTGCCTTCACTGGCATGCAAATATCCAGTTTCTTCCAGGGAGGCAACACAGATATTATCAGTTCCAAAAGTAGATGATGAAATCCTAGGGTTTATTTCTGAAGCCACTCCACTAGGAGGTATTCAAGCAGCCTCCACTGAGTCTTGCAATCAGCAGTTGGACTTAGCACTCTGTAGAGCATATGAAGCTGCAGCATCAGCATTGCAGATTGCAACTCACACTGCCTTTGTAGCTAAGGCTATGCAGGCAGACATTAGTCAAGCTGCACAGATTCTTAGCTCAGATCCTAGTCGTACCCACCAAGCGCTTGGGATTCTGAGCAAAACATATGATGCAGCCTCATATATTTGTGAAGCTGCATTTGATGAAGTGAAGATGGCTGCCCATACCATGGGAAATGCCACTGTAGGTCGTCGATACCTCTGGCTGAAGGATTGCAAAATTAATTTAGCTTCTAAGAATAAGCTGGCTTCCACTCCCTTTAAAGGTGGAACATTATTTGGAGGAGAAGTATGCAAAGTAATTAAAAAGCGTGGAAATAAACACTAGTAAAATTAAGGACAAAAAGACATCTATCTTATCTTTCAGGTACTTTATGCCAACATTTTCTTTTCTGTTAAGGTTGTTTTAGTTTCCAGATAGGGCTAATTACAAAATGTTAAGCTTCTACCCATCAAATTACAGTATAAAAGTAATTGCCTGTGTAGAACTACTTGTCTTTTCTAAAGATTTGCGTAGATAGGAAGCCTGGTACAAACAATTTAACGCTTTCTAGATCACATATTAGTCTCTAAGTTGTTTTCTGTTTCCTGCTTTACTTATGTTTTTACAATTCTCCAAAACTAAGAAAATTCTAATTAGGATATAAGGAGTATTTACTGTTCAATAGAATAATATGCATCCTCCTTTATACCTAGGACAGAATTAAACATTTGTTACACATTCAGAACAGTGATGTTGTTCTTTTTGATACTTTTATCTCAGTATCTTTTCACGTTCCATAACTTGTCCATATTTTTGCTCATATTTTCTTACTTTTCTTTGTTATTTATTCATGTCTGCAACATCAATCATAGTAGTCTAGATCAATGCAACTCAAAGCACCAGTCTACAAACTGTTACTTATCCACAGGCAAGATAAGCATGCACAAGAATTTAAATCTAGAGATACTTTTTAGGTCAATGACAGGATTTGATTTTTTAGCAAAATTTTATTAATAGCTAAAGCAATGTATTGATTTACACTCTGATGCAAGTAATTTATCTCTTCATTGACTGGTAGCAACCAATTCATGGACCAGTACCATGGACCACACTTTGAGAAACACTTCTTTGGATAATAATAGATATCCTGGGATAGTGCATGTTCACCATCTATTTTGTCAGATAATGGGGCCTTTTAAAAAATAATACTTTGCTTTCATGATATATTGTATTTTGTGGAAAGTTAAGTTTAGCAATATAGACTCTAAAAGCAAATTAAATTTTTTTAAGCCATAAGAAATTATACTATATCCCAGTATCTGTATGTCTGTATAAAGCAGTGTATTATCATGTTTTCATTTCTGTGATTGTAAGTTAAGAGTCTTAACTGCAGAGGTATTGTGGAAAGTAGTAGCCTTAAGCATAATAAAATATGGTCTCTTGGGTACTCCCTCTGGCCATTACCACATTCTTAGATTATATGTGTCCATCTTTGCAGCTTTCTGAGAGTAATTTTATTTGTTGTCTTCTGAAATGTACATGTATACATGTACCTACTGAGTGCTATGTGATTTTTAAAAATGTATTACTGTAGAATGCTTCTGCAAATTCAATAAAGTTGTTAAATTTGAACAGTGTTGTGTGGTCTCCAGAAACATGTTGTTCTGTGTGCTTTATTCTTGGAGTTGCAACAAGTTAAATATTTGTATATGAACACCCCTTTTCCATTTCATCATTGAAACTCACTTTGACATTTCAGTGGTATAATTGAAAATATTCTGATTATGGTATGGTTTTTCTTCTGTTTGAGGACCATGTTTTTATTGACTGTTGGAATCTAAATTTATAAGAGGAATTAATCTGTAACCAGATACCTTATTCGTTTAACCGATTTCTATTCCACTACTAATGGTTTTTTTTACTTTGTGCTTTCTAGTTCTTAGATTCTGAGTTAACAAAGCATAAAATAGATTTTATATTGCTGGGGGTTGTACCAAACATAGATACATTGACAGATCCATTGATAGAAGTGTTGGGAGATGGACTTGAAATCTTAGTCCTAAATAAAGACTGAACTGTTTAAACTAACTTGATAAAAATCACTGTTCGTTTTTGGGAACCTGCAAGTATTAAATAGATTCTGTACTAACTAGTATTAACACTGGAAAGTTAGCAAGACACATATAGATGTCTTGACCACTTTTTCACACAAGTTCAGAGTTCATGTAAAACTTTAGAATTGACTTCCTTTCTGTCTCTTCAGTAAGAAAGTAATCTAACTTAAATTTTTGGTAGTAGAAGTTTTAGAAATAACAACTGACTAATTTTGCTATACCATGATAAATGTCTACAAAAAGGGATTTTTTTTTTTTTGAAATGAAGTTTCGCTCTTGTCCCCAAAGCTGGAGTGCAATGGTGTGATCTCAGCTCGCTGCAACCTCCGCCTCCCAGGTTCAAGCAATTCTCCTGCCTTAGCCTCCTGAGTAGCTGGGATTACAGGTGTCTGCCACCAACCCTGGCTAATGTTTGTATTTTTAGTAGAGACGGGGTTTCACCATGTTGGCCAGGATGGTCTTAAGCTGACCTCAGGTGATCCGCCCACCTCGGCCTTCCAAAGTGCTGGGATTACAAGCGTGAGCCACCATGCCCTGCCAGGGATGTTAACTAAAATCAGTCTTTTCAAAACCTAGATCTTCAAATGATGATGAATTTAAGACTAGGAGACTGGAATATTGAAGCCTATTAAAAAATACATATCCTTGCGTTGTTAGGTTAATAACTATCATGGTGACAAGTGTATAAGTATTGGCTTCTTTTCAAAGAAATGTTATTTTTATTATAAGGACTGGGACGAGAAGTGACCTGTGATTGGTCGTATTTTTCTGTGAACAAGATTCCTTCTTTACCTGAGTTGTACCTAGGTTTTTTATAACTACATCAAAAAAGCTTTTATATTGTACTTATTAATGTTATGGCAGTTACTTATAGAAGCTTGGTACTATATGGATTTTTTTCATTTTTAAACTTTCCCTTCTATGTTCCAAATTTTAATTTAGTAAGTCAACCTTTGCTGTACAGTAGTAGTATACTGTATGGACAAAACAATGGTAACAATTGTGTTATTTTAAATGGCCTTTTTCCACATCTAAATTGTTCTTACTGAAAAGCTTTCGTGGGAGCATTTTGAACTCACTTCATGTTCAAAGCTATGAGTCCCAGATAAAGGAAAGGAGAATAGGTAGGAAGAAGTGGTTGTCAGATGAAAGGGTAAGGGAGATAAGCAAAAATGGGATAAATAATGAAACAGTTTTCAAGACAAATTGCAGTTAAACAATTTTGGACTAGTGAGGTATTACCAGTAGACTTGTTTTTCACCTTTTAATGTGCCTAAAACCAGGGTTCCCGATTAATATTAGGATAACATCATCATTTATTGAGTGTTTCAGAGAGTAATGGTTTCTCCAATGTTATTTCCAGACTCTAAAATAGAGCTCAAGCTTGAGAAGAGAGAACCACTAAAGGGCAGAGCAAAGACTCCAGTAACACTCAAGCAAAGAAGAGTTGAGCACAATCAGGTATCTTTAGTTTTATTACCACCGTGTACAGGTATAAATAACCTCCTGACAACACTAATCCATGTTTTAGCCTTTAATGGTTGACACCCAGATTCCAGCACGCTCAATAAACTTAATTCTGTTGTTAAATGATACTAAAAATCTAAACTTTGTGGGTTTTGTCAGTAGTGTAGCCTGTGATTACAGCAAAAGCAAATTTTTAATGTCTCATTTGTGTTTGAGTCTGTGCTAGATGTAGTTCAAAGCCAGTTATATGGTGTTTTGAAAGAAATATTTTAAAAGGTGGAAATATCTAGACACTTTTGATACAATTTCTTTAAAAGGCAATGGAAGGGTTTTATATTTGTGTCTTTGTCTCTAGATTTCTGACTTTGATTTTATGTTTGCCTGTCTTGTCTTCTGCGATTCTTTCCTAAACTCAGAAGCTAGTCTGGTCCTAAGACTACAGTTTTCTTTCCTTATTTCAGATGAAAATTTACCTTTTCTATTGTGGGAGAGGCGTTTCAGTTTTTCAAAAGGGAAATGTAGGAAACTAAGGAGAAAATAAGCATAGGTATAAATGAACAGAGAACAAATTATTGACTAACCTAGTATTGTTTACAGAGAACAAATTATTGACTAACCTAGTATTGTTTACAGAGAACAAATTATTGACTAATGCAGCATTGATTTGGCTGATGCTTTATAAGACAGCTATTCCTAGAGTCATTTTCCTTACCCCTGCTATGTCTAGCTGGATGATTTGTCTAGTTGGTTATCTTTTCCATCTCCTATTTGTCACTTTGTGTGTTTGTTTGTGACGGAGTTTTGCTCTTGTCACCCGGGCTGGAGTGCAGTGGCGTGATCCCATCTCATTGCAACCTCCACCCTGCTGGGCTCAAGCGATTCTCCTGCCTCAGCCTCCCAAGTAGCTGGGATTACAGGCACATGCCACCACGCTCAGCTAATTTTTGTATTTTTAGTAGAGACGGGGTTTCACCGTGTTGGCCAGGCTGGTCTCAAACTCCTGACCTCAGGTGATCCACCTGCATTGGCCTCCGAAAGTGCTGGGATTACAGGTGTGAGCCACCGCGCCCAGCCTGTTTGTCGTTTTAAAATCAAATCCTTAGAGGAATTATTCTTGATTCCTTAAGGCAAGTCAGTCTCTCTCTTCATTTGATGTAGTTGATAAGTTGAATTTCAGAACGATTTGTTAGAAATGAGCTTTGTGACAAGAACATACAGAGCATTGAATGAATGAAGACTTTGTTAACATAGAACCAAATACTGGAATACATGTTTTATTGCCCTTTTATGTAGTAGTCCTAACAAATAGCTTCAGGAGCATGCTGAAGAATAAGGAAATAGGCCGGGCGCGGTGGCTCACGCCTGTAATCCCAGCACTTTGGGAGGCCGAGGCGGGCGGATCACCTGAGGTCCGGAGTTCGAGACGAGCCTGACCAACATGGAGAAACCCTGTCTCTACTAAAAATACAAAATTAGCCAGGCATGGTGGTGCATGCCTGTAATCCTAGCTACTCCGGAGGCTGAGGCAGGAGAATCGCTTGAACCTTGGAGGCGGAGGTTGCTGTGAGCCGAGATCGCGCCATTGCACTCTAGCCTGGGCAACAAGAGCGAAACTCTGTCTCAAAAATAAATAAATAAATAAATAAATAATAAAGATGGTCTAAGGGATAATTGAGTTGGAGGAATCTAAACTGAGGAGCAGAATAAATAGTCAAAGGAGTGTAGGTTTAGATGACAGGCAGAATTAGACAGTGGCTTTATTGCAGAAAATTTAAAACATGTAGAAGAGTGGAGGGAAGAGTTTAATGACCCTCCAGTCATAGATGTGCCACAGTTGTCAGTGTTTTACCAGTTTGGTTTCATCACCCCACACCCTCCAGCTTTTTAAATTACTTTTTTTTTTTTTTTTTTTGAGACAGAATCTCACTCTGTCGCCCAGGTTGGAGTGCAGTGGCACAATCTCGGCTCACTTGCAACCTCCGCCTCCTGGGTTCAAGCAGTTCTCCTGCTTCAGCCTCCTGAGTAGCTGGGATTACAGGTTCCCGCCACCATGCCCAGCTAGTTTTTGAATTCTTAGTAGAGACCAGGTTTCACCATGTTGGCCAAGCTGGTCTCGAACTCCTGACCTCAGGTGATCCACCCGCCTTGGCCTCCCAGATTGCTGGGATTACAGGCATGAGCTACCGCACCTGGCAATAAATTGCTTTTGATTTTTTTTATTTTGCTTTTTCCTGGAGTATATTAAAGCAGTCTTTGACATAGTGTTTCACACATTAAAAAGTCAGCATTTTAGCATATATCTCTGAAAGATAAGTGCTATTCCAGTGACAATGCCAATATCACACCTAATAAAATTAATAATTTATTTGTATCTAATTCATGTTTAAATTTCTCTAGTTTCAGAAATGTTTCGTTTATGATTATGTTGTTCAAATCAGGATCCAGACAGGATCCACATATCCGGTTTGATTTTTGGTTGTTTTACTCTCTCAAGTCTGTAGCTGTTACCACTGTAACTTTTTCTCTTCCCTCCATTTATTTGGTGAAGAAACCAGGTCATTACAGAATTTCCCAACATTCTGGATTTGTTAGGTTGCTTCTTTATGTCATTTAATTAGCTTCTCTATACGCTGCATTTTCTGTAGAGTGGGTTAGATCTGTAGTGAGGCTATGCAGTAGACCTTTCTGTGATAGAAATTTTTCATACCTGTGCTATCCGTTACAGTAGCCACTAGCTATTGAATACTTCGATGGTGACTAGTGAGGCTGAGAAACTCTGTTTTGCTTTGTTGTTGTTGTTGTTTTTGTTTTTGTTTGTTTGTTTTTTGAGATGGAGTTTCATTCTTTTTGCCAAGGTTGGTGTGATCTCAGCTCCCCACAACCTCTGCCTCCCAAGTTCAAGCGATTCTCCTGCCTCAGCCTCCTGAGTAGCTGGGATTACAGGCATGTGCCACCACGCCCGGCTAATTTTGTATTTTTAGTAGAGACGGGGTTTCTCCGTGTTGGTCAGGCAGGTCTCGAACTCCCGACCTCAGGTGATCCACCCGCCTCAGCCTCCCAAAATGCTGGGATTACAGGCGTGAGCCACTGCGCCTGGCGGAAACTATGTTTTAATTTTAATTTAAATTAAATTTCAATGACCATATGTGGCTAGTGGCCTACCATATTGGACGGCACAGATCCAGAGGGTTGGTCAGATCCATGTCCAGTTTCTTTCACAAGAATACTTAAATGATATAGCGGCCTTCCTGTTACATCGTTTTAGGAGGTATAGAATGTCTTTCTGGCGATGCTAAAATTAGTAATTGATTTAGATTTTGAAAGATTAATCCATCTGTTATAAAGATCCACATTGTCCTTTCATTTAATGGTTCTAACAGCCATTGTCATATGATTATTGCCTAGGTCTATTATTTTGAGGTTTTTTTTATGTATTGAATTTATGATCAGTTACAGTCATCATTCTTTTTTGATGTTCACATTGTGCCATCTGTAGCCATTAGGAATTACTAAGTTGGTTCCTGTATTTTTTAATTCCTTCCCCCATTTATCTTTGATAGTTTCTTGTTTTCTGGAATAGTAAGACGTCCCAGGCTCATGTATACTTCCTGCGTCATGCCTGGAATCAGCCATGTTTCTAAGGAACCGTGATCCTTTTAATAGATAATACTATTTGGAAGCAACAATTTGGATGCTGACATGTTCATTCCTACTGGTTGTCATTGTTTCTGGGTCTTTTCAGTAGGTAGTGCTAGGTAAATCATGAATTAATGGTGATATTTCAAATTTATAAATACAGGCTAATTTTGGGTTATGTTATACTTGTATCATTTTTATCTTATGCTGAATATCTTGGTTCTTCAAATGATGTTGTTACTTATGTAAGTATCACAACATATATGTGTTTCTAAATAATACAGTATTACTACTAACAATAAGACTGTTAAATGCAATTTGGGCTTTTGTTTTCCTTGTCTTTAGGACATATCCCACTAGAATGTAATGTCAAAACACTGTGCTTAAAGTCACTTGAAAGAATTTTTTTGTGTCATACAGCCACCAACTTAATAGTTAGGTTTTTTTGTTCTCTAATGCTAGGATTGCTTTTTCTTTTATTATTTTTTAATTGTGTTGAGAGTATAATGTAGTTTTATGTAGGCAAAATAAGGTAGAGTCAGAATTTTGGCTTCTGTCCTTTTCCCTTCCATCTACAGATAAGCATTTTTATTGTTTTGATTTATATTTTGTTTCTTTTTAAAAATATAAGTAAATATATAGATTTTTATATGCTCCCCTTTTACATAAAATGCAGCCTGCTTTGTACATTTCCATTTTTAACCTAAACCTAGAGATCACTCCATATCGGAACGTAGCCATCTTCCTCATTGCTTTGTACAACTGCATTTTATGTGTTGCATTTTATGGATGTACTGTAATTTATTTAACCACTCTCCATTTGGTGAATATTTGAGTTGTTTTCAGCTGTATGTTGCTATGAATAATGCCAGGATGAACCATGGAGCAGCATTTTGCATGTGTCACTGCATATTTTTTGCCAGTTTATCTTGGGGAAGCGTACCAGTAAAATTGCTAGGTAATTTCACCATTACATTTCTCTGCATATGAGTTGAAGCATTTTGCATTCCCACCAGCAGTGTTTGAAAGTACTGTTCTCAAATGGAGGAATATGAGGCTTTTTTGTTTTGTTTTGTTTTTTAATAAAGTTAGTACGAGTAACCATATTGGTCATGTTTTACTTAAATTGATAGGCCTTCAAGATGGCTTTTAGTTATCTCAGGAGCTTTAGAAATTATCTATTCCCAGACCTGGAGAGATTCTGATTTAATTGGTTATGGTAGTTGGGGGCATTTGCTTTTTTTTTTTTTTTTAAAGCTCTCCTTGATGGTACTGTGCCACAAGGATTGAGAATCTCAGATTATAAAACTACCTTTCCGTCTATTCAAATAGTTGGTAATTTGACTATTAAAAACCACTTACTCTGGCCAGGTGCAGTGGCTCACACCTGTAATCCCCGCACTTTGGGAGGCCCAGGTGGGTGGATCACCTGAGGTCAGGAGACCAGCCTGGCCAACATGGCAAAACCCTGTCTCTACTGAAAATACAAAAAAATCAGCCAAGTGTGCTGGTGCGTGCCTGTAATCCCAGCTACTCAGGAGGGTGAGGCAGGAGAATCACTTGAACCTCGCAGGTGGAGGTTGCGGTGAGTGGAGATTGCACCACTGTACTCCAGCCTGGGCAACAGAGCGAGATTCTGTCTCAAAAAAATAAATAAAATAAAAATTAAAAAGCAGTTACTCTGTGTATGTCTGTAATTTGTTTACAAGTTTCTCTTTTGACAATAATTTTGCATTCAGCAAATACTTCCTAATTGATAGGATGAGGAACCCAGAGATTCAGATTGTGACTTAAAACTCTTATAATATCAATTCCAAATATAGATAAATACAAAACCATGATTTATGAGACTATGTCTGTAACTTGTGGGGTTTTGGTAGTATTACATCCAGCCATTTAGGCATATTTATTGGATGACCACTCCTGTCACAGGATTAAAGTTTAAAAAAAAAATCTGTCTTTAATAGACATTGACTTGGACCTAAAACCATCAGTAATCTAGGTTAAATATTGGCGTGAAAGCAAAAGTGACAACAGAAGGACACTCTACTATAATACTGATCATTGATGGATGTTCTGTAGTTAAAAGAATTTAAAAGAATCATCTGGTAATAGCGACTTCAAAACTGAAAACCTTAAACTACTTGGAATGCGGAATTTCGGGCCCTACAGCTACAGAATCAGAATCTGCATTTAACAGAAGCTTCAAGTGATTGATAGGCACATTACAATTTAAGAAGAACTGATCTAATGGGTTTTAAACCAGTATGTAAGAAATGCTGGATTCTTTAAAAATGATCAGTGGAACATAGAAATTAATCTGAGACTGAGAATTAATCTGAGGCAGCTGTTTTCTGTCTTTCTGTAGTGACATGGATAGCATTGAGATTTGAAAGTGACGTTAGGCTTGCATATTCATTAAAGAGTGACCACAGGGTTTTTGTGGCTACCTAATTTTGTATCTGTTTCCAAGAAAAATTTGACACCTGAGAATTTTTTAGTTCAAATAAGCTATATGTGGGATTATAATTTAAACTGATTCTACTAAAATGATTATAACCATATGAAAATAATAATGTTTATGCTAACAATTACAAAAGTTTGTATTTTTGTTTTAAAAGGAAACTGACTTATAATAGATGACTTTTTTCTAAGTCATGATCAGTCTGCTTTTTGTTTAGACAGAGATGTAGCTCCAATACTAGAGCCAAATAGCACACAGTGAGTCAAAAAGGGAACTGGTGATAGTTGATGTGCTTTTTTTCCCATAATGTTTATAATTTGTGAGCTACTATAGGTGGATTCTTTAGTGTATTTTAGCACTTTTTAAGTGTTTCCTGATGCCTAAATATCAGTTCAATTAATACATTTAGGAATATTTTGAGGACATAGCCTTGTTTGTAAATGCTGGCATTTGGAGACTTCTATTTCATGGCTTCTCAGTGTGCCAGTATGGCCGTTATTAAAGTATTTGATGTTAGAATATGACTTTTTAATGTGTTGATGCTTGAATAGAGCTATTCTCAAGCTGGAATAACTGAGACTGAATGGACAAGTGGATCTTCAAAAGGCGGACCTCTGCAGGCATTAACTAGGGAATCTACAAGAGGGTCAAGAAGAACTCCAAGGAAAAGGGTGATGCAAGGCTTATTCCTTGGGTTTTCAGATTTGTAGGGTTTTAGTATTATTTTATATTTATTGTTTTTGTTTTGTTTTCAAACTAACAGGTGGAAACTTCAGAACATTTTCGTATAGATGGTCCAGTAATTTCAGAGAGTACTCCCATAGCTGAAACTATAATGGCTTCAAGCAACGAATCCTTAGTAAATATGTTTCATAAACTATACAAGTGGTATTCTTTGTAAATTACCCTTTAATTGGAAATGGGGAGGTGGTGAATTTTGGCAAATCTCAAATTTACATGTTTTTTTTTTTTAACAATTTTAAACTGATTTTCCCCATATAGTTCTGAATTTTAGAATTTTCCTATAATATCCAATTTATGTAAAGAAATCTAATTCATTGTACAAGAAAGTATAAGGATATTTTTTGTTAAAATATTTGAAGAATGAGGCTTCATATGTGAGGCACTAAGTTGTGTTTGTAGGCTGTGTTGCTTAAATCTTTACTAAGGGAAAATTTCTAATATTACAGAGATAAAATATCTTTCTTTTCTTTTTAAGTGTCTGTGTTATGTTTGGATAATTCTGAGTCTGAATAATTTGAATCTTGGCAGGTTGTCAATAGGGTGACTGGAAATTTCAAGCATGCATCTCCTATTCTGCCAATCACTGAATTCTCAGACATACCCAGAAGAGCACCAAAGAAACCATTGACAAGAGCTGAAGTAAATGAATACAATTTAGATCGATGCTATCATTGATCTTTCAAAGAGGAAATATAAATATTTGTTTGTTTTTTTTTTTTTTTTTTGGAGTGGGAGGGAGCAGAGCTTTCTTTATTGGGTGGTGTGTGTAAATATGCATAAATTATTTTAAGGACACTTTTATTAGTGAAAACAGAAATTAACTAATATAGTTTGACATGCTAATACTATCCTCTTGCCACTGTATCCCTCTTAAGTTCCAGTTTTCAAGGGAGTGGTCATTTCTGTTCTGCTTATAATATGTTCTGTTTGTCATGGATGCAAGTTTGAAAGTGCTGCTGGGCTATGAGGGAGGCTACACTTTCTTTTGTTGACGGGTCAAATAAGAGACTTTAACATAACTTCATGTGGTGCTGGAATGGGTTAACTCCTGTGTAATTAAGCTTGAAAGTACTAACTGCATGGTGCATTTTAATTTGAATGAATCTTTACAAAAGGAGCCGAAACATTTATTATTTTGTTCTGGACATAAAGGTAAACAGTAAAACAAGCTAAACATTATATTTTTTTTAATTTGGGCATATTGCATTGACTATAATTTTAAAACATATAGTAAAGTTTGCTAAAGGTTCATGTTAAGTATCTTCTGTATTTTATCTTTTACTACAGAATTCTTAATAAATGAAGAAACAGTATACTTTTTTTTTTTTGAAACGGAGTCTTGCTCTGTTGCCCAGGCTGGAGTGCAGTGGCACGGTCTCAGCTCACTGCAACCTCCGCCTCCTGGGTTCAAGCGATTCTCCTGCCTCAGCCTCCTGAGTAGCTGGGATTACGGGTGCCCGCCACCACGCCCAGCTAATTTTTGTATTTTTAGTAGAGATGGGATTTCACTATGTTGGTCAGGCTGGTCTCGAACTCCTGACCTCAGGTGATCCACCCGCCTCAGCCTCCCAAAGTGCTGGGATTACAGGCGTGAGCCACCGTACCCGGCCCAACAATATACTCTTAATAGTAAAAAACAAAATCAATGAGGGAATTAGCATTGCCATGTTAGATTACTGAATTTTTTCCCCCCAGTTATTTAAATGTGTGGCAGTTTTTCACTCCAATAACCACATATATAAGGTATCTTCAAGAAATTTGAAGAGAGCCTTGGAAGCATGTGGATACCTAAATAATAATTTAGAAATGGCAGCTGTAAAATCTATGATAGATTTAAAGGCATTTTGTTCTCTAAAACTTACTATTTATGTTTTAATTATTGCATGTTTACACTAAATTTTAACTTGTGGTTGTTTGTTTGTCTGTTTCTTATTAGGTGGGAGAAAAAACAGAGGAAAGAAGAGTAGAAAGGGATATTCTTAAGGAAATGTTCCCCTATGAAGCATCTACACCAACAGGAATTAGGTATTCAGATACATTTAAACAAGTACTAGTGTATTCTAGTAGGGAATCTTTATTTTTAATTCTTCATCACAAAGTTACTGTACTTCTGCTCAGAATTAAGCTGTTTTTTTGGAGCCAGGTACAATGGTACATGCCTGTAGTCCCAGCTACTCAAGAGACTAAGGCAGGTGGATTGCTTAAGCCCAGGAGTTCGAGACCAGTCTGGGCAACATAATGAGACTCTGTCTACCCACCGACTTTTAAATAAATAAGTGAACGAACTGTTCTTTTGGGAGCAGTTTAATTCCCCTAAGCCCACCAGTAAATATTCTTGAAAGTTGAATGAGTTTCAAAATTGCGATTGGTAAATGGAGGATTTTAAATAAATCACTTACTTACTACTTAAATTCATATGTTAAAATCTAAACGAAAATCTAGTGAGAAATAGTTTTTCCCCCCTAAGTTTCTCTTTTCTAATTGAAAAGGCTGTGTTTATGTATCTTAATTTTTAACTGAAAGAAACACAGCCAAAACTGTTTTGTTTTTCCTCTTTACTCCTAAACATGAGCTTTGAAGAGCCTTTAAGAAGGCAGGTTTAGTGACTATTTATCAGTGTTCTGAATATTCTTTTCTAATAAAGGATGCATCGAACTTTTTTTTTTTTTTTGAGACGGAGTTTTGCTCTGTTGCCCAGGCTGGAGTACAGTGGCGTGATCTCGGCTCACTACAACCTCCACCTCCTGGGTTCAAGCGATTCTCCTGCCTCAGCCTCCTGAGTAGCTGGGATTACAGGCACCCACCATCATGCCCGGCTAATTTTTGTATTTTTGTAGAGACAGAGTTTCACCATGTTGGCCAGGCTAGTCTTGAACTCCTGACCTCAGGTGATCTGCCCGCCTTGGCCTCCCAAAGTGCTGGGATTGCAGGCGCGAGCCACCATGCCCAGCCCATCTAACTTTTAAAATAGAAAATATGTAGAAGTTTTAAATAGGTTGACTGACCTCACTGCTTTATATGTATCAATTTTCTACTGTTACCTCAGGGAATGTGCTTGGAATTAGGAGTGGCAATGACATTTTATGTTATTTCTCTAAATCATGCCTTTATCTAAAATTATTTTTCTTTTCCTCCTTTCACTCCCAACAGTGCTAGTTGCCGCAGACCAATCAAAGGGGCTGCAGGCCGGCCATTAGAACTCAGTGATTTCAGGATGGAGGAGTCTTTTTCATCTAAATATGTTCCTAAGTATGTTCCCTTGGCAGATGTCAAGTCAGAAAAGACAAAAAAGGGACGCTCCATTCCCGTATGGATAAAAATTTTGCTGTTTGTTGTTGTGGCAGTTTTTTTGTTTTTGGTCTATCAAGCTATGGAAACCAACCAAGTAAATCCCTTCTCTAATTTTCTTCATGTTGACCCTAGAAAATCCAACTGAATGGTATCTCTTTGGCACGTTCAACTTGGTCTCCTATTTTCAATAACTGTTGAAAAACATTTGTGTACACTTGTTGACTCCAAGAACTAAAAATAATGTGATTTCGCCTCAATAAATGTAGTATTTCATTGAAAAGCAAACAAAATATATATAAATGGACTTCATTAAAATGTTTTTGAACTTTGGACTAGTAGGAGATCACTTTGTGCCATATGAATAATCTTTTTTAGCTCTGGAACTTTTTGTAGGCTTTATTTTTTTAATGTGGGCATCTTATTTCATTTTTGAAAAAATGTATATGTTTTTTGTGTATTTGGGAAACGAAGGGTGAAACATGGTAGTATAATGTGAAGCTACACATTTAAATACTTAGAATTCTTACAGAAAAGATTTTAAGAATTATTCTCTGCTGAATAAAAACTGCAAATATGTGAAACATAATGAAATTCAGTAAGAGGAAAAGTAACTTGGTTGTACTTTTTGTAACTGCAACAAAGTTTGATGGTGTTTATGAGGAAAAGTACAGCAATAATCTCTTCTGTAACCTTTATTAATAGTAATGTTGTTGTAGCCCTATCATACTCACTTTTTAAGACACAGTATCATGAAAGTCCTATTTCAGTAAGACCCATTTACATACAGTAGATTTTTAGCAGAGATCTTTTAGTGTAACATACATATTTTAGAGAATTGTTGGCTAGCTGTACATGTTTTGAAAAGCTGTTTAGCTAGCTATAAGGCTATAATTGGAAATTTGTATTTTTTATTTACAGCAAAACATTTATTCAGTCATCCAGTTTGCTACCAAAATATGTTTTAGATAAGTGTGTGTATGTTTGTTTAGAAGTTAGAAATTGTAAACACTGGTCTTATGTTTCATTTGGATTCATTATTGCATTGTCTTGTTACCAGAAACAAATTTTGCCGAGCTTTTTTTGCCCTATATTTCCCAGCATAATTTGATTAGAAAGTACAAAAAGGGCCAGGCGCGGTGGCTTACGCCTGTAATCCCAGCACTTTGGGAGGCCAGGGCGGGTGGATCACGAGGTCAAGAGATCAAGACCATCCTGGCCAACATGGTGAAACCCCGTCTCTACTAAAAATACAAAAAAATTAGCTGGGCGTGATGATGTGCGCCTGTAGTCCTGTCTACTAGGGAGACTGAGGCAGGAGAATCGTTTGAACCCAGGAGGCAGAGGTTGCAGTGAGCAGAGATTACGTCACTGCACTGTAGCCTGGCGACAGAGCAAGACTCCATCTCAAAAAAAATAAAAAAGTACAAAAAGTACTTGCTTTTATATTACATCATAAGCAGTAGTTAATAAAGTTGTATACTCTTAAGAGGTGGGCATTATGATTATTTTTTATTTTTTTATTTTTTATGAGATGGAGTCTCACTCTTGTCACCCAGACTGTAGTGCAGTGGCACGATCTGGGCTCGATGCAACCTCTGCCTCCCAGGTTCAAGCAATTTTCCTGCCTCGGCAGAGACGGGGTTTCACCATGTTGGCCAGGCTGGTCTCGAACCCCTGACCTCAAGTGATCAGCCCACCTCAGCTTCCCAAAGTGCTGGGATTACAGGTGTGATCCACTGCACCCGGCCGGCATTATGATTTTGTGTACTCTTGAAATGGTTATCTTTGTGGATGATTTTTTTTTTTAAGCTGAAACTTACCTCATGAATAACTTGATTAAAGTAGTAGGTGATTAAAATTTCAATAGAATCAAATGAGACAAAAATTTTAAACTGACTCATTTGAGTTTCAACTTTACAGTCATTGACCATAAAGCACACTAAAAATGTAAGTTATTTTTAAATACATCTGAAATAAAAATACTTACTAAAAAGGAAGAAGCCGAAGATGTATATTTAGACCAGCACACAATTTTGATTTCAATTAGCCTTATTCTAATATTTAGCTTTTAGATCTTTCATACACATTTTCACGTACTTTGCAATTGAGACCAGAAAGACTTGTAGGTCTTTCTGCAGAATGAGTGGGTCCTTGCAAAGTGAGTGGGAAACTTACTCCTAGATCAGAAATGTTTGCCTCTCTGAGTAAAATGTTTCTTTCAGATGAGCCATAGAGGGGGCACCTTTTACTCAACTTTTCTTTGTTTTGAAACTTTGTTTCCCATACTGTTTTCAGCCTTTTGTTTATAATTAGAAATTGTGAGAAGCTTCATTTAGTGTTTAAAAATGTGGGGAGATAAATCAGACTTAACATGTATGTAAGATCAATTCACTTAAAAGTATGGTCCAAATAGCAAAAATAGGACCAGGTGAAACATGTAGTCATTTTTTAAAAACATGTACTTGGTCTTTTGTGTGTGTCTGTTTTATTCCATTAGAATAAATGTGTCCTTGATGTAAATGCAAAGCATTTCTTCCTGATTAAATTGTAGATGTAGACTTTACAATATAATTCAATAATAAAAAGTAATTAACCTCTAGTTTTGTCGTTGCAATAAATGGTTTTCAGATAGCACAAACTGTGATTTCTGGATAACATTTCTTATGTGATATTTATGGATTATTGTGTTTTATTTCAGTCTGTTCATATGTTTTACTTCTTATTGTAATCGGGTTCTCGTTTATTCAAAGGTAAGCAATGTGTAGCTACTGTACTCACAGAATGACATTAAGCGCTCCAAGGCACCTCTCCCACACCTAGTTCCTTTTTCCCACCACTTTTACTGTCTTTAGTATTTACCTATGACCCTTATGATTGTTAGTCTTGCTTTGAGACTAAGCCCGTGTCACTGTGATACGTCATGGAGCTGTGCTCACAAGATGAAAGTGCCATTATGTCTTCCTCATTCATGTGTCCCCAGAGGTGATTTGACTTAAATTAGTGTTTCTCAAGGTAGTATAGACACCATAATTAATTATAAGGCAAATCGCATCAAAGGCTTAAAACAACAAGTTTTATTGCATGCTTACCATGTGCTAGGTACTTTTCTATGTGCTTAATATGTATTGATTCACTCAATCCTCACGATAATCCTATGGAGTAGGCATTTTCGTAATATCATTACAAATGAGGAAACTGATGGTTAGAGGTGTTAGGAAGCTTCTTCATGTTTGCACACAGCTGAGAAGTGATGGCTCTGGTTGCATATAATATGGCAGAGGGAACCTAAAACAAACAATTCTCTGTTTACATGCTTTAAACCAGTTCTGTGTTCAGCCCTGCTCCTTTCACAACTTTGGTGGTGCCTTCTGAGTTTCAAACCTCTGAAGCGTTCTTTTGGGTAAAGTAGCTCACTCCTAGTTTTTCTTGTTTTTGTTTTTGTTTTCTTTGAGACAAGGTCTCACTTAATCTTTCTCTGTGGCTATTTAAATCTTCTGGCCAGGTATGGTGGCTCACACCTACAATTCTAGAACTTTGGGAGGCCGAGGCAGGCAGATCACCTGAGGTCAGGAGTTCAAGAGCAGCCTGGCCAACATGGCAAGACAATTTTTAGTCTCTACTAAAAATACAAAAATTAGCCAGGTGTGGTGGTGGGTGCCTGCAATCCCAGCTACTCGGTAGGCTGAGGCAGAAGAATGACCCGAACCTGGGAGGCAGAGGTAACACTCCAGCCTGGGTGACAGAGTGAGACTCCATTTCAAAACAACAACAGTAATAATAAATTTAAGCCTTATTTAATTTTGCTAATTTTTCTGTTTCTTAATCTTTTTTTTTTTTTTTTTTTTTTGACAGAGTCTTGCTCTGTCGCCCAGGCTGGAGTGCAGTGGCGCCATCTTGGCTCACTGCAACCTCTGCCTCCAGGGTTCAAGTGATTCTCCTGTCTCAGCTTCCCGAGTAGCTGGTACTACAGGTGCGCCGCCATGCCCAGCTAATTTTTGTATTTTTAGTAGAGACGGGGTTTCGCCATGTTGGGCAGGCTGGTCTTGAACTCCTGACCTCAAGTGATCCTCCCAAAGTGCTGGGATTACAGGCGTGAGCCACCACCCCTGGCCTAATTTGTTTTTGTTTGTTTTTTTTTTATCTTCCAGGCAGCTTTTTGAAGTATCTTTTGCTATCTCACTCTACCTCTTTGTCATTGTGTTAAACCCTTTTTTATTCCCTTATCAGTATTCAAGTCTCAGTAGAAATAGGCTGTAAGCATGTGGTCAGCCTGTCACCTTGAATTGATGGTCACTGAGAGCTTTTCGGGATTCACATATCCTTTCCACCAAAGATTTGGGGAGAAAGTAGAGGAGCAGACATAGGGTTTGAGTGCAAGGGGTCTCCATGTGTTTTGTTAAGTTCTCCTAATTATGGAATCATTAGTTGAATCGACAACATTTATACTATATTTACAGTGTTTTTAAATGGATTGAAATTTATTAGTTACCAAATTTTGCCACTTAATGCAACAGACATTTGATACTTTCTCTGTGGTGAATAACAATGTGTAGTTGACGGTGCTTGGGTGCAGTTTTAGAATTTTCTGTGAACTTGAGGCACTCTTTGGGGAAGTTGTTTTTTTTAAAAGCATCTGACGCTGGGTGTGGTAGCTCATGCCTGTAATCCCAGCACTTTGGGAAGCCGAGATGGGTGGGTCACCTGAGGTCAGGAGTTTCAAGACCAGCCTGGCCAACATGGCGAAACCTTGTCTACTAAAAGTACAAAATTAGCTGGGGGTAGTGGTGCACCCCTGCAGCCCCAGCTACTCAGGAGACTGAGGCGGGAGAATCGCTTGAACCTGGGAAGTGGAGGTTGCAGTGAGCCGAGATCGTGCCATTGCACTCTAGTCTGGGTGACGAGCAAAACTCTGTCCCAAAAATAATAACGGGCTGGGCACGTTGGCTCACGCCTGTAATTCCAGCACTTGGGGAGGCCGAGACGCGGAGCACCTGAGGTCAGGAGTTTGAGACCAGCCTGACCAATATGATGAAACCCCACCTCTACTAAAAATACAAAAATTAGGCGGGCATGGTGGCATGTGCCTGTAATCCCAGCTACCCAGGAGGCTGAGACAGGAGAATCGCTTGGACCCGAGAGGTGGAGGTTTTAGTGAGCCGAGATCTTGCCATTGCACTCCAGCCTGGGCACAATCTAGCCTGGGCAACAAAGGCGAAACTCCCATCTTAAAAAATAATAAAAATAAAATTGAAACATATTGTCTATTCTAGTAACTAATAGCCATATAGGTTTATTAGCAATTTAAATATTGCTATTGTTCATTGTATTGAGAGAAACTAATGACCTTATAGTCAAATAACTAAAAATTTGCTTATTTTGGAATAAATAAAAGCTAAGTATGAAAATTCAGTCCTGACAATAGACCACTAATGACTTTATTGTCCAGAAATTGACACATTGGTCTTGTGACAGTGAATACATTTTCCTTCCTTTTGGAGGAAGGGGATGTAAGCTTTTAGGAGCTATAAATGCATTTCCAACTTACGTTTATGATGAGTTTATTGGCACATATACCCCATCATAAGTTGAGCATCTCTACATGTCACATCATGATGGACCCAACAGACAATGTTGAATGGAGCAAGCCTGGGAAAAAGTAGGGCATTGTTCCATTCAGAATTCCTAATGTAGAAAAGCAAAAATAGTCCATGGCGATAGAAGTCAGAATACTACATACCTTTAGGGAGGAGTGGCTATTAACTGAGTATGAGAGATTCTTGCAAGGTGATAGAAATGTTTGTGTCTTGGCCAGGCGTTGTGGCTTTTGCCTGTATTCCCAGCTCCTGGGAGGCCAAGGCAGGAGGATCACTTAAGCCCAGGAATACAAAACCAGCCTGGTTAACATAATGAGACCCTATTTCTTTTGTTTTTCTTCAGGAAATACGTAGGTGTGGTGGCTCATGCCTATAGTCCCACCTACTCAGGAGATGACCCTATCTTTAAAAAAAAAAAAAAAATTTATCCAAACTGAAGCAGAGAGAGGAAAAGGCTAAAAAGCACCTCAACAAAGCCTCAGTAACCTGTGTGTGAGACAATATCTAGCAGTCTTTTTTTTCTTTTTGAGACGGAGTTTTCGCTCTTGTCGCCCAGGCTGGAGTGCAATGGCGCGATCTCGGCTCACCGCAACCTCCGCCTCCTGGGTTCAAGCGATTCTCCTGCCTCAGCCTCCCGAATAACTGGGATTACAGGCATGCGCCTCCACGCCCGGCTAATTTTGCATTTTTAGTAGAGGCGGGGTTTCTCCATGTTGGTCAGGCTGGTCTCAAGAACTCCTGACCTCAGGTGATCCGCCCGCCTCGGCCTCCCAAAGTGCTAGGATTACAGGCGTGAGCCACCGCGCCGGGCCAATATCTAGCAGTCTTTCATAGATGTAATGGTAATACCAGGGGATGAGAGAGTGCAGGGGGAAAAATAATTTCTTAAGAAATGGCTGAAAATTTACTAAGTTCCCAGAAACTATATAAGCCCAAGTATGGGAAGTTCAAGTGACCCCAAAACAAAGTCAAACCAAGGCAACTGTGGCCGGGCGCGGTGGCTCATGCCTGTAATCCCAGCACTTTGGGAGGCCGAGGCGGGCGGTTCAGGAGATCAAGAGATTGAGACCATCCTGGCTAACACGGTGAAACCCCGTCTCTACTAAAAATACAAAAAGAAATTAGCCAGACGTGGTGGTGCATGCCTGTAGTCCCAGCTACTCTGGAGGCTGAGGCAGGAGAATGGCGTGAACCCCGGGAGGCAGAGCTTGCAGTGAGCCGAGATCGCGCCACTGCACTCCAGCCTGGGCGACAGAGTGAGACTCCGTCTCAAAAAAAAAAAAAAAAAAAAAACAAGGCAACTTTAGTGAAGCTATTGCGTACCAGTTTATGATAAAGGGTGGGGGAAGAAAAACAATGAAAGACAACTTAGCAACTGGAGAAAACTGTACACATGACATGGGTAATCAGCAATTAGTTACTACTACTCATTAGTAATAGTGCAAGTCAGACAGTAATGAAACATCTTTAAAGTGATGAAAGAAATATCAGTGTAGATACCCAGCAAAAATATCCTTCAAAATAAAGGTATCTTCAGATTAAACTACAAATGGAAAAGAATACTAGATTAAAACTGGAATTACACAAAGGAATGAAGAGTGCCAGAAATGGTAAATTTATGGCTAAAGACTTTATTGTTTTTCTTTAAAAAGTAGTTTACTGTTCAATACAAAATTGTAGTCATGTATTGTGGGATGTGAAATGTAAAATGTATGTCAATAAAGATAAAAAATGAATATTGTTATCACGTTCTTATATGTAGATTAATATTATTTGAAGATAGACTGTAATAGGTTAAAGATGCATATTGTAAACCCTAAGGTAGCCATTAATAACAAAACAGAGGTATAGCTAGTAAACTAATGGAGTACATAAAATGTAACACTAAGAAAAAGACTCAATCCAAAAGAAAATGGGAAAAGAGGAAAAAACACTGGAGGGTTGGGAAAAGTAGAAAACAAGTAATAAGATGGTAGTCTTAAATCCAACTACAGATGCTCCTTGATTTACATTGGGTTTATCCAGATGTTACACCATCATAAGTCAAGGAGTATACTGAACTTGTGTTGCTTTAGCAGCATCATAAAATCGAAAAATGGTAAATCGAACTTTTTTTTTTTGAGACGGATGTTGCTCTGTCGCCAGGCTGGAGTGCAGTGGCTCAATCTCTGCTCACTGCAAGCTCCGCCTCCAGGGTTCAAGCGATTCTGCCTCAGCCTCCCAAGTAGCTGGGACTACAGGCATGCGCCACTACGCCCAGCTAGTTTTTTGTGTTTTAGTAGAGACGGGGTTTCACCATGTTGGCCAGGATGGTCTGGATATCCTGACCTCGTGATCTGTCCGCCTCAGACTCCCAAAGTGGTTGGATTACAGGCATGAGCCACCGCGCCCTGCCTGGAACTATCTTAAATTAGGGACTGTCTGTATATCATTGTATTAGAAGTGATTTAAGAAAGTTTATGAATTTGTGTTGGGCCACATGCAGCCGTGGGCTGCGGGTTGGACAACTTTGGTCTAAATTAAAAGGTGGATACTGTCGGATTGGATTTTTAAAAGTAAGATCCAACTATATGCTGTCTACAAGAAACATTTAAAATATTGAGTTACAGGTTTAAAATGAATGAAAGAGTACACCATGAAAAAAACTATAATAAATCCAGAATGGTTACATTAATATCAAAGTAGACTTTAGGAAAAGGACTATTACTGTAGATTTTTAAAAAGACATTCAGGCTGGGCACGGTGGCTCACGCCTGGAATCCCAGCACTTTGGGAGGCCGAGGCGGCAGATTACAAGGTCGGGAGATAGAGACCGTCCTGGCTAACACGGTGAAACCCCGTCTCTACTAAAAATACAAAAAAATTAGCCGGGCGTGGTGGCGGGCGCCTGTAGTCCCAGCTACTCGAGAGGCTGATGCAGGAGAATGACGTGAACCCGGGAGGCAGAGCTTGCAGTGAGCTGCGATCGTGCCACTGCTCTCCAGCCTGGGCGACAGAGCGAGACTCCGTCTCAAAAAATAAAATAAGAATAAAAAGACATTCATAAAGGGTCAGTATTAAAAAGACAAAGTCCTAAATGTGTATGCACTCAGTAACAAAACTTCCAAATACATGAAGCAAAACGTGACAGAATCAAAAGGAGAAATAGACAAATACCAAAGTCTAGTTGGAGATTTCAACACTCTTCTTTCAGTAGCTGGTATAACAAAAATTCAGCAAGTTTATAAAAGACATTAACAGTACCTTCAACTAATTTGACCTAATTGACATTTATAGAATGCTACATCCAATGACAGCAGAATACACATTCTTCTCAAGGGCACATGGAGCATTCATAAAGATATAATTTTTGTTGGGTAATAAGTCTCAATAAAGTCTCAAAAAAATTGAAACAAACTATACTTCCTCATCAGGATAGAATTAAAAGTCAATAACAAAAGCATATCTGGAAAATCCTCAAATATTTCAAGTTAAATACCATAATTAAATCCATGGGCCAAAGAAATCACAAGGGAAAGTATTTTGAACCAAATGATAACTCAAATAATCATGCAAATTTAATATAATCACATGTATCTGCATACACAGAGAATATATTTCCATTATATAGATCTGACAAAGAACTTGTATTCAGAATATATAAAGAAAACCTAAAGAATTGGTCAAGCATGGTGGCTCACACCTGTAATCCCACCACTTTGGGAGGCCGAGGCGGGCAGATCACGAGGTCAGGAGTTTCAGACCAGCCTGGCCAATATGGTGAAACCCTGTCTCTACTAAAAATAAAAAATTAGCCAAGTGTGGTGGTGCGCGCCTATAGTCCCAGCTACTTGGGAGGCTGAGGCAGAAGAATCACTTGAACCCGTGAGGCAGAGGTTGCAGTGGGCCGAGATTGCACCACTGCACTCCAGCCTGGGTGACAGAGCAAGACTCCATCTCAGAAAAAACTAAAAAGAAAGCCAAAAGAATTGAGGGTTTCAGTAGATATTTAACAAAATATAGGAATGGCTAGTAACCACTGGTGCAACATTATTAGTATTCAGAGGAATGCAAATTAAAATTACAATGGACTACATACCCATTGGAATGCCTAAAATTAAAAAGCTTGACAACAAAATATTGATGAGGATGTGGAGAAGCTGGAACTCATACATTGCTGGTGGGAGTGTAAAACATTTGAAAAACAGTTTGGCAATTGTTGTATATTGTTAAGCATACACTTACCATAAGATGCAATAATTCCACTCCTAAGTATTTTCTGAAGAGAAGTGGAAACGTGTCTACAAATCTTTTATTCATAATAGCAAAAAACTAGAAATAACCCAAATATCTAACAAAGGACAGTGGTTAAATTCTAGTATATGCATTCAGTCAGATTTAACAAAGAAGTATTGATACACACAACAACATATGTGAATCTCAAAAACGCTGAGTAAAAGAAGCAAGGTATGCCGGGCGTGGTGGCTCATGCCTGTAATTCCAGCACTTTGGGAGTCCGAGGTGGGCCAATCACCTGAGGTCAGGAGTTTGAGACCAGCCTGGCCAACATGGTGAAACCCTGTCTACTAAAAATACAAAAATTAGCTGGGCATGGTGGTGCGTGCCTCTAATTCCATCTATCTGGGGGGCTGAGGCAGGAGAATCACTTGAACTTGGGAGGCTCTAAGATTGCAGTGAGCCAAGATCGTGCCACTGCACTACAGCCTGGATGAGAGAGCGAGACTCTGTCTCAGAAAAAAAAAAAAGAATAAAAAGGGGCTGGACACAGTGGTTCACGCCTGTAACCCCAGCACTTTAGAAGGCTGAGGCAGGAGGATTGCCTAAACCCAGGATTTCAAGACCAGCCTGGTCAACATAGTGAAACCTCATTTCTATTTTAAAAATATATACTTTTAAAATATATAACATTATACAGACAGATAGAGATAGATAGATAGATAGATAGATAGATAGATAGATAGATAGATAGATAGATAATTTTTTCTTTTGAGACAGAGTCTCACTCTGTTACCCAGACTGGAGTGCAGTGGCACGATCTCAGTTCACTGTAACCTCCTCTTCCCAGGTTCAAGTGATTCTCTTGCCTCAGCCTCCCGAGTAGCTGGGATTACAGACATATGTCACCACGCCCAGCTAATTTTTGTATTTTTTAGGAGAGACGGGGTTTTGCCATTTTGGCCAGGCTGGTCTTGAACTCCTGACCTCAGGTGATCCGCCTGCCTATGATAACAATGCCTTCTTATGGATACCTCTTGAAGGATGTGTCTGAGAATGTTTTACAATTAACCTCCTTTTTTTTTTTTTTTTTGAGACAGAGTCTTGCTCTGTTGCCAGGCTGGAGTGTAGTGGTGCGATCTCGGCTCACTGCAACCTCCGCCTCCCAAGTTCAAGTGATTCTCCTGCCTCAGCCTCCTGAGTAGTGGGACTACAGGCACGCACCACCACGCCCAGCTGCTAATTTTTGCATTTTTAGCAGAGACGGGGTTTCACCATGTTGGCCAGGATGGTCTCAATCTCTTGACCTTGTGATCCACCCACCTCTGCCTCCCAAAGTGCTGGGATTACAGGCATGAGCCACCGCGCCTGGCCTTAACTTTCTTTAAATAAGTAGGAGAAATACTCTAAAATAATGATAAAAAGTACAGTAAACACATAAACCAGTAACACTCATTTATTATCATTATCAAATATTAAGTACTGTACATGATTTTGTTATACTTTTGTATGACTGGCCACACAGTAAGTTTGTGTGACCAGAAATATGTGAGTACTGAATTGTGCTACATTATGATGGCTACAGTGTCACTAGGCAGTAAGAATTTTTCAGCCTCTTTATAATCTTATGGGACCACTGTTGTATATGCAGTTCATCATCGACAAAAACGTCGTTAAGCAGTACATGACTATAAAAAGAAAGCCTGGAAAGAACGCCTCCTGGGTTCATGTCATTACTCACAGATGACATGATCGTATATGCAAAAAAGCTGAAAGAATCTATAGAAGAACTATTATAATTAATAGGTTTAATTAGCAAGGGCTCTAAATATAAGATTATTACACTAAAACCAGTTGTGTTGCTGTGTCAACAAGAAACAAATAGAAAATGAAATTTTGAAAAGTATCACTTATAACACCAAAATATATCAAAAAACATTAAATCTAACGATGTCAAAGACCTTTGCACTAGAAACTACAAACCACTGAGAAAAAAATAAAGAAAAAATAAATACCACATTTATAGATTGGAAGAGTTAATGTTGTAAAGATCTTATTTCTTCCCAAATTGATCTACAAATTTAATATAATCCCAATCAAAATTCCAGCAGATTTTTGGTGTGGAAAGTGATACAACATTTTGACTTAGTTGATTCTAAAATTTAGATGGCAATGCAAAGACCAAAGAATAGCTAAGGCAAACCTAAAGAAGAACAAACCTGTAAAATGACACTGACTGCTTGATAGCATGCCCTATTATAAAGCTGTGGCAATTCAGACAGTGTGGTTTTGTTCCAACAATAGACAAACAGGCCAATGGAACACAACAAAGAGTCCACAGACAGGCTGAAGGGTCACCTGATAGATGACAAAGTCAACACTGCTGTGTAGTGGAGAAAGGCCGGTCTTTTTGGGATGGGCCAATTGAATATCCCTATGGAAAAACATTAAACTTGATCCCTACCTCACAATCATTTAAAAGTTACTTTTATTTTTTATTTATTTATTTCTTTTTGAGATGGAGTCTTGCTCTGTCACCCAGGCTGGAGTGCAATGGCATAATCTCGGCTCACTGCAACCTCCGCCTCCTGGGTTCAAGTGATTCTCCTGCCTCAGCCTCCCGAGTAGCTGGGATTACAGGTGTCTGCCACCACACCTGGCTAAGTTTTGTTTTTAGTAGATATGGAGTTTCACCATGTTGGCCAGGCTGGTCTCGAACTCCTGACCTCAGGTGATATCCCCAATGTCGGCCTCCTGAAGTACTGGGATTACAGGCGTGAGCCACCACGCCCAGCCTAAAAGTTACTTTTAAAAAAAGTTAGTTTCAGTTGTATTATCCTTAAAATTGGAAAGGTAAAGCAATACATATTTTAGAAGAGAGCATAGGAGAAGAATATTTTCATAAACTTTGAGTAGGTAAAACTTTCTTAAATGTTTTTGAAAGGCAGTAATCATAATTAAAACAATTCATACATGGGACTGTAGTAAAATTAAAAACTTCTGTTCACCAAAAGACATCACCGAAAGAGTGGAAAGGCAAACCAAAGAGTGGGAGAAAATATTTGCTGTACATGGGTCTGATAAAGCAGTCATATCAAAAATATATAAAGAACTTCTACAAACTGATCTAAAAAAAAAACTAATATAAAAGTGATCCAAAACTGAGGGCTTTCACAAAACTGGATGCCTAAATGTGCGATAAATATTCAAAACATATAAAGAACTTCTACCAATAGGCTGGGCATAATGGCTCATGCCTGTAATCCCAGTTCTTTGAGAAGGCAGAGGCAGGAGGATCACTTGAGCCCAGAAGTTTGAGACCAGCCTGGGTAACATACTGAGACCCCCACCTGTATTTAAAAACAAACAAACAAACAAAAAATTCCAACAAATAAACGAAGAGACAACCTTTTGCCAACAATGGGCAAAAGTCTTTAACAAGCAGTTCACACATAGCTAATAAACATTAAAAAGCGTATGGCATGACTGGTAATTAACCACAGAGAGATATCATTACACACCCATCAGCCTGCTAAAAATTAAATCATGCAATAGCAAAAGAGTATGTGGGGCCAGGAACAGTGGCTCACACCTGTAATCCCAGTACTTTGGGCAGCTGAGGCGGGTGGATCATTTGAGGTCAGGAGTTCGAGACCAGCATGGCCAACATGCTGAAACCCCACCTGTACTAAAAATACCCAAAAAATTAGCCGGATGCTGTGGCAGGTGCCTGTAGTTCCAGCTACTCGGGAGGCTGAGGCAGGAGAATCACTTGAACCTGGGAGGTGGAGATTGCAGTGAGCCAAGATCACACCACTGCACTCCAGCCTGGGCAAAAGAGCGAGACTCCATCTCAAAAAAAAAAAAAAAAAAAAAAAAAAAAATTAGCTTGGTGTCGTGGCACGCACCTGTAATCCCAGCTACTGAGGCAGGAGAATTCTTGAACCTGGGAGGTGGAGGTTGCAGTGAGCCGAGATCATGCCACTGCACTCCAGCATGGGCCACAAAGTGAGACTCCATCTCAAAAAACAATAAACAAACAAAAAAACAAAAGAGCATGTGGAATAATGGAATAATAATAATAAGCAATTAAGCAATTGCAGGCATGAGCCACCGTTCCTGGCCCCACATACTCTTTTGCTATTGCATGATTTAATTTTTAGCCGGCTGATGGGTGTGTAATGATATCTCTCTGTGGTTTACTTACCAGTCATGCCATACACTTTTTAATGTTTATTAGCTATGTGTGAACTGCTTGTTAAAGACTTTTGTCCTTTTTTGGCAAAATATTGTCTCTTCATTTATTTGTTGGAATTTTTTTTTTTTTTAAATACAGATGGGGGTCTCAGTATGTTGCCCAGGCTGATCTCAAACTTTTGGGCTCAAGTGATCCTTGGGGGATACCCAGGTGCACTGGTGGAAGTATAAATTGGAACAACTCTGAAAAGCGGTTTGACATATCTATTCAGCATAGTGTATCCAACAATTGAGTAATACCATGATTAGATATACACCCTAGGTAAATTTTGTTTTTTTTTTTTAACAGTCTTGCTCTTTTGCCCAGACTGGAGTGCAGTGGTGCCATTTCGGCTTATTGCAACCTCCACTTCCCAGGTTCAAGCAATTCTCCTACCTCACCCTCTCAAATAGCTGAGACTACAGGCACACCACCACCACACCTAGCTAATTTTTTGTATTTTTAGTAGAGACAGGGTTTCGCCATGTTGGCCAGGCTAGTCTCGAATTCCTGGACTCAAGTGATCGGCCTGCCTCGGCCTCCCGAAGTGCTGGGATTACAGGCATGAGCCACCGCGCATGGCCTCTAGGTAAACTCTTACACCTGCAGACCAGAACACATGTAAAGAAAATTTATAGCAGTACTGTTCATAGTTACCAAAAGCCAGAAATATAATATATGTAATGTGTGAATTACTGCTACACAGCATGGATGAATTTCATGATGTTCAGTAATATATGCAAGTTAAAAGTATTACATGATATGATTTAAATTCAAGTTGAAAAATAGGTAAAATTATATTGTTTGAGGATGCATAATTAAGTGTTAAAACTATAAAGAGAAGAAAATAATTACCAAAAAAATCAGACTGCTGATAACCTGTGGAAAGGAGGGAATTGTAATCAGGAAAGGATGCAGGAGAAAGGGAAGGAACTGGGGAGTGTTGTGTTTCTTGATCAGGGTGGTGGTTAAATAGGTGTTGCTTCATGGTCACGAAATTGTATACTTAATTAGCTGGGCATGGTGGCACACACCTGTAGTCCCAGCTACTTGAGAGGCTGAGGTTGAAGGATCACTTGAACCCAGCAGTGCAGTGAGCTGAGATCGCACCACCTCACTCCAGCCTAGGCAAGAGTGAGACCCTGTCTCCAAAACAACAACAAAAAAAAGTGAGTTGTGTCTTAGCTGAATAGCAAAAACAATCTTGAAGAAGAGCAAAGTTGGAGGTTTCACACTTTCTGATTTTGTTTTATTAGTAGTATTTTTTTATCTTTTATCTTTTTTTTTTGAGATAGAGTCTCTCTCTGTCTCCCAGGCTGGAGTGCAGTGGTGCGATCTTGGCTCACTGCAACCTATGCCTCCTGGGTTCAAGCGATTCTCCTGCCTCAGCCTCCTGAGTAGCTGGGACTACAGGGCATGCGCCACCATGCCCAGCTAATTTTTTTTTTTTTTTTTGAGACAAAGTCTCACTCTGTTGCCCAGTCTGGAGTGCAATGGGGCAATCTTTGCTCACTGCAACCTCTGCCTCCCAGGTTCAAGTGATTCTCCTGCCTCAGCCTCCCAAGTAGCTGGGATTACAGGTGCCCACCATCACACACAGCTAATTTTTGTATTTTTAGTAGAGATGGGGTTTCATCATGTTGGTCAGGCCAGTCTCAAACTTCTGACCTCAGGTGATCCACCAGCCTTGGCCTCCCAAAGTGCTGGGATTACAGGCATGAGCCACCATGCCTGGACACACTTTCTGATTTTAAAACATACCACAAAGCTATAGTAGTCAAAACAGTGTGGTACTGGCATAAAGACAGACATATAAACCAATGGAATAGAATAGAGGGCCCAGAAATAAACCCTAGCATATATGGTCAAGTAATTTTCATTAAGCGTGCCAAGACTGCTCATGGGGAAAGAACAGTCTCTTCAACTAATGGTGTTGGGAAACTGGATATCCATATGTAAAAGAATGAAGGTAGACTCTTTCCTTCAACCATGTATAAAATTTAATTCAAATAGATTAAGGAGGCCAGGCAAGGTGGCTCATGCCTGTAATCACAGGGCTTTGGGAGGCTGAGACAGAAAGATCTCTTGAGCCCAGGAGTTCAAGACCAGCTTGGGCAACGTAGTGAAACCCCATCTCTACAAAAAATAAAGAAAATTAGCCAGGCCTGGTGACATGTGTCTGTAGTCACAGCTATTCGGGATGTTGAAGTGGGAAGATCGAGTGATCACATCTAGGAGGTCAAGGCTGCACTCCAGCCTCCATGACAGAGCAAGACCCTCTCTCAAAAAAAAAAAAAAAAAAAAGATTAAGGACCTAAACATAACACTAAAATAATAAAACTATTAGAAGAAACCATAAGGGAAAAGCATCATGACATTGAATTTGGCAATGTTTTTTTCATATGGCACCAAAAGCATAGGCAACAAAAGCTAAAATATGCAAATGGAGCTACATGAAACTTAAAAACATCTGTGCATCAAAAGACAATCTATGGAATGGGAGATACATATCCAGAATATATAAAGAACTCCTGCAATTCAACAACAAAAAATCCAAATAACCTAATTTTAAAATAGGCCAAAGACATGAATAAACATTTCTCTGAAGAAAACAGACAAAGAGGCCGGGCGTGGTGGCTCATGCCTGTAATCCCAGCACTTTGGGAGGTCAAGGTGGGCGGATAACCTGAGGTCGGGAGTTCGAGACCAGCCTGACTAACATGGAGAAACCCCGTCTCTACTAAAAATACAAAATTAGCCGGCCATGGTGGCGCATGCCAGTAATCCCAGCTACTCAGGAGGCTGAGGCAGGAGAATCGCTTGAACCTGGGAGGTGGAGGTTGCAGTGAGCTGAGATCGCGCCATTGCACTCTGGCCTGGGCAACAAGAGCAAAACACCATCTCAAAAAAAAAAAAAGGGCCAATAAGCATATGAAAATCATCATTAATCATTAGAGAAATGCAAATCAAAATACAAGGAGATATCACCTCATACCTATTAGGACTATTGAAAAAACAGAAAATAACAAGTATTGGCAAGGATGTGAGAAATTGGAAGCCTTGTGCACTGCCGGTGGGAATGTAAAATGGCATAGCCATTATGGAAAACAGTATGGAGGTTTCTAAAAAAATTAAAAATGGTATTGCCATATGATCCAGCAAACACACTTCTGGGTGTATATCCAAAAGAATTTAAATCAGGCCGGGCGCAACGGTTCAGGCCTGTAATCCCAGCACTTTGGGAGGCCAAGGTGAGCAGATCGCGAGGTCAGGAGATTGAGACCATCCTGGTTAACACGGTGAAACTCCGTCTCTACTAAAAATACAAAAAAAAAAAATTAGCCTGGTGTGGTGGTGGGCGCCTGTAGTCCCGGCTGAGTCAGGAGAATGGCGTGAACCCGGGAGGCAGAGCTTGCAGTGAGCCGAGATCACGCCACTGCACTCCAGACTGGGCGACAGAGCAAGACTCCTTCCTTCCCTCCTTCCCTCCTTCCCTTCTTCCTTCCTTCCCTCTCTTCTTTCTGACGGAGTCTTGCTCTGTCTCTCAGGCTGGAGTGCAGCGGTGCAATCTTGGCTCACTGCAACCTCTGCCTCCTGGGTTCAAGTGATTCTCCTGTCTCAGCCTCCTGAGTAGCTGGGATTACAAGTGCGCACAATCACACCCAGCTAATTTTTGTATTTTTAGTAGAGACCGGGTTTCACCATGTTGACCAGGCTGGTCTTGAACTCCTGACCTCAGGTGATCTGCCGGTCTTGGCCTCCCAAAGAGCTGGGATTATAGGCATAAGCCACCAGGCTAGGCTCTGGATATCTTTAATTAATGGAATGAAGACTGCCACCATCAGATAACAGAACATGTGGAATTTTTTCTTTGATTAAGGGACCAGAAGATATTCAATTGAGGTTTATTCAGGTATGTTTTAAGGTATCATAACAGTGACAGTTTTTTGTTTTGTTTTGTTTTTTTGGAAATGGCCTGTTGCTATGTTGCCTAAGATGGATCTCAAGCTCCTGGCCTCAAGTGATCCTCCTGCCTAAGCCTTCTAAGTATCTGGGATTACTGGCATGAGCCACCACCTTCAGTTCCTTAAGGCTATTTAAAGTAGACATAATAGCCAGGTACGGTGGCTCACACCTGTAATCCCAGCAGTTTGGAGGCTGAGGTGGGTGGATCACCTGCGTTCAGGAGTTCAAGACCAGCCTGGCCAACATGGCGAAACCCCAACTCTATTAAAAATGCAAAAATTAGCAGGGTGTGGTGGTGTGTGCCTGAAGTCCCAGCTACTTTGAAGGCTGAGGCAGGAGAATCGCTTGAACCTGGGAGGCGGAGGTTGCAGTGAGCCAAGATTGCACCACTGCACTCCAGCCTGAGCAACAGAGTGCGATTCCATCTCAAAAAAATAAATAAATAAAAACAAAATAGATGTAATAGGGCTGGGTTCAGTGGTGTGTATCTGTAGCCCCAGCTACTCAGCAGGCTGAGGCCAAAGGATCCCTTGAGTCCAGGAGTTTGAGGCTGCAGTGTGCTATGATCACACCTGTGAATAGCTCTACTGCACTCCAGGCCTGGGCAATACAGTGAAACCCTGTCTCAAAAAAAAGTCAAAACAATTTTTTAAATAAAGTAGATATAACAGAAAAACATTATATATATGGTATTATAACTAAATGTTTTCTTATAGATTGTTTTGTTTTTATAAATAAGTCACTTTTGGGCTATTGTGCATTTTTACCATACCAAAGAGAATGTCTGATAGTAGTCCCAAAGTATTTGCTTATTATTGTCTGGTACTCCTTTATTAGTCAAGAATGTTGCTGACATTTTTACTTGGGTAATTTCTAACTTCCCAATATTCTACAAATAGAATTTTAGTTTTGTGTGCAGAGATCTTTCTACAGTATTTTCATACTATACTACCCTGTATTAGGTAGCTTCGAATTGAGGAAAAATTTGCAGATGAATTCGTAATATTCCTGATCTTTTTCTCATTACAAACTATGTAAATTTTACGGTAAAATTTTGAAGCAACCAAAAGTAACTATTTTTATACTGCAGTGTCAACTGCTGTAGTAAATTCTAATCCAGCTAAAACATGGACAGTGAGAACCCCAAACATTTCGCACAATAAGAATTAATAAGCAGGCTTTAGTTAGGCCGTTTACTTCAGGATTTAAAAAATAATACGTAGTCATATGGCCACAAACTGGTATTCCAGCCATTGAGTTTATGATTTTACAAAAAGAGTACACTAGATGTCGCTGTGAAACTCAGTGTAGTTTGTAATCGTTCTGCTATAGGAGAGCTCTGTGAAGTAGTCTGTCATTTGTTATTAATATGTGAGTTGCTGGCTGGGTGAGGTGGCTCGCGCCTGTAATCCCAGCACTTTAGGAGGCTGAGGTGGGCGGATCGCTTGAGCTCAAGAGTTGGAGATCAGCCTGGGCAAAAGCGTGAAACCATGTCTTAAAAAAAAAAAAAAAAAAAAAAAATTGTAGGCCGGGTGCAGTGGCTCACACCTGTAATCCCAGCACTTTGGGAGGCTGAGGCGGGTGGGATTGCCTGAGGTCAGGAGTTCGAGACCAGCCTGGCCAACATGGTGAAACCTTGTCTCTACCACAAGTACAAAAATTAGCTGGGTGTGGCGGCCGGCGCCTGTAATCTCAGCTACTCGGGAGACTGAGGGAGGAGAATCGCTTGAACACAGGAGGTGGAGGTTGCAGTGAGCTGAGATGGCGCCATTGCACTCCAGCCTGGGCGACAGAGTGACACTCCGTCTCAAAAAAACAAAACAAAACAAAAAGTGAATTGCTGTTAGTTTTGGTCTTCTTTTATTATTACTTTTTTATTTTTTTTTATTTTGAGACGGAGTCTTGCTCTGTCACCCAGGCGGAGACTGCAGTGGTGCGATCTCGGCTCACTGCAACCTCTGCCATCCAGGTTCAAGCGATTCTCCTGCTTCAGCCTCCTGAGTAGCTGGGATTACAGGCGTGAGCCATCTCGCCCAGCCGACAAAATATTTAAAAATTAGCCAGGTGTAGTGGCGTGTACCTGTAGTCCCAGCTACTCGGGAGACTGAGGCAGGAGGACCCCTTGAGGCCAGGAGGTCAAGGCTGCAGGGAGCTGTGATTATACCACTGCACTCCAGCCTGGGTGACAGAGTGAGACCCTGTCTCAAAAAAAGAAAAAGAAAAAAGAAACAATGAAAAGTCTCCCTTTCACCTCTGACCCCCACTCTCCAGTTCCCCACCCCATAGGCAACCAATGTTATTAGTTTTTGTGTGTGTATCTTTCCAGAGATATCACATGCACACACACACACACACACACACACACACACACACACACACACACACACAATTTTACTCTTCTCTTTCATAGGTGGTGTCATAATCTACCTACTATTTAATACCTTTAATGTTTCATTTAACAATGTTTGGAATCTTTTGACGTCAGTACAAAAGGTTTCATTTTATTTATTTATATTTATTAGCAGTTTCATAGTGTTCCATGTGTGGCTGTAGCATAATTTATTTAACCCTATTGATCGATTACTGCATTGTTTCCCATCTGTTGTAGTTATAAGTAATGCTACAATGAATCATCTTGTACCCATATCATTTTGCACATGTGCTGTAATTGTAAGAATAGTTCCCCAAAATGAAATAAATGGACCAAAGAGTCTATGAGTTTTTTCTTTTAAGAGATAGGGTCTTGGCCAGGCGTGGTGGCTCACATCTGTAATTCCAGCACTTTGGGAGGCCGAGGTGGGTGGATCGCTTGAGCCCAAGAGTTTGAGACCAGCCTGGGAAAAATGGCGAAAACTCGTCGCTATAAAAAAAAAAAATACAAAAATTAGCCGGGCATGGTTGCATGTACCTGTGCTCCCAGCTACTTTGGAGGCTGAGGTGGGAGGATCACTTCAGCCCAGGAGGCAGAGGCTGCAGTGAGCCATGATGGCGCCACTGTACTTCAGCCTGGGTGGCAGAGTGAGACTCTGTCTCAGAAAGAGAGGGAAAGAGAGAAAGAGATGAAGTCTCACTACGTTGCCCAGGTGATCTTCCCACCTCAGCCTCTGGAGTAGCTGGAACCCCAAGAAAACACCACCGTGGCTGGCTTGTGATTTTTGATAGACAGATGTTGTCTGCATAATATGCCTTGACAGCCAGGATGCTCTTACTGTCACTTTCTCTGCCCTCTCAACTTATAGGGGTGCGCACGTGTGTGTGTTGTTGTTATAAACAAAAATATCTATAACCATGTAAAGTTGTTGATGTAGTTTGGCTGTGTCCCCACCCAAATCTCATCTTGAATTGTAGCTCCCACAATTCCCACCTGTCGTGGGAGGGACCCAGTGGGAGGTAATTGAATCCTGGGGTTGGGTCTTTCCCATGCTGTTCTTGTAAGTTTCATGAGATCTAATGGTTTTATTTATTTATTTATTTATTTATTTATTTATTTATTTAGACAGAGTCTTGCTCTGTCACCCAGGCTAGAGTGCAATGGCGTGATCTTGGCTCACTGCAACCTCCACCTCCCCAGTTCAAGCAATTCTCCTGCCTCAGCCTCCCGAGTAGCTGGGACTACAGGCGCCCACCACCACGCCTGGCTAATTTTTGTATTTTTAGTACAGACAGAGTTTCACCATGTTGGCCGGGATGGTCTCAATCACTTGACCTCATGATCCGCCCACCTCAGCCTCCCAAAGTGCTGGGATTACAGGCGTGAGCCACCGTGCCTGGCGGAGATCTAATGGTTTTATAAGGGGGAGTTTCCTTGCACAAGTTCTCTTTTGTCTGCCACCATGTAAGACATGCCTTTCGCCTTCCACCATGATTGTGAGGCCTCCCCAGCCATGTGGAACTGTGAGTCCATTAAACCTCTTTTTCTTTATAAATTACCCAGCCTCAGGTATGTCTTTATCAGCATTGCGAAAACAGATTAATACAGTTGTTTAATCCTAAATGGGGCTGGAGCCAGCTGTATTATTTTAGATTATGAGGTTTTAAAATTCTGGTTCTTCTCATTTTTATCTGTTATCTATCCCTCCTTTTAGCTGCCAGCTGACTCGGTATCTAATAGCCTCTCCTTTGATCCCTATTAATTTTTATCTTCTAACCTTTTGGTGGTTCAAAATGCTGATCTCCAAGCTTACTAGGTTTCAGCCAAGAAAAGATCAAACTGTACTCACTAACATTATGATTTATTTCTCAAACTAGAGATCAGAATTCTACTTTTGTTTCAAATTTGTAATCTGAGTTATTCACAGTCTGTTTTTTTTTTTTTTGAGAGGGAGTCTTGCTCTGTCGCCCCAGCTGGAGTGCAGTGGCACAATCTCGGCTCACTGCAACCTCCGCCTCCTGGGTTCAAGCGATTCTCCTGCCTCAGCCTCCCGAGTAGCTGGGATTACAGGTGCCCACCAAAATGCCCGGCTAATTTTTGTATTTTAGTAGAGACGAGGTTTCACCATGTTGGTCAGGCTGGTCCCAACCTCCTGACCTCGTGATCCGCCTGCCTCAGCCTCCCAAAGTGCTGGGATTACAGTCGTGAGCCACTGTGCCCTGCCTATTCACAGTCTTTGTATGTGTTTTCTTCCCAGTGAGGCTTTAATTTTTCTTTTTTTTTTGAGATGGAGTTTCGCTGTTGTTGCCCAGGCTGGAGTGCAATAGCATGATCTTGGCTCACTGCAACCTCTGCCTCCCAGGTTCAAGCAATTCTCCTGCCTCAGCCTCCCGAGTAGCTGGGATTACAGGCATGCACCACCACGCCTGGCTAATTTTGTATTTTTAGTAGAGATGGGGTTTCTCCATGTTGAGGCTGGTCTCGAACTCCTGATCTCAGGTGATCCACCCGCCTCAGCCTCCCAAAGTGCTGGGATTACAGGCTTGAGCCACCGTGCCCAGCTGCTTTAATGTTGTTTTGTTAATTAACCATATAAATCTTGATGTAAGAGGACTTTAACAAAGCTGAACATAAAGAATTGAGTTTATGTATGCATTAAATCCATCAAGTGAGCATTCAAATGTTCTCTCTATAGTATGTTATTTCAGGGTCTAAATGTGTTGCTACAATAGATTGCTTTCAAACAGAACTCCTATATTGCTGTGCTGGTTAAGCTATTGTTTCTCCGCTCCAAACCCACTCCTCTATAGTTTCTGACAGTTGGGCTGAGACAATGCAAAAGACTATTATAGGCTCACCTGAACAGGGGGTAGTAAAGGAGATTGGACGGCAGGAGGAGGATGGGACTTGGCTGCTGCTCCTGTCCCACCTCTTCACATCACTTCTTCCTCCCTTCACTCTGGCAGCAACAGTTGGTTTGTACCCAGCTTTTTTTTTTTTTTTTTTTTAGACAGAGTCTAGCTCCATTGCCCGGGCTGGAGTGCAGTGGTGCGATCTTGGCTCACTGCAACCTCTGCTTCCCGGATTCAAGAGATTATCCTGCCTCAGCCTCCCGGGTAGCTGGGATTACAGGTGCCCGCCACCATGCCTGGCTAATTTTTGTATTTTTAGTAGGGATGGGGTTTCACTGTGTTGGCCAGGTTGGTCTCGAACTCCTGACCTCGTGATCTGCCCGCATTGGCCTCCTAAAGTGCTGGGATTAAAAGCATGAGCCACCAGGCCTGGCCTTTTTTTTTTTTTTTTTTTTTTTTTTTTTTTTTGAGACAGGGTCTCACTCTGTCACCCAGGTTGGAGTGCAGTGGCGCAATCTCAGCTCACCACACAGCCTCTGCCTCCCAGGTTCAAGGGATTCTCCTGCCTCAGCCACCAGAGTAGGTGGAATTATAGGCACATGACACCATGACTGACTAACTTTTTTTTTTTTTTTTTTGAGACGGAGTTTGGCTCTTGTTGCCCAGACTGGAGTGCAAGGGGTGCACGACCTCAGCTCACTGCAACCTCCACCTCCCAGGTTGAAGCGATTCTCCTGCCTCAACCTCCCAAGTAGCTGGGATTACAGGCATGTGCCACCATGCCCAGCTAATTTTGTATTTTTAATAGAGACGTGGTCATGTTCCCCAGGCTGGTCTCAAACTCCTGACCTCAGGTTATCTACCAGCCTCGGCCTCCCAAAATGCTGGGATTACAGGCATGAGCCACTGCACCCGGCCTATGCCATTAGATCTTAATAGAAGGGAGAAGGTTGAAATTGTGGTGTCTTGAAATAGCCCAGCTGGTAAACAACTAGAAGAGTTTTGTGATACAGCCAGTATGTTTGGGTTATTTTTACACTAGATAACCTGGAAAGTACTTTGATATGAGCAAAAATGTTAAAAGGATATTTTGGCTAGCATACCCAGTTTTTCTAGCATTTCCAGAATCAGCCTCATTGAGTTCCTTTGGAGACAAGCTCTAGCCAGGCAGTGCCTTCTCAGAGGTTTGGGTCCTAGTTCCACAGGGAACTGCCCGCTGCTAAATTCTAACTCCAACCTCTTCCCTTTGTGCCTCCACCACTAGGGGTGGTAGCTCTTTCTGCAGTTATTATGTGTGCAGACTCAGTCTTCTCTCGGTGCCTTTAAACTTCTCCAGTGCCCATTTAATCTATTCCCATAGGCAACACTGTTAAAATAATGGTGTGGTTTATTTTTTTTCCTGATAGAATGATTATAGTCACAGTTTTATCAAGGAAAAGAGCATAAAATGCTCTACTTAACTATATACAGTGTATTTTTAATTAATACCTTGTTCGGAAAAATTATAATTGTGTTTTTCCCATTGTCTCACTCAATAACACAACAACAATAAACACAGCAGACTTTTGTGACCAAATGTGGAGGATTTCTCCCCACCAAGAAACAAGCAATCAATTCTGCAGCAGACACCAGCTGAATGTCCTCTAATTCAATTCCAACATCATTTACCTGGAGATAGTGCCAGATCCCACAGGTTGAGGGCTCAGTCTCCAAACCTGCCCCCCACTTCAGACACCCTAGCAAGTCTGGGCCTCTGGAACTTCTGACCAACTGGCTTCAAGTTGGGGTTCCCAGAATTCCCTCTTTGGGTTCAATTAATTTGCATGTGTGGCTCACAGAACTCAAGGAAACATTTATTTACATTTACTGGTTTATCATAAAGGATATTACAAATAATACAGATGATGAGCTGCATAGGGCAAGTTATGGGGGAGGGGGCGTAGTGCTTCCATGCTCTCCCCAAGCACACCACTCTCCAGGAAACTCCACATGTTCCCCTGCCCTCTTGGGACTTTTTATGCGGACTTCATTGGATAGGCATGATTGAAGCATGGACAACCGTGTGATTGGACAAAAGGTGTATGCTCTAAACCCAGAAAGATTATTATTATTATTTTTTGAGACAGGCTTGTACTTCCATTGCCCAGGCTGGAGTGCAGTGGCGCCATCTTGGCTCACTGCAACCTCCACCTCCCAGGTTCAAGCAATTATCCTGCTTCAGCTTGCCGAGTAGCTGGGATTACAGGTGCACACCACTATACCCGGCTAATTTTTGTATTTTTTGTAGAGACAGGGTTTTACCATGTTGACCAGACTGGTCTGGAACTCCAGAGCTCAAGTGATCCACCCGCCTTGGCCTCCCAAAGTGTTGGTCCAGCAAGATTCTTCTTGGCCACTCTGTGCAACATTCCTTCCTCCAAGTTATGGGACAAGATTCTCTCTAGAATGATGAGATTAGAGTCCTGCCATGGGCAGGCCAAGGGAGGGCCGGAGAAGATCAGAGAGATTCTCTTTATTGTAACAGGGGCTATGGGAGTTATGAGCCAGGAACCATAGATCAAAACCTATATATATGTCACGCGCCTCAGATTTTATAGGTTAGTTCTGGCACAGTTTTAGTAAAAGTAACCACATTTGCTAAAATTGCTTCTTTTTTTTTTTTTTTCTGAGACGAATTCTCACTGTGTCACCCAGGCTTGAAGTGCAGTGGCATGATCTCGGCTCACTGCAGCCTCCACCTCCTGCGTTCAAGCTATTCTCCTGCCTCAGCCTCCCGAGTAGCTGGGATTACAGGCAAGGGCCACCACACCCAGCTAATTTTTGTTTTGTTTTTGAAACGGAATTTCGCTCTTATTACCCAGGCTGGAGTGCAATGGCATGATCTCAGCTTACTGCAACCTCCGCCTCCTGGGTTCAAACAATTTGCCTGCCTCAGCCTCCTGAGCAGCTGGGATTACAGGCGTGCATGCCACCATGCCCAGTTAATTTTTGTATTTTTACTAGAGACGGGTTTCACCGTGTTGGCCAGGCTGGTCTCAAACTTCTGACCTCCCAAAGTGCTGGGGTTACAGGCATGAGCCATCGCACCTGGCCTAAAATTGCTTCTTAACCATTTAGAAAATCTTGAAAACAAGGCATCTTGGAAAAGGGTCCCCTGAAAAACAATTGTTGTAAACTAAGCTGTTGGCTTCTGCAGGCTTCTAATACAATATAAATACTAAGGTAAACTGTAGGACAGATAAGTCTATTTTAGGCTATGACTCTGTAACATGGTGAGTACAAAGAATGTAACTGCTCTCTAGTGACCCTTGAACTTAGAACTGGAACCATATCTCAAATAGGTTTCTCTAAGGTAGGCTTGGCAGCATTAAATCATTCAGAAAATATTTATAGAACATTTTGGATACACATGGCTGGCACCCTAGGGGCAAGAGTCCACCGATGAGCAAACCAGACTCTTGTAGAACTTAGGATCTTATGACTAATGTAAAGGAACTAAATGCTTTCTCAGCCTGAGTAAATGGGACCAATTCAACCCTGCAGTTCAGAATGCCTGAAATGAATAGATTCAATAAGGTGAGTTATTCCTGAAGAAAGGATTAAGGAGTGCCCAGGTTCCTAAATAACATCGCCCTATAAAATGTACCAGGGCTTCTTGGAGAAATGACTGATGCTAGGGTTAGAGCATGAAAAGCACAGATAAGCGAGAAATATCTTGCATCAGAAAGTAAGGAAGGCCAGAAGCCATGGCTCATACCTGTAATCCCAGCACTTTGGGAGGCTGAGGCAGTAGGATCCCTTGAGCCCAGGAGTTTGAGACCAGCCTGGGCAACATAGCGAGACTCTTGTTTCTATAAAAATTTTTAAAAATTAAAATTAAAAATAAATATATAAATATTTTCTAAAAGAAAGTAAAGATATGCTCAAAAAGTAATGGGACATGTTAAAAGTACACAGGAGCCAGCTGGCAGGGGCTCCCAAATAGGATAATTTGAACATCAAAACAAAAGTAGGCTGGGTGCGGTGACTCACACCTGTAGTCCAAACAGTTTGGGAGGCTGAGGAGAGCAGATCACTTGAACCCAGAAGTTCAAGACTAGCCTGGGCAACATGGTGAAACCCTGTCTCTACAAAAAATACAAAAATAAGCTAGGTGTTGTGGCATGCGCCTGTAGTCCCAGCTATTTGGGAGGCTGTGATGAGAGGTTTGCTTGAGCCCATAAGTTTGAGGCTGCAGTGAGCTATGATTCCGCCAGTCTGCAGCACTGCACTCCAGCCCAGGTAAGCCCGTGTCAAAAAAAAAAAAAAAAAAAAGCCAGCGAAACACCTAACTAGTAATGTGTTATAATCTAGATTCCAGAGTCCATATCTATACTGATAACACATGAATGAATGAATAAAAAGGAAAGCTCATTCTTTTTGTTTTGTTTTGTTTTGAGACAGAGTCTTGCTCTGTCACCCAGGCTGGAGTGCAGTGGTGTGATCTTGGCTTGCTGCAACCTCTACCTCCCAAGTTAAAGTGATCCTCCCCACCTCAGCCTCCTGAGTAGCTGGGACTACAGGTGTGTGCCACCATGCCTGGATAATTTTTGTATATTTACTAGAGATAGGGTTTTGCCATTTTGGCCAGGCTGGTCTCGAACTCCTGGCCTTAAGTTATCTGCCTGCCTTGGCCTCCCAAAGTGCTGGAATTATAGGCGTGAGCTACCGTGCCCAGTGGAAGCTCATACTTATAGTAGAATGGTCAGCTAAAAAAAAATATAGAAGAAACAAAGATTTATTTTTTGTTGTTGTTGTTTTTGTTTTTGAGAAAAAGTCTCACTCTGTTGCCCAGGCTGGAGTGCAGTGGCACTACCTCGGCTCACTGCAACCTCTGCCTCCCAAATTCAAGTGATTCTCCTGCCTCAGCTTCCCGAGTAGTTGGGATTACAGGTGCCCACCACCACGGTGTGGTGCCTGGCTAATTTTTGCATATTTAGTAGAGATGGGGTTTCACCATGTTGGCCAGGCTGGTCTCAAACTCCTGACCTCAGGTGATCCACTTTAGTCTCCCAAAGTGCTGAGATTACAGGCATAAGCCATGCATCTGGCCTGAAGCAAAGATTTAGAAAATCATGTAATCATGGTAATTGTTGATTCAGGCAAGAATAATCAATAGATGTGAAAATTACTGGGTATGTGATTTTTGAAAAACAGGATATTTACATAGTCTCAAAAGTATCTCTTTATAAATTACTGGTTAATTACAAAGGGAAAAATAATAACTTTACAGTGAAGAAATTTGATAGACACCACCTTTAACTAAGTGATCAAAGTTAACCTCACCCTAGGAATGGTATAAATCACCAAGTGTTTCCTGAGGGGTGCACTGAGCAGAATACATCACTCACACAGTATCCCTTCTCTAAATGCACAACCTGAATGGAATCACAAAACTTCAGACAACTCTCAACTAAAGGAAATTTTACATAAATCGCTGGCCTGTACTCCTAAAAAATGTCAGGCCATTCTAAGTGGCATGAGATGGTATCTCACTGTGGTTTTGATTTGCATTTCTCTAATGACCAGTGATGATGAGCTTTTTTTCATATGTTTGTTGGCCGCATAAATGTCTTCTTTTGGGAAGTGTCTGTTCATATCCTTCACCCACTTTTTCATGGGGTTGTTTATTTTTTTCTTGTAAATTTGTTTAAGTTCCTTGTAGATTCTGGCGATCATTAAAAAGTTGGGAAACAACAGATGCTGGAGAGGATGTGGAGAAATAGGAACGCTTTTACACTGTTGGTGGGACTGTAAACTAGTTCAACCATTGTGGAAGACAGTGTGGCGATTCCTCAAGGATCTAGAACCAGAAATACTGTTTGACCCAGCAATCGCATTACTGGGCATATACCCAAAGGATTATAAATCATTCTATTATAAAGACACATGCACACATATGTTTATTGCAGCACTATTCACAATAGCAATGACTTGGAACCAACCCAAATGCCCATCAATGATAGACTGGATAAAGAAAATGTGGCACATATGCACCATGGAATACTATGCAGCCATAAAAAAGGATGAGTTCATGTCCTTTGCAGAGACATGGATGAAGCTGGAAACTATCATTCTCAGCAAACTAACACAGGAACAGAAAACCAAACACCGCATGTTCTCACTCATAAGGAGGAGTTGGATGATGAGAACACATGGACACAGGGAGGGGAACATCACACACTGGGGCCTGTTAGGGAAAGGGGGGCTAGGGGAGGGATAACATTAGGAGAAATACCTAATGTAGACGACAGCATGATGGGTGCAGCAAAACACCATGGCACGTATATACCTATGTAACAAACCTGCACGTTCTGCACATGTATCCCAGAACTTAAAGTATAAAAAAAAAATTATCTAGGGGTGACAGTGAGCAAAAATAAATAAATAAATAAGGCCAAGTGCCATAGCTCACGCCTGTAATCCTAGCACTTTGGGAGGCCCATGCTGGTGGGTCACTTTGAGCTCAGGAGTTTGAGACCAGCCTGGCCAACATGGTGAAACTTCATCTCCGCTAAAAATACAAAAATTAGCCAGGCATGGTGGCTCATACCTGTAATCCCAGCTACTTGGGAGGCTGAGATTGTAGGACTGCTTGAGCCAGGGAAACAGAGGTGGCAGTGAGCTGAGATGGTGCTGCCACCGCAGTCCAGTTTTAGCAAAGGGAGCTAAAGAGGCATGTGTACTAAATGCAATGTGTCATCCACGATTAGATACGGACCAGAAAAAAAGGCATTGTTGTAAATAAAGGACATTGTTGGGACAATTAGCAAATTTTGAATGTAGATTATAGGTTAGATTATTAGTATTAAATTTCCTGATTTTGATAATTATACTCTGCTTATGTAAGAGAATATCCTTGTCCCTAAGAAATGCACTCTGAGGCCGGGTGCGGTGGCTCACACCTGTAATCCCGGAACTTTGGGAGGCTGAGGCGGACAGATCACTTGAGGCCAGGAGTTTGAGATCAGCCTGACCAACATGGCAAAACCCCATCTCTACTAAAAATACAAAAACTAGCCAGGTGTGGTGGCACATGCCTATAGTCCCAGCTACTCAGGAGGCTGAGGCACGAGAATCACTTGAACCTCGGAGGTGGGGGTTGCAGTGAGCTGGGATCGTGCCACTGCACTCTAAGCCGGAGTGTCAGAGCAAGACTCTCCCCATCCCCCTCCCCCACAAAAAAAAGAAATGTACCTGAAGTATTTAGGGGCTAAACAGTATACTCTGCAGTTTACTCTCAAATGGTTCAAATTATATGGGTAGGTGGATGGGTGGAGGGATAATAGGTAAGTAGGTAGATAGATAAATAGATAGCCAGACATAGAGATAGATGGGAAAAAAAACTATTAAAGCAGTTGTGACGAAATATTAAAAACTGGTAAATCTGGATGAAGTATATATGAGTTATTTGTACTATTCTTACATCTTTTCTGTAAGTTTGAAATTATTTGAAAATTTAAAAACAATTATAATTAGAGGAGGAAGCACAGGGCTGTATTTTATACTGTAGTTTCTGAATGAACTCTGAATGATTACATCCAGATACTTACTACGGCCACCAGGAAAAAACATGCTAGCCTTTGGACTAGGTGTGGCTGTGATAGACATGATCCTGCTAACTACTGCTAGAAAAAATGGCTTTAACTCAACTAATCCAAAACCAAAATCATATTTTATGGATGACTGTTGCATTTCACTACCTTATAACTAAAAGTTGGATATAATAGTTTTGCTCATTGTTTCCTGGTGAACCTCATTGTTACCTTCTAAGAATGTCCACCAGGAAGCTACACATAGCTTATGTTATCTAGATTCAAAATCCATTCCAATGTATCTATTGAGTGTGGAGGAGACTGTTAGTACTATCTGAAAATCCATGTGCTCCTCCATATTTTCTCAGTCCTGTGTACCTGGGTGGTGTCACAGGATTAATTCTTGCCAAAAGAACATAAATGGAAGTGATGTGTCACTTTTACTCTGAGGCAGTTGAGTGCAGATGTGCCTTCTTGTTCCACCTCTTCCCCTTTAGCTGAACCTGTAGAGGTCATGTAGAGGTGGCAGAACCATAAAATGAAAGCAGCTTGAATCCCTGAGTCACCGCTTCAGGGAGAGTTCTCTGGAAAACCACCTGATCAGCACCAAACCTTACAGGAGCAAGAAATGTTATTGCATTATTTATTGTGTTATATTGTTAAGATTTTAGGTTAATTCGTTCATTCAAGATAGCCATATCGACTTACCATTCCTCTTTCTCTTCCCTCTTATTCCTTTTTCTTGTCTTTAAAAAACATTATTATTACTATTATTATAATTATTTTCTTCTCTTCAGGCAGGGCACGGCCAGTGAGACCTGTAAGGTTGGTACCAAGGAGGCACCCAGCAGGGTTAGGAAGTTGGTTACATACGGGGGTAATAAGTAAGTAAACGTATTGAAGATAATGAAAGCCAGGTTTATTATCTCTGTCAGAGAAGGGGGTTACAAATGTGGAAAGAAAAATAGACTGGAATGAACCCTGTGGTGTTGTGATTTGAAGATTTGAAATTGGAGATATCAGTGTGAACTCATGTGGTTTTTTGTTTTGTTTTGTTTTTTTCTTAGAGTCTCACTCTGTCACTCAGGCTGGAGTGCAATGGCATGATCTCTGCTCACTGCAACATCTGCCTCCAGGGTTCAAGCGATTCTGCTGTCTCAGCCTCCCGAGAAGCTGGGATTACAGGCGTGACCACCACACCCAGCTAATTTTTCTATTCTTGGTAGAGTCAGGGTTTCACCATGTTGGCCAGGCTGGTCTCGAGCTCCTGACCTCAAGCAATCCCCCTGCCTCGGGCTCCCAAAGTGTTGGGATTACAGACGTGAGCCACTGTGCCCATTCAGAACTCATGGTTTTTAAAAGAAAAGTTAGATGATAGACATAGATAGATAGATAGATAGATAGATAGATAGATGATAGGATAAAGATGGATAGAGATAAATGGATGACAGACAAAGATAGATATAGATTGATGGATGATAGAGATAGATCAGATAGATGGAGATGAATGATAGAGATGGATAGAGATAAGTGGATGGCAGAGATATAGATCAATGGATGACAGAGATAGATGATAGATAGATAGATAGATAGATAGATAGATAGATAGATAGATAGGCATGATAGACAGAGATGCATAGACAGAAATAAATGGATGAGGCTGGGCGTGGTTGCTCACACCTGTAATCCCAGCACATTGAGAGGCCGAGGTGGGCGGATCACCTGAGGTCAGGAGTTAGAGACCAGCCTGGCCAACATGGTGAAACCTCGTCTTTACTAAAATACAAAAATCTAGCCGGGCGTAGTGGCAGGTGCCTGTAATCCTAGCTACTTGGAATGCTGGGGCAAGAGAATCGCTTGAACCCAGGAGGTGGAGGTTGCAGTGAGCCGAGATTGTGCCACATTGCACTCCAGCCTGGGCGACAAGAGCAAGACTCCGTCTCAAAAGAAAAAAAAAAAAAAAGAAATTGGCCAGGCATGGTGGCTTACGCCTCTAATCTCAGCACTTTGGGAGGCCAAGGCAGGCAGATCACCTGAGGTCAGGAGTTTGAGACCAGCCTGACCAACATGGAGAAACCCTGTCTCTACTAAAATACAAAATTAGCTGGGCATGTTGGCACATGCCTATAATCCCAGCTACTGGGGAGGCTGAGGCTGGAGAATCGCTTGAACCGGGGAGGCAGAGGTTGCGGTGAGCGGAGATTGTGCCATTGCCCTCCAGTCTAGGGAACAAGAGCAAAACTTCGTCTCAAAAAAAAAACAAAAAAAACAAAAAAAATGGATGACAGAGATAGATGATAGATATAGAGAGATGGATGGTAGATAGAGATGATAGAGAAATAGATGACAGATAGATAGATAGATAGATAGATAGATAGATAGATAGATAGATAGATAGATATAGATGTGTACGTTATACAGTTGGCCCTCCATGTCCATGGGTTCTGAATCCATGGGCTCAGCCAGCTACAGATCAAACATATTAGGAATAAAAAATAACAATACAACAATAAAAAAAACAAATAAAAAATACAGTATAACAACTATTTACATAGCATTTACATCATAGTGCGTATTATAAGTGATCTAGAGATGATTAAAATATACCAGAGGATGTGTGTAAGTTATATGCAAATGCTATACCATTTTATGTAAGGCTCTTCTTGAGCATATGCAAATTTTGGTATCTGTGGGGCAGGAGAGTGGTGGGGGGCAGTCCTGGAACCAATCCCCCACTGATACGAGGGACAACTGTACATGCATTATGTATATGTGTATGTATATATATATATCCCCTGAAAGAGCCTAGAGGCAACAGCTTTGCAAAAGCAATGAGCATATTTTGCTCCCAGATCTTGGTTTATAGATGCTGTTCTCCTCTAAAAGAGACAAGAGCACTTTGGAGAAATGGCTGATTCCAAGGCTGAGGGGAGTAGAAAAAAGTATAAGCTTAGCTAGGAACATCTTGCTGTGCCAGGAAGTGAGGAAGTGATTAAAAAGTGATGAGGGCCAGATGCAACAGCTCACGCCTGTAATCCCAGTGGTTTGGGAGGCCAGGGCAGGAGGATTGCTTGAGCCCAGGAGTTCAAGGCTGCTATAGTGAGCTATGATCACACCACTGCACTCAGCCTGAGCAACAGAGCAAGATTCTGTCTCCTAAAAAAAAAAAAAGATTTGTCAAAAGAATAAAGGATCAGATTAAAGGGGTACCCACTGGCCAAATATGAAACAATATGAGCATCAAAGTAAATAATGTTAGTGTTCGATTATAACACTTGAATTAAATTAAGATTCATTAATCAATACTTATAAAACTAAATGAAAAATGAACTAAATAAATGTAGAGAAAGAAAGTCACTTCCTTACAGTGGAATACCAACTTCTAAATGTAGAAGGACTGATGGAGTTAAAAAATTACCACCTGGCAATCATCACAGTACTAGCTGATTCAGGCAAGAATCATTGATGGATATAAAAATTAGTGGGTGAAAGTGTGCTGAACAGAATACTTACATGGTCTCACAGTATCTCCCCATAAACTACTTATAAATAACACAGAAAAATAGTAACTTTACAATGAAGAAACCTGGCCGCCAACCCCTTGATCAAATGATCAATGTTCACCTCACCAGTAATAGAACAAATCAGTATCATGTACTTCTTGACATGATATGCCAAGAAGAACAAAGCATCCCTTCTATGACATTCTTGCCTAATGCATAACCTAAATCTGATCGTGGGAAAACATCAGAGAAACCCAAAGTGAGTAACACTCTCCCAAATAAATGTCCCGTACTCTTCAAAAATGCCAAGGTCATGAGTCGCAAAGAAAGATTAGAAGAACTGCTTCAGACTGAAGAAGGGTAAAGGGACATGAAAATCAATACTACGTGTGTTGCTCGATAATAGACTAAAATAAGAAGTAATTTTGTCTTGTTTTGATTTGTTTTTGCCATAAAGGACATTATTAGGAAATTTGGAGGATTTGGTAGCATTATATCCATGTTAATCTTGATGCTGATGGTTGTGCTTGGTCCTTTAGGAAAGTATTTAAGGGTTATGCCGCACCATGTATTTAACTTAACTCTCAAATGATTCAGGAAAAATATGTATATGTGTGTGTATGTGTGTAGGTATACATTTTTATATGTGTACAATCTGTATATCTATATATGGGTATATACATGTATCTCTATGTGTGTATATATATGTGTATATATTTATTATAAATATGTATATAGATGAAGATAGAAAGAGAGAAGAGAGAGAGGGAAAGACAGAGAGAGACAGAATGATAAAGCAAATATAGTAAAATGTTAACATCAGGGAAGCTGGGTGAAGGGTTACAGAAATTCTTTTTACTATTCCTGCATCTTTTCCATAGCATTGAAATTACTTCTAGCCAGGTGTGGTGGTGGATGCCTGTAACCCCAGCTATTCGGGAGGCTGAGGCGGGAGAATCATTTGAACCCGGGGAGGTGGAGGAGGCGGAGGTTGTGGTGAGCCGAGATCGTGCCACTCTACTCCAGCCTGGATGACAGAGTGAGACTCTACGTCAATAAAAATAAATAAATAAATAAATGAAACCCTAAAATATGAAAAATAAAAGATTGAGAATTTTCCCATTAAGGATGAAAGCTGATCCTATGGGAGTAAAGGAGATTACTGGGAAGAGAATGTAAAAAAAGAGAGGTCAAAGAGAACTTTGAAAATATTCACAGTACTCTCAACTAGATGTTCAGTAAATATTAAGTAATTTTAAATAGATAGCCCAGGTTAACCTGGCTAATACATTGGGTTTTTAATTATTGAAATCTAAAGACTGTCTTGCTTCTATTTTTCCTAGACATATTTACATATTTTAATAATCATGCTACATTAAACATCTTAACAGTCAAAACACGTCTCTAACTTCTTTTCCAATTACCCTGGAACCACTGTCATAAAGCAAACTCCCAAATCTTTCAACAAAAAAAACTTTTTTTTTTTTTGAGACAGAATCTCACTCTGATAGTGCAGTGGTGCTATCTTAGCTTACTGCAACCTCCACCTCCTGAGTTCAAGCAATTCTCCTGCCTCAGCCTCCCAAGTAGCTGGGACTACAGGCGCATGCCACCACGCCTGGCTAATTTTTTGTATTTTTAGTAGAGACAGTGCTTCACCGTGTTAGCCAGGATGGTCTTGATCTCCTGACCTCGTGATCTGCCCACCTCAGCCTCCTAACATGCTGGGATTACAGGTATGAGTCACTGCGCCTGGCCATCACCAAATTTTTCAAGATATGTGGCATTACCTTGCCTCGTTTCTGATTTACTTTTTTCAATGATATTTCTTTTCTTTTTCTTTTCTTTTTTTTAGACTGAGTTTCGCTCTTGTTGCCCAGGCTGGAGTACAGTGGCATGGTCTTGGCTCACTGTAACCTCCGCTTCCCAGGCTCAAGCAATTCTCCTGCCTCAGCATTGTGAGTAGCTTGGATTACAGGCACCTGCCACCATACCCGGCTAATTTTTGTATTTTTAGTAGAGACAGCGTTTCACCATGTTGACCAGGCTGCTCTTGAACTCCTGACCTCAGATGATCCACCCACCTTGGCCTCCCAAAGTGCTGGGGTTACAGGCATGAGCCACTGCATCCGGCCAGATATTTCTTTTTCTTTCTTTCTTTTTTTTTTTTTTGAGATGGAGTCTCACTGTTGCACGGGCAGGAGTACAGTAGTAAGATCTCAGCTCACTGCAACCTCCACCTCCCGGACTCAAGTGATTCTTCTTCCTCAGCCTCCCAAGTAGCTGGGACCACAAACGCGCACCACCATGCCTGATTAATTTTTTTTCATATTTTTTTTGGTAGAGACGGGGTTTCACCATGTTGGCCAGGCTGGTCTCAAGCTCCTGACCTCAAGTGATCCACCAGTCTTGGCCTTACAAAGTGCTGGGATTATAGGCATGAGCCACCGCACCCGGCCGATTTCTTTTTTCTTTTTTTTAAACTGAGCACTTTTTATATTTATGGCAAACTGGGTAATTTAAACTGCTGTCTCGTTTTACAGGAGAGACACCCCTCTCAAACTCGTTCCACATGCTATGTCACTCATGCTGATCTTGGAATTCCTTAGATCATTGGTCTCAAAACATGGTTGATTATAAGATCTGTGATCTTTTGCCTGGGGATCTTTTTTTTTTTATTTTTATTTTTCTGAAATGGAGTATGGAGTCTTGCTCTTGTGGCCAAGGCTGGAGTGCAATGATGTGATCTCAGCTCACTACAACCTCCGCCTCCCAGGTTCAAGTGATTCTTCGCCTCAGCCTCCCAAGTAGCTGGGATTACAGGCACACACCACCGTGCCTAGCTAATTTTTGTATTTTTAGTAAAGACAGGATTTCACCATGTTGGCCAGGCTGGTCTTGAACTCTTGACCTCAGGTGATCCACCTGCCTCAGCCTCCCAAAGAGCTGGAATTACAGGCATGAGCCACCACGTCCAGCTTTGCCTGGGGATCTTTTAAAAATGGCAGATTCCAGGACACTTCATCAGCCTTAGTAAAACAGAATCTTTTGAAGCCTAAAACCATCTGTGTCTTGGCAGGCGCTTTAATGAGAAATCAGATTTGGGAACCTTCACTTGTGATGGCCATGCCTCACTCAAAAGCTCTCTTAACCTTATGGATTATAATCACTGAGTGACTAAAGTTGCCACATATGCATATACCTTCTGTAGGGACTATTTTAGGGTCTGCCATATCTAGAGATGCTTCCCCACTAGCGGACAAACACTATTCTATGACTGCAATGGCAGAAAGAAGATTTCAAGATATTAAGAAGGAAGAAACTGGGCAAAAGAATTCACATGCCTATTATTTCCTATAAAATACAATGTCCGCTGGGTGCTGTGGCTCATGCCTGTAATCCAGCACTTTAGGAAGCTGAGCTGGGTGGATCACCTGAGGTCAGGAGTTCAAGACCAACCTGGCCAACATGGCAAAACCCCATCTCTACTAAAAATACAAAAAATTAGCCAGCCATGGTGGTGGGTGCCTGTAATCCCAGCTACTCAGGAGGTTGAGGCAGGAAAATCGCTTGAACTCGGGAGGCAGAGGTTGCAGTGAGCCGAGATCATGCCACTGCACTCCAGCCTGGACAAAAGGAGTGAAACTCCATCTCAAAACAAAACAAAATAAAATAAATAAAAAATACAATGTCCCTGAATATGCAAGAATAACTTCATTGCTTTCAACCCCTTGCACAAACATGGATGAATTCAAGAGTCTGAACCTCAGCCCCAGAGCTGGGTCTGCTCTCAAGGCTGAACTTAGGATACCCTTCAAAAAAAGGATAGGGGCATTTTGTCTTTCTAACACTGTCCAGAATGGAAATTATGGCCCCATTAAAAAGAAAAAAAAAAAAAAAAAAAGGCTGGGCTCAGTGGCTGACGCCTGTAATCCCAGCATTTTGGGAGGCCAAGGCAGGCAGATCACCTGAGGTAAGGAGTTCAAGACCAGCCTGGCCAACATGGCTAAACCCTGTCTCTACTAAAAATACAAAATTAGCCGGGCATGTTGGCACATGCCTATGATCCCAGCTACTCGGGAGGCTGAGGCAGGAGAATCGCTTGAACCTGGGGGCGGAGGTTGCAGTGAGCCAAGATCGTGCCACTTCACTCCAGCCTCAGCGAAAGAGCAAAATTCCATCTCAAAAAACAAACAAACAAACAAACAAAAAACAGGCCGAACACGGTCTCTCATGACTGTAATCCCAGCACTTTTGGAGGCCGAGGAGGGTGGATCACTTGAGCTCAGGAGTTCGAGAGCAGCCTAGCCAACATGGTGAAACCCCATCTCTACTAGAAATACAAAAAATTAGCTGGGTGTGGTAGCCCACGCTTGTAATCCCAGCTACTTGGGAGGCTGAGGCAGGAGAATCCCTTGAACCTAGGAGGTAGAGGTTGCAGTGAGCTGAGATTACCCCATTGCACTCCAGCCTGGGTGACAGAGCGAGACTCAGTCTCAAAAAAAAAAAAAAAAAAAAAAAACACCAAGATTCCTAATCAAAAAAGACAATAACCAAGGTGTTAGTGGATATTACTCATTTTTTCTCTCAGGGTAGATATGAAAAGGGTTATCATGAGGGGCTTTGGTCTACCTTGCATAATTTACTAGAGCTATACCAGGAATTATTTAAGGATTTTCTTGTTATTCTCCATGTTAGAAATGATCCTTATATCTACAAGTGTGGCCGAGCGCAGTGGCTCATGCTTGTAATTCCAGCACTTTGGGAGGTGGAGGTGGGTGGATCACCTGAGGTCAGGAGTTCGAGACCAGCCTGGCCAATATGGTGAAACCCTGTCTCTACTAAAAATACAAAAATTAGCCGAGCGTGGTGGTGCATGCCTGTAATTCCAGCTACTCGGGAGGCTGAGAGAGGAGAATCACTTGAACCCAGGAGGCAGAGGTTGCAGTGAGCCGAGATTGCACCATTGCACTCCAGCCTGGGCAACAAGGGTAGAAACTCCGTCTGAAAAAAAAAAAAAATCTACAAGTGCATCCTTGACCTCTAGCTCTAAGTTTACACGTCTGTTGGCAAAGTTCCACTTGAATGTCCTAACATCTCAAATTCTAACAACCTTGACTTTATCTCTCAAATATGATTCTTGGTTAGGATTAGCCACAAGGGAAATCTGTGAAGATAGGAAAGGCAGAAGTGAAGCAGCAGCCATTACAGTCTGAAGGTCAGTCTAGGACACTAGGCACATCTCACGCACATTGCTGCTCATCTGCTGGCTCACCCTGGTGCGAGGAGTAGCTAAGTCTAGAGCTCTTGCAGTTCCTACTGAATATTCTTGTTTCTGCAAGTCTGGGTGAGACGCAGGTGCAGCGCATGGCTCCTATAAGCACCTGCACCAGGCTACTGCAGGCACCTGCCTCATTGAGGTGTAAGTGATAAGAGACAGATGCTCAGTCTAGTTTATCCCCATGGGATCCAGATTCTCTTTGTGGGCTCCAGTTTGTTCCTGCCCATGTTCACTCTAGCTTTTCTGCCTAATGGTAAGCAGTACTGATTTACAGAAATTTCAAGACCAATACCAGACACAGAGATGTTAGACTCCTTCATAGACCTTTTCCCATGCTCACAATTTCATGAGACTTAACCCCTAAAAAAAAAAAAAAATCTCTTATTCCACATGACTTATACTGCTCATACTTCTCTGGTCAAACGCTGAAACAGACAATGGTATTGGAAACAATTCCAGGAGAACAAAGCTTTAAGAATGGGTTCCCTGAATTTGTTCTCCGTTGTCTGGATTGGTTCTCTGATCTGATTATATTTAAACACCTTGCAAGACAACTACCTAAGGGGAGGCCATTAAAGGTTTAACAAAGCAGAGACTAACCTCCCCAGTCAAAGAAGGAAGGGCTGGCCGGGTGTGGTGGCTCACGCCTGTAACCCCAGCACTTGGGGAGGCCAAGGTGGGCGGATCACTAAAGGCCAGGAGTCTGTTTGAGACCAGCCTGGCCTACACGGCAAAACTTCGTCTCTACAAAAATTAGCTGGGCGTGTTGGCGCGCACCTGTAATTCCAGCTACTCTAGAGGCTGAGGCAGGAGAATCGCTTGAACCTGGGAGGCAGAGGTTGCACTGAGCTGAGATCATGCCACTGCACTCCAGCCTGGGCGAGAGAGCAAGACTCCGTCTCAAAAAATAAAACATACATAAAAGAAAGAAGGGCTGTTTTTACTGGCAAAAAATTCTCAACAGAATTTAGGGATTCATGATCCTGATGTCATCATAATTTGCCCATGTGTCCTTTTTCCAAAATTTGGGATTTTACCTTCACTCCAAAAAATGCCCCAACTTTAACAGGAGACCCTATGAGATTGGAAATTCATTTTGCATTGTAACTCAGTTAGATGTTGAGTTTGGCTTTCAGAAAGTACAGCCTTGCAAATACAGGAAGGTAATCATACAAGCTTTAGTCAGTGAGAAAGGCAACACTGTTGTCTATGGCATGCATTAGCAAAAACAATGCCCTAAATTATTACCTGTAATCAAGTGCCTAAAGAAGGCAAGGCTGGCCTGGCGCAGTGGCTCACGCCTGTAATCCCAGCACTCTGGGAGGCTGAGGCGGGCGGATCACGCGGTCAGGAGATCGAGACCATCCTGGCTAACATGGTGAAACCCTGTATCTACTAAAAATACAAAAAAAATCAGCCGGGCATTGTGATGGGCGCCTGTAGTCCCAGCTACTCGGGAGGCCAAGGCAGGAGAATGGCGTGAACCTGTGAGGTGGAGCTTGCAGTGAGCCAAGATCGTGCTACTGCACTCCAGCCTGGGCGACAGTGCGAGACTCCATCTCAAAAAAGAAATAAAAATAAAAAAAAGAAAGCAAGGTGTTGGGTTGACCAAGCAGATGCTTTGGATTGGTTTGCTTCTTCTAATTATGTTGGATAACTGGGGGAAAGAAAATGATAACTTAGGGCTTTAACTTCTCAGTTCAACATCAGATAAAGGACCAGAAAGCCTTGACTGCTTTGTTTGTTTTTTGAGATGGAGTCTCGCTCTGTTGCCCAGGCTGGAGTGTGATAGTGTGATCTCGGCTCACTGCAACCTCTGCCAGCCTCCTGGCTTCAAGCGATTCTCCTGCCTCAGCCTCCTGAGTAGCTGGTACCACAGCCGCGCGCCACCACGCCCAGCTAATTTTTGTATTTTTAGTAGAGACAGGGTTTCACCGTCTTGGCCAGGCTGGTCTTGAACTCCTGACCTTGTGATCGTCCACCTTGGCCTCCCAAAGTGCTGAGATTACAGGCATGAGCCACCGCACCTGGTCGCCTTGACTGCTTTGCTGTATCTGCAAGACTGTACTTTCTAAAAATCAAACTCAAAATCTAATTCTGAATTACAATGCAAATTGAATTCCCAATCTCATAGTGTTTAAAGTTAGGGCAATGTTTTGAGACCCAAAATTTTGGAATAGTGACACCTGGGCAGATTATGATTCCACTAGGACCATGAACCCCCATATTCTTTTTTTTTTTCTTTTTTGAGACAAGATCTCTAACTGTTGCTTAGGCTGGAGTACAATGGCGCGATCTCGGCTCACTGCTACCTCTGCTTCCCAGGCTCAAGTGATCCTCCCTCCTCAGCCTCTTGCGTAGCTGGGACTGCAGGGGCATGCCACTATGCCTGGCTTTTTTTTTTTTTTTTTTTTAAGAGACAGGGTTTCACCATGTTGTCCAGGCTGGTTTTTAACTCCTGGACTCAAGAGATCCACCTACCTCGGCTTCCCAAAGTTCTGGGATTATAGGCGTGAGCCACCATGCCCAGCCAGAACCCCTAAATTCTGTTGAGCCTCCTTGTCAGTCAAAGAAGCCCTTCCTCTCCTGTCTGAGGAGGTTATGTTCCTCGTCCCTGTGAAATCTGTAATGGCCTCACCTGAGGTGGTTGCCTGGCGGGATCTGCTGATTCTTCTTAAAACCTACTGTCCACTTTGGGAGGCCGAGGCAGGTGGATCACCTGAGGTTGGGAGTTCGAGACCAGACTGACCAACATGGAGAAACCCCATCTCTACTAAAAATACAAAATTAGCCGGGCATGGTGGCGCGTGCCTGTAATCCCAGCTACTCCGGAGGCTGAGGCAGGAGAATTGCTTGAACCCGGGAGGCAGATTTGAATCTCCACAGTGGAGAGTTATGGTCCTTCAGGCAATTTCCCTACTTGTGTCAGGTTGGAGGCCGAGAGCCTCTTGAATGTTAAGGAGGCCAACCCCCTTGTCTTAGTCCATACCTGCTGCAATAACATCACCTAAAGACGGATAAAAGGATTTTGTATCCTCTTTTGGGTAGAATTAGCTTGTTCACAATTGTCCAAGGGACAGCTGCTTCATGTTAGGTAGAAGTCTGATTTTGCTCTTTAGTTTTTGTCTGGAAGTTAAATATGATTACAAGAGGTGTTCATTGATGCCATGTTGACAACCGATAGACTCTGGTACTTTTTTTGTTGCTGTTGTTAATTAGTTTTTATTTCATAATCATAAACTTAACTCTGCAATCTAGCTAGGCATGGAAAGGAACAAGGAAAACATAGAACCCAAAGGGAACTGCAGTGAGAGCACAAAGATTCTAGGATACTGCGAGCAAATGGGGTGGAGGGTGCTCTCCTGAGCTACAGAAGGAATGGTCTGGTGGTTAAGATAAAACACAAGTCAAACTTATTAGAGTTGCCCACAGTCAGCAATGGTGATCTTCTTACTGGTCTTGCCATTCCTGGACCCAAAGCACTCCATGGTCTCCACAATATTCATGCCTTCTTTCACCTTGCTGAAGACCACATGCTTGCCATCCAACCACTCAGTCTTGGCAGCACAGATGAAAAACTGGGAACTGTTTGCGTTGGGTCCAGCATTTGCCATGGACAAGATGCCAGAAACTGTATGCTTCCGGATGAAGTTCTTGTCATCAAATTTCTCCCTGTAGATGGACTTGCCACCAGTGCCATCATGGCATGTGAAGTCTCCACCCTGACACATAAACCCTGGAACAATTCTGTGAAAGCAGGAACCCTTATAGCCAAATCCTTTCTCTCCAGTGCTCAGAGCATGAAAGTTTCCTGCTGTCTTTGGAAACTTGTCTGCAAACAGCTCAAAGGAGATGCGGCCCAAGGGCTCCGTGTCAAAGAACACGGTGGGGTTGACCATGGCTGATAGCACAGGGCTCCTGGCAGCAGCGGTGCCTGCAAAGCCCAGTGGTGTTTTTTTTACCATGTCAACTTAGCTAGGCTAGAACCACATTTCCTAGATTCCTTTCCCTGCATAGTTTTGGGTTAGGGCTAGCTATAAGAGAAATGTGTGCAGTTTGGAAGGCAGAAGTGGAGCAACAGTCATTACATTCTGAAGGTCACCAGCTCCCACATGGGGTAGGAGCTGGGCCTGCAGCTCCTTCAGTTACCACTGTATCTTCTAGATCAACTTCTGTGAGTTCTGGGCCACGAGCATGTGCAGCCCCATGGTGAAGGGTACCAGCTGTTCCAGCTGAAAAAATGTGCAGCAAAGGGTCACGGTATTACCCGGTGCTGGGGGAAGGGAATAGGAAGATTCACTACAGTCATATATTTTTACATAATATTTGACTTTTTCATGACAAAGGATTTTTAAATTAGAAAAGCACCATAAAGTTGAATTAACCAAAAAAGAGAGAGAGAAAGTCCAGACCCTTCAGTGACTACCTCTGTCTACATAAGATCAGACTCCTCAGTCTGGTATGTGAGGCCCTGGACAATCAGGTGCTAGTGTACTTTTTTAACTTTATCTGTCACTACTTCCCTTCCTGTGCCCTCCACTCTGGAATTCTTCCTGGGACTGTAGGACTTTAGTTGGGCCAGAAGGGCTGGGTCTGGGATAGGGTTGCTTAGAGAGTGCCGTGATGCCGCAGCCTCAATGCTAACTTTTGTTTTTTTGTTTTTTTTTTTTTTTGAGACGGAGTCTTGCTCTGTCGCCCAGGCTGGAGTGCAGTGGCATGATCTCGGCTCACTGCAAGCTCTGCCTCCTGGGTTCACGCCATTCTCCTGCCTCAGTCTCCTCAGTAGCTGGGACTACAGGCGCCCGCCACCTCGCCCGGCTAATTTTTTGTATTTTTAGTAGAGACGGGGTTTCACCGTGTTAGCCAGGATGGTCTCGATCTCCTGACCCCGTGATCTGCCCGCCTCGGCCTCCCAAAGTGCTGGGATTACAGGCGTGAGCCACCTCGCCCGGCCAATGCTAACTTTTTTTAGGTAACATCTTCTGTAGACTTTTAGACATTATCTCATTGAGTTCTCATAGACTCTGCAAGGTAAGTATTACTCCCATCCAGAACCAGACACCTGATTTGCAGGGTCCAGTGCAAACTAAAAAAAGCGTGGCCCCTTGTTCATACATGTATTAAGAATTTCAAGCCGGGCATGGTGGCTCAGGCCTGTAATCCCAGCACATTGGGAGGCCGAGGTGGGCGGATCACCTGAGCTCAGGAGTTCGAGACCAGACTGGCCAACGTGACGAAACTCTGTCTCTACTAAAAATAGAAAACTTAGCCGGGCGTGGTTGTGCACGCCTGTAGTCCCAGCTACTCCGGGGGCTGAGACAGGAGAATCGCTTGAACCCGGGAGGCGGAGGTTGCGGTGAGCTGAGATCGCCCCACTGCACTCCAGCCTGGGCGACAGAGCAAGACTCCATCTCAAAAGAAAAAAAAAAAAAATCAAAATGACAGCAGAGCATTAAATGAAGTGTAAGGCCATGTGTGACTGTACCAGTGTGAACCTATGAGGCCAGTCCCACCCCTATCTTACATCTAGGGAACAGGTACACAGAGATGAAGTAAATTCCCAAGGTTACTTTGTCAAGAGCTTGGAAAATATAAGAGTCAGAAGTCTAACAGGTTGAATCCCTATTAAACTCTCCCCAACTAAACTACGCCCCTCCCTGTTGAGCTGAATCTAATGAAAGCTTCCTAAATGTATTAACCACACACACGCACAATCTGCTATCAGTCACTTTCAGTAGTTCATCGCTGTAACATCTCAGGAGTTCAATGTTTCAACGTGTTCTGTAGATTACTGTGATAACGCGGCAAGCTGTCGTAAGACTTCTTGCTGCACATTTCTTTTTAAAATATTCTCCAGGAGTCTGATGAAAAATACAGACATACCTATGTTTAATGTCAATGGATGGAACTTATTTTAAAAAGTACTGTAATGGCAGAAGTTGTGACACAAAGTACTGCAGTGATGTTGTAACTCCAACACCTAAATATATTATCAAGCATTCGCGTTTTGTTTTGTTTTTTAAGTGACTACTAGATACTGTGATTCACTTAAGTGAAGCGAACTGAAGCCCGTGGTCAAGGAGAGACACCTGAAGGTGAAGGGACAAAGCGAGCAGGGTAAGAGCTCGAGCCCGACCCCTCTCAAAAAATATAGACCCGGAACGCGCGCCTGCGCAGAACGAATCCTCCCGCGCACAAGCCGGGCGGAAGAGCTGGGGCGGGCAGGGGCGGGAATAAGGTTGCTAGGAGAACGCGATGACGCTACGGGCTCGGCGCTCTTCTCCACCAATGGGCGACGCGTACTTGCAGTGGCGCGCTGTGTGCGTCACGCCGACGACGCGCGAAGGGCACACATCTTAGGACCCGGAGGACGTCCGGCCTCTGTGAGCCGCAACCTTTCCAAGGGAGTGGTTGTGTGATCGCCATCTTAGGGAGTGAGTGTGGCCGGGCCTTCTCCTGTGGCGGGTGTGGGGAGCGGAGCCCAGAGCTCCTGTGGGGCCGCTGCTTTGGCGGTGGGCCCAGCCGGGAGCAGCCTCTTTCGAAGGCCGCCGTGACCTCTTCAAGGGCGTGGAGACGGGAAGGAAAAGGCCCCGGTTGGGGTTCCAGGGCGCCGGTAACGTTAACCGGCGCCTTGCCTGTCCTCTAACCGTCGCTCCCTCCTCCCCTAGAAAGATGTTCTCGTCCGTGGCGCACCTGGCGCGGGCGAACCCCTTCAACACGCCACATCTGCAGCTGGTGCACGATGGTCTCGGGGACCTCCGCAGCAGCTCCCCAGGGCCCACGGGCCAGCCCCGCCGCCCTCGCAACCTGGCAGCCGCCGCCGTGGAAGGTGAGATCAGACCCTGCCCAATACAGTCGTGTGGTCTACTTGTGGGCCGCCCAGCCTTTGAGGCCTGGACCCGGCTTGGAGGACAGGGAAGGACGAGTCCAGCCCGCTGCACCGTAGGACGGCGCCCAGTTGCTTGCCCTGGGGTATCGGCCTTTTCCACCATAGGCGGGTGTCAGATCCTTGGCCTTCCCTCAAGGGCGTGGAAGCGCTGAGGCCCTGTGTCCCTTCGTGACCTCCGTGTGCCCGAGGGAAGAGAGGCCGTGACTAGCTCTTTCTCCGCCGTGAGCTCGCTTGGTCAGCAAACTAAGTACTGGGTAAACTCTCCTCCCGAAACTACTGACCACCCACAGTTCTACTAACTATATTACCTGTCCTTTGATTTGCCCTTAGTTTTCTTAAAAATAGTCCTTTCCTAAGTTTTATATTTGTCGACGCCAGGTCAGTCATTTTTGCACTTAATTGTATATGAGATAACTAGATGTCCTGTTTTCGTGCGACTGGAGGAGGCAGCTTGCAGCCCTACATAGGCAATAGAAAGGAGATAATTGGTGGGCGTCCCTTTGGTGTGATTATCTCTTGGGATTCTTGGTGGTTGGGCCCAGCTTTAACTTAGTTGTGTGTGTTTTAAATCCTAGTGAAGTATGTACATACAGAGAAACCTGAAAACCGAATTGTAGGAGTCCTAAGAATGTTATCTACCTTGTGCCTGTAAAATCGAAAGATTTTTTTCTTTAAATCATTCATGTGCTTCTGTTGTCTTTAGTATGGATAGAGTCCTTATTTACACTATCTGTCGTTCAGTTTAAAAGTTAAAGCTAACATTATTTGTGTATTAAATGTATTTGACTGCAGGAATTTGTGCGTATCCGTTTTTATGTTACAGGAGTTCTTAAGTGGGGATAGTATTGGTTAGTGGCTGGGATAAACTTTGAAGTTGTTTGCAAGCCTTTTACATGTCGAGTGATCTTTCTGAGTTTCGTTTGTACTCTGAAGTGTGCTCTTACCAGTGGTTAATAATTTGAAGTTTGACTTTAATTGTAAAAGCCGTTAATGTAGAAAACTTTTAAAAAAATTAATATGGCAGAATACGAGCTATTAATAGTATCAGATACAGAACCCTCATAATTTTTAAATGATCTGAATTTGGCAGTGAATTTTTTTTTAAGCCACTTAATTGTGGCCAAAGCTATTCAGCTGTGATAATAGTATCTCACAGGGAAACATTTTCTTTCATTCCAGTGGCCTTAGTCATCTCTGAAGAAATACTTACTTGATTTTTTTTTTTCCAATCAAACAGAGCAGTATAGCTGTGACTATGGATCTGGCAGATTCTTTATCCTTTGTGGACTTGGAGGAATTATTAGCTGTGGCACAACACATACAGCATTGGTTCCTCTAGATCTGGTTAAATGCAGAATGCAGGTTTGTTTTGCATGCTGGACTAGAGCATATTGAAGCATGACTGACTGTTAAGTTATAAGATATAGTCATCTAACAAGCTGTGTGGAAACCTAACTGTCCAGGAGGTAAGTTTATGACCAGTAACATGAGTTTTATATTAAAATGCATGGTGTGTCTTCTCTTACTACAGAGTACAGTTGTGAATTTGGCTCCGCGAAGTATTATGCACTGTGTGGCTTTGGTGGGGTCTTAAGTTGTGGTCTGACACACACTGCTGTGGTTCCCCTGGATTTAGTGAAATGCCGTATGCAGGTTTGTATTGAGATGACAACATTGAAAGTATCTCTCATGTGACTTAACTCTAAATAAAATCTTAAATGAGAATTTGAAGACATCACAACTGCTAGAAACTTCAGTAGGAAACCACATAGAATTTCTTTAAATTGTGGGCTTTATTTTGACTAGTGTTTTAAATCCAATAAATGCCTCTATTGTTTGAGTAAATTGTTCACTTTTAGAGTCTGGCTGTAAATGGCTCTTTGCTGCTGCTCTTCACTTCTGGCCGGAGTTCTTCAAGCTTACTAGTGCCCCAAATAGTCATTTAACAAGCACCTATGTGTTGGAGTGGGTAAACAAGTCTGTGTATTATGTGAAGTAACAATGTCCTTTATCTACTAATAAGACCAAGGCAAAGAGTACATGTAGATTTATTTAAAGTGCTCTTAATATCTTAGTATGAAAATTTTGTCAGATTAGCCTCTTGTTTATTTACACAACATTTTAAAATAATTTGAATATATTTTAATTAAGATCATTGAAACAAAAACAAGACATCGAAAATTTATTTGTTCCAAACTGGATTAGAAGTCTACTTACCTAAAAGAGAAATGAATTTGAAATATTAGGAGGGAGAGGAAGGTGATGTATACCATCCCTTCTAGTACTGGCAGAAATAGATAAGCTTTTCCTCCCCCCCCATTAGTTAATGTAATGGATATGAAATGTACCTTTGCTAAAACGTGTTATGCATGTCTCTTGAAGTGAATTTAGTTTATGTGCTTTTTTTTTTTAACTTGTGTTTAGTTTGTTTAGTGTTCACAAAACTTTATGCTATAAGCTACTTAAAGAACTAGCATATGTTAGGAATACAGTTATATCTATTATCTAGACAGTAGCTTTTAAAAAGTAGGAGGTGGGCCAAGCATGGTCGCCCACACCTGGAATGCCAGCATTTTGGGTAGCCGAAGCAGGTGGGTCACTTGAGGTCAGGAGTTCGAGATCAGAACTCAATCTAGCCAACATGGTGAAACCTCATCTCTGCTAAAAATACAAAAATTAGCTGGGCATGGTGGCGTGCCTGTAGTCGCAGCTACTCGGGAGGCTGAGGCAGGAGAATCGCTTGAACCTGGGAGGTGGAGGTTGCAGTGAGCTGAGATCACACCATGGCACTCCATCCTGGGCTACAGAGCAAGACTCAAAAAACAAACAAACAAAAAACACAAAAAAAGTAGTAGGAGTTGGGTGGTAAGAAATCTGTTAAGAATCAGTTTTGTTACGTATTTTTGTTGAAATTTTACCCTCTTAACTATCACTCCAAGACTTAAGTTTGACACAGAAAGCTTTTGTTGAAATTTTACCCTCTTAACTATCACTCCAAGACTTAGGTTTGACACAGAAAGCTAGACCTTAATGTACAACAGTTTCTATTTATAAAAGTAATCAAATGAACAATAATAAACAGTGATAAGCATAAACTAATAAAAGTTATATGAATGTAGTTCCTCACTCAAAATATCTTAATATTTTCAGATGTCAGTTGACCTTGGATAACTGAAGCCACAGAAAATGAACTCTTGGATAAGGGAGAGCTACTGTATTTCTTTTTTTTTTTTTGAGATGGAGTCTTGCTCTGCTGCCCAGGCTGGAGTGTAGTGGTGCCATCGTGGCTCACTGCAACCTCCACCTCCCTCCCTCAGGCTCAAGCGATTGTTCTGTCTCACCCTCACCCTCCCGAGTAGCTGGGATTACAGGTGCACGCCACCATGCCCGTCCAATTTTTTGTATTTTAGTAGAGATGGGGTTTCACTGTGTTGCCCAGGCTGGTCTTGAACTCCTGAGCTCAGGTAATCCACCTGCCTCAGCCTCCCAAAGTGCTGGGATTACAGATGTGAGCCACCGTGCCTGGCAGGAATTACTGTAGTTACCTTTTGTGTAGTTGCTGAAATTTATTATGGAACCCAAACAAAAATAATCATGAGATTAAATTTTTATGTTAGCTGTTTGGTGCATTTAATTTTTTTTTTCTTGTTTTAAATAAAGGTGGACCCCCAAAAGTACAAGGGCATATTTAACGGATTCTCAGTTACACTTAAAGAGGATGGTGTTCGTGGTTTGGCTAAAGGATGGGCTCCGACTTTCCTTGGCTACTCCATGCAGGGACTCTGCAAGTTTGGCTTTTATGAAGTCTTTAAAGTCTTGTATAGCAATATGCTTGGAGAGGTATGTAATTAACTTTAAAATTGAATGTTCCGAGTGTTTAAGACTTTCCGAGTGTTCTTAGATTTTTGTCTGTCTTGCCTTATTTTAGCACTGAAGAAAATGGTCCTACAAAGTGAGCAACTTGTTTTAAATCGTATGCCTGTGTCAGCAGAGACAGGTTGATAAATGTATTTCATTAAATTACAATTCTCCTTTTAATATACTATCTTGTTTTCTAAGTAAGTTGGATTTTGAGTTTTTTAGAGAAGGGCTCTGGGACTCCTTTGCGTAGTTCCGGGGCATGGCATCTAGATATTTTTTGAATATTCATGTTGTTCACATAGTTACGTGTTTTGTTAATGAGGTTATGAGACCACATATATATTCCATATCATCGTGTGTTACTTTATAAAATGTCTGAAGCTTAGTTGTTTTCTAGAACTGTCACTTCAATTGAAAACCAACACAACAGCAATTCACATCCCTTCCTTGTGTTTTGGATTTTAGGAGAATACTTATCTCTGGCGCACATCACTATATTTGGCTGCCTCTGCCAGTGCTGAATTCTTTGCTGACATTGCCCTGGCTCCTATGGAAGCTGCTAAGGTTCGAATTCAAACCCAGCCAGGTTATGCCAACACTTTGAGGGATGCAGCTCCCAAAATGTATAAGGAAGAAGGCCTAAAAGCGTAAGTAAACACTTAAAAATTTATACTATGAAAGTACTTATTTTAAGTGAACTTCATTTTTTTTTGTTTTTTTTTTTGTTTTGTTTTTTTGAGACAAAGTCTCGCTCTGTCACCCAGGCTGGAGTGCAGTGGCGTGATCTCGGCTCACTGCAAGCTCCGCCTCCCGGGTTCACGCCATTCTCCTGCCTCAGCCTCCCAAGTAGCTGGGACTACAGGCGCCTGCCACTGCGCCCAGCTAATTTTTTGTATTTTTCAGTATAGACGGAGTTTCACCGTCTCCATCTCCTGACCTCATGATCCGCCCACCTTGGCCTCCCAAAATGCTGGGATTACAGGTGTGAGCCACCGCACCCGGCTTCTTTTTTTTTTTTCTTTGAGACGGAGTTTTGCTCTTGTTGTCCAGGCTGGAGTGCAATGGCACTATCTCAGCTCACTGCAACCTCCGCCTCCCAGGTTCAAGTGATTGTCCTGCCTCAGCCTGCTGAATAGCTGGGATTACAGGCATGCACCACCACGCCTGGCTAATTTTGTATTTTTAGTAGAGACTCCATGTTGGTCAGGCTGGTCTCGAACTCCTGACCTCAGGTGATCCACCCGCCTCGGCCTCCCAAAGTGCTGGGATTACAGGCGTGAGACACCGCGTCTGGCTGTGAACTTCATTTTTTAGTATTAAGCCTACCAGACTTTTTAAAAAGACTATTATAACATTTAATGTCTATTTACCTGTATGTAGAACATAAACTTGAGAGGTAAAGATAAGTTAATACATGGTTTGAGCCCTGGACTGAGTTTTTTTTTTTTCCCTAGAGTAAGGACCATTTGTCGGTCTACAAATGACTTGATGTTTGGCCTAAACATTTACTATTAACTTTTAGGGAGGGCTTGTTAGTATCCTTGTGATCTATTCACAGTTAAGAATTTCCATGACCACAACATGCTTCCTTAGATCCACCTTTGTGGATGAATCTTGAACTGAGTTCCACTTGTAAACTTCTTGTTTCTTGTGGTTCCAGTAGTCAAAGAAACATCCAGCAACTTTTTTGGTTGTATAGTCAAAGGTGCTTGAGTCATTGGCATGTAAGAGAAATATACCTGCATGTTAGTCTAACGTTCTGATAGAAATGACATGCATTTATGCTGCCATTTGTTACTATCAGGACTCGACTCGTGTGCGGACATTTCTGTTAATAATGACAGTCTCTGATAGATGAGTGTATGCAACTGTGTAAAACAAGTCTCTTGATTTCCTAGATTCTACAAGGGGGTTGCTCCTCTCTGGATGAGACAGATACCATACACCATGATGAAGTTCGCCTGCTTTGAACGTACTGTTGAAGCACTGTACAAGTTTGTGGTTCCTAAGCCCCGCAGTGAATGTTCAAAGCCAGAGCAGCTGGTTGTAACATTTGTAGCAGGTTACATAGGTACGAATTACTTAGAACACACTTGTCTGAAATTATGAACAAATAATCATTTCCATTATTGGCGTTTTTTGAGAGGGAAAAATACTCCAAAGGTTATAAAGCAGTGTTTTTGTTTTTTTGGTTTCCCTGAGGCATAGTCTCGCTCTGTTGCCCAGGCTGGAGTGCAGTGGCATGATAATAGCTCACTGCAACCTCCTCCTCCTGGGTTCAAGTGATTCTTCTGCCGCAGCCTCCCAAGTAGCTGGGACGGGCATGCACCGCCATGCCCGGCTGATTTTTGTTTTTGTTTTTTGTTTTTTTTTGAGATGGAGTTTTACCCTTGTTGCCCAGGCTGGAGTGCAGTGGTGCAATCTTGGCTCACTGCAGCCTCCGCCTCCTGGGTTCAAGCGATTCTCCTGTCTCAGCCTCCTGAGTAGCTGGGATTGCAGGCGTCTGCCACTACGCCCGGCTAATTTTTAGTATTTTTAGTAGAGACGGTTTCACTATGTTGGCCAGGCTGGTCTCAAACTCCTGGCCCCAGGTGATCTGCCTGCCTTGGCCTCCCAAAGTGCTGGGATTACAGGCGTGAGCCACCGCGCCTGGCCTGATTTTTGTAAAGATGGGGTTTCACCATGTTGATGAGTCTGGTCTCAAACTCCTGACCTCAGGTGATGTGCCTGGCCTATAAAGCAGTTTTATCTTCCCATAACATTTTATATGCTTTTTAGGATTCATAAATACTTGCTAACTAGTTCCTAAAAGGGCTGTTTCATGGGATGTCATTATTAGGCTTGGGAATGTATTGATCTTACTGTTGCACCATTTTTTTGTTGTTGTTTATTAAGAATTTTATACAGAAAGTGTTGAATAAAATCTGAAAAACTTTAAAAGATTGTTCCGTTTTACATAGGATAGACAGCTTGATAACTGTACCCGTGTCACCCTGAGTCTGATTTTTATTTTAGAACTAGAAAAATATTATTTTAAAATCATAAAAATGATTATTGGCTCTGTGAAGTTTTGTTTTTAACTGGCACTGTATGGGATCCTTTATCTTTTTTCAGCTGGAGTCTTTTGTGCAATTGTTTCTCACCCTGCTGATTCTGTGGTATCTGTGTTGAATAAAGAAAAAGGTAGCAGTGCTTCTCTGGTCCTCAAGAGACTTGGATTTAAAGGTAGGATGATGTTTTTTTCTTGAAAGAAAGAACAACAGTTTTGGATATGTTGCATTTTTTTCATTTGCTTTTCCTGTTTGAACCAGGTGTATGGAAGGGACTGTTTGCCCGTATCATCATGATTGGTACCCTGACTGCACTACAGTGGTTTATCTATGACTCCGTGAAGGTCTACTTCAGACTTCCTCGCCCTCCTCCACCCGAGATGCCAGAGTCTCTGAAGAAGAAGCTTGGGTTAACTCAGTAGTTAGATCAAAGCAAATGTGGACTGAATCTGCTTGTTGATCAGTGTTGAAGAAAGTGCAAAAGGAACTTTTATATATTTGACAGTGTAGGAAATTGTCTATTCCTGATATAATTACTGTAGTACTCTTGCTTAAGGCAAGAGTTTCAGATTTACTGTTGAAATAAACCCAACTCTTCATGATTTGCCTGTGACTTATTTTTAAAACTTTTTTAAAAAAGATTTAGCTTTAAAATAGTTGGAAAGAATGAAGTATATAAGTTAAGGAAAAAATACAAAACTGACCATGACCATTGTTGGTTGAATATTCCAGTTGCTATTCAGAAATTGTCATATGTCTCAAGTTTTATCACACAAAGTTCCTGTATTTCTAGGGAAGCAGACTTTAAATTTCTAAAAACTTGATTTAATTATAGTTAAATATGTGTAGTCATTTGTGGTTATTTTGGCAAGTAAATGTCAGTGTATACTTACATTTTTGCAGCATGTACTACACCTTTTTTATGTTGGTGAGTTTGCTAATCCTTATTTGTAAGACAAGGTAAACCAAATTAGGCTGATTCTTAGAATGACAGTAAAGGACCAAAGTGATTGACAGCTGAAAACAATTTTCAGGTACACTAATTCTCTTTACACAGATCTGACTTTTTTTTTTTTTGAGACGGAGTTTCACTCTTGTTGCCCAGACGAGTGTAGTGTCGCGATCTCGCCTCACGGCAACCTCTGCCTCCCAGGTTCAAGCGATTGTTCTGCCTCAGCCTCCCAAGTAGCTGGGATTTCAGGCATGTGCCACCACGCCCAGCTAATTTTGTATTTTTAGTAGAGACGGGGTTTCCCTGTGTTGGTCAGGCTGGTCTCGAACTTCCAACCTCAGGTGATCCGCCCGCCTCAGCCTCCCAAACTGCTGGGATTATAGGCATGAGCCACCGTGCCCGGCTCTGACTTTTTACAGAAAATTGAACTATTTTCAGTCTGGTATTTTAAGAAAGGTACTGCTTGACAGCTGAACTATATGAATGCCACTGGGGAAAAAGCATTCCATCATACTTAGATACGAGATTGGATTGTAGGTTTAAGCCCATTTTTAAAGAGCTCCTAGAAAGTGAATTAGTTTTTGTGTTTAGATTCCCCTTAAGTTTGATTAGGAAGTGTATAAAAGTTCAATCTTTTGTAATGACAGCCCACCACTGGAAAAAAAACGAAAAACCTAGTGTAATATATAACATGCTGTTTTTCAAACACTAGATTTTACCTAGAGTCCTTATGTGTAATACGTGGGTTGGTTAACAGTCCCTACGTAAAGCGTACAGATGGCCTGGAGAGAAAAACTTTTTCAGAGATTGGAGAGAAATGTTACTACAAACTCATGGTAAGGTCAGTGAACTCAATTTAGAAGCCAGTGCAGCTAGTTGCATGTTAACTTCTTTATATCATCATTGCCTGAACTTGTTAAAGGTTCCAACATTTTACCTGTGCTGCAGGAAAAAAGGAAAAGTTGTAGGTACAAATTTGGACCAAACTTTAAAAAGGTAAAGTAGGATGTCTTCTGAACCCAACCAAGTGGTGGCTGTGGTGCTTAGCAGTATCAACTGTATATTATTTCTTGCTATGTTAGCAAAGCATCCAAAGATCAATGGTGTATGATAAGCTTTTCTGTGGGTGAAGAACTCGGGAGTATCAGACTCTTCTGGTTCTGAGTCTCATGAAGCTTTTCACTTCTGAGCTGAAAGGATGCTCTTTGTGCTTTTCACTATTAGTGGTATAGTCTTTCCCGAAAATCTCTAGCATGGTGGCTTCAGGGCAGCTGGACTTAGGTGGTATTTTGGGGCTCCAGGAGAGCTTGGCAGAGTTGGCTTTTTAGGACTTATCCTTCAATGTCACATAACATCACTTTTACCATGCTCTTGGTTACAACAGTGATGTCTCAGAAACCAAGTCCCAGATTGAGGAAAAAAGGAACATAGTCTCTACCTCTTCCTGAGAGGAAAGTCAGTCAACGTGTAAGAGGAGCAGTAGAAACGCATTAGTCCAGCCAACGTGAAAGTGGACCGTAGATCTAAAACATTTTGGGTATGCAGTTCAGCCAGCCCTTACTGAGGCAGTTCTGCCAATCAGGATTCAAGTTTTATTTCCTAAGAGTTATAATAGGTTTTATTTGTGGGCATTGATACAAAATACGCTGTGTTCAAGCTATGGAGCCTGCCACTGTAGTTACTAGAGTTACGGTTCAAAGCTATTTCTGAGAGAAAGCCACTTCATCCTCAAAACCCAAGAGGCCCACTTAAAGTGATGCGAATTCTCATTTCAGGTTTTTAAATTATACTAAAAGATTCTAGTAAGAAAATTTTAATATGTATGTATTGGTGTTCTTTTTACATTTCATTTAATGAAATGTCTACTGTCAATACGATAAAGCAGAACCCAGTGGAGTAAGAATACACGAAACTGCCAGGCACAGTGGGTCATGCCTGTAAACCCAGCATTCTGGGAGGCCGAGGCGGGTGGATCACCTGAGGTCGGGAGTTCAAGACCAGCCTGACCAACATGGAGAAACCCTGTCTCTACTAAAAATACAAAATTAGCTGCGGTGGTGGTGCGTGCCTGTAATCCCAGCTACTCAGGAGGCTGAGGCAGGAGAATCGCTTGAACCCGGGAGGCGGAGGTTGTGGTGAGCCAAGATTGCGCCATTGCACTCCAGCCTGGGCAACAACAGCGAAACTCTGTCTCAAAAAAAAAAAATATATATATATATATATATATATGAAGCTGATAGTTGAATTATGTTGATTCAGGGACAAGATAGCATTGCATAGTAACTTCCAGTAGGATCAAATATTTTGAGAGTGGTTAAAACGCCAAGGAATCCTGATTTTATGAAATTATGCCTTCTGATAGGTGCAACAAAATTGAACAGAAGAGTAACAGCTTAACTAAACCTCCATTGTGTGAAAGTTTTATGAAATGTTTTGACTTTTTTTTTTTTTTCCCTAGAGAACAGGGTTCTTGCTTTGTCGCCCAGGCTGGAGTACAGCCTTGAACTCCTGGGCTCAAGCGATCCTCCTGCCTCAGCCTCCCAGTTAGCTGACACAATTGGGATGTGCCACTACTTGCTCCTGTTTTTTCATAGACGGGTCCTGCTGTTGCTCAGGCTGGTCTCGGATTCCTGGCCTCAAGCAACTTTCCTGCCCCAGCTCCTAAAGCGGCCAGGGTTACAGGTAGCCGCCTTGTCTGTCCCGTTTCGACCATATTTTATTTTTGAGAAGGTCTTGCTCTGTCGCCAGACTGGAGTGCAGTGGCACGATGATAGCTCACTGCAGCCTCGATCTCCCAAGCTCAAGTGATCCTCCCACCTCAGCCTCTTGAATAACTGGGACTGCAAGTGTGGACCACCATGTCTGGCTAATGTTTTTTATTTTTAGCAGAAATGAGGTCTTGCTATGTTGCCAAGGCTAGTCTTGAACTCCTGAGCTCAAGCGAGCCTTCTGCCTTGGCCTTCCAAAGGGCTGGGATTAGAGGGCTGAGCCACCACACTTGGCCAACCATATTTTATTTTTTATATTTTTATTTTATTTGATCCTTGTTCTGAAACCATAAAGTGAGTTTAACATTTCTGGCTGGGCACAGTGGCTCATGCCTGTAATTCTAACACTTTAGGAGACCAAGGCAGGAGGATGCCTTGAGCCCAGGAGTTTGAGACCATCCTGGACAACATAATGAGAAAAGAAAATACAAAAATTAAGGGGTGTGGTGACACATGCCTGTAGTCTCAACTATTTGGGAGGCTGAGGCAGGAGGATTGCTTGAGCCCGAGAGGTTGAGGCTACAGTGAGCCATGTTTACGCCATTGCAGTCCAGCCTGGGCGACAGAGTGAAACCCTGTCTCAAAAAAAAAGTAACATTTCTATATGATTTTTGGGATCGACATGTCCATAATGTTAATGAAGCGCATAGCAGTCACTAGTAAATTAGGAGTTATACATTGCTTCTATAGCATCAGAAATTGTATATCAGGCCAGGTGCAAAAGCTCACTCCTGAAATCCAAGCACTTTGGGAGGCTGAGGTGGGCGGATTGCTTGAGGTCAGGAGTTCAAGAACAGCCTGGCCAACATGATGAAACCCCAGGTCTCTACTAAAAATACAAAAATTGGTCAGGCATGGTGGTGCATGCCTGTAATTCCAGCTACTCGGGAGGCTGAGGCAGGAGAATTGCTTGAACCCGGGAGGCAGAGGTTGCAGTGAGCCAAGATTGTGCCACTGCACTCCAGCCTGGGCGACAGAGCCAGACTGTCTGAGGAAGAAATTGTATATCAGGCTGGGCACAGTGGCTCATACCCGTAATCCCAGCACTTTGGGAGGCCCAGGCTGGGTATCACTTGAGCCCAGGAGTTGGAGACCAGCCTGGGCAACAAAGTGAGACCCCTCTCTCTACAAAAAATAAATTAGCCAGGCATGGTGGCACGTGCCTGTAATCTCAGCTACTTAGGAAGCTGAAGGAGGATCGTCTGAGCCCAGGAGTTTGAGGCTGCAATGAGCTACAATCACACCCCTGCACTCCGGCCTGGGCGACAGAGTGATAACCTGTCTAAAAAAATAAAAATAAATTGTATAATCATATTGCAATTTTCTTTGCATTACTGATGAGGAAAAATCTCAAAGTAATTGTAAAAAATCCTGGATATCACATAGTTGAGAAACAAAGTTATTTTAAACTTACAGGACTCTGTAGTTCACAGTTGAACACTGTGGCTTCCTGAAATATCAAAGAATAATGTACATTAATAAGCCAGCTACTATCGGCATCTTGTAAAAATTAAAAAATTAAACATAAATAAAAGTTCAAACTATGTGTTGAATCATTTGTCTTTTACAAGCCAGCCCTGACTTCACATTCTCAGAGGTGTTCATAGAAGTGCATGAGATGTTAACCTCACCACTGATAAGGTTTATGAATCTCCTGGTTATTAAGGTGTGACCTGACAAGTTTCCTAGAAAGCAGCTATTCCAGAGTTTTCATGTGTGTTTTTATAGACACTGAAGTGCAGTATGCAATAGTCACTTAATAAGTATTGCTACACTGAATGAAAGAGCCTTGGGGATGTGTCTCTTACACAAGATATAATTCCTACCTAATACTGTGAATAATAATTTGATGTTCAAATCAGCCAGCTTGCTTTGCAGAATCCAGTGTATTGCAAAGTTTGAAGATGGAAAATAATTCATGTGACAGGCCATATCATTATTCCAAGACCCATGATCTTAACACTAGAGGGCTATATTAGTCAAGGTTAAAACTGCTAAATCTCAAGGAAGCATTAACATCTGAAAATATGGTATACCCAACTTTTACTCATGGATAAGTTTGACGGTAAAATGTCATTGTACTTGATGTTAATAGGTTATTGGGAACTGTTACGTTAAGTGAAATCACAAATAATGAAACTATTTTTACCACAGCCTAGTTGATATAAATGAGTTAAGTTCCTACAACATATTTCTGGTCACGAAAATATAACCAAACTAATAAAGACCAAAACAATTCTAATATTAAGCATTAAATAAATATGAGCTATACATGCATTTAAGGAAGATTATGGTCGGTCGCGGTGGCTCACACTTGTAATCCCAGCACTTTGGGAGGCCCTGGCAGGTGGATCATGAAGTCAGTAGTTCGAGACCAGCCTGGCCAACACAGTGAAACCCCCATCTCTACTGAAAATACAAAAATTCACTTAGGCATGGTGACGGGCGTCTGTAATCCCAGCTACTCGGGAGGCTGGGGCAGGAGAATCGCTTGAACCCAGAAGGCAGAGGTTGCAGTGAGCCGAAATCGTGCCACTGCACTCCAGCCTGGGTGACAGAGCTAGACTTCGTCTCAAAAAATGAAAAAAAGACTTCCTCTCAAGCTTGGCGTTTGGTCGATGGGGACCCACAGAGGAAGCAAGTTGGCAGAGTGAGGTGGGTCTACGGAGAAACAGGAACAACTCCCAAGATCACATGGCTCCTGAGGTAGAGAAAGTGCCTCTACTGACGCTGGCCGTTTGTTCCAGATCCCAGGAGGACGCGTTATACCACAATTCTTTTGGGGGGATGCTGGTGAGATACTTATAAGAAATCCTCTTCTTTCTTTCCTTTTCTTTTTTCTTTTTTTTTAGACGCAGTCTCGCTTTGTCACTCAGGCTGGAGTGCAATGGCGCAATCTTGGCTCACTGCAACCTCCGCCTCCCAGGTTCAAGCGATTCTCCTGCCTCAGCCTCCCGAGTAGCTGGGATTACAGGCGCCTGCCACCACGCCCGGCTAATTTTTGTATTTTTAGTACAGATAGGGTTTCGCCATGTTGGCAAGGCTGGTCTTGAACTCCTGAACTCAAGTGATCCCTCACCTCTGCCTCCCAAAGTGCTGGGATTACAGGTGAGCCACCATGCCCTGCCTGTTTTTTCTTTCTTTTTTTCTTTCATGAGCTGATTCTTAAAACCAGAGCTCTTGGCTGGGCGCGGTGGCTTACGCCTGTAATCCCCAGTGCTTTGGGAGGCCGAGGCGGGTGGCTTGCCTGAGCTCAGGAGTTCAAGACCAGCCTGGGCAACACAGTGAAACCCCGTCTCTACTGAAATACAAAAAATTAGCCGGGTGTGGCAGTGTGTGCCTGTAATCCCAGCTACTTGGGAGGCCGAGGCAGGAAAATTGCTTGAACCTGGTAGGCAGAGGTTGCAGTGAGCCGAGATGGCGCCACTGTACTCCAGCTTGGGCGACAGAGCAAGATTCCACCTCAAACAACAACAACAAAAAAAAAACAGCCCTGTCGACCGGGCACGGTGGCTCACGCCTGTAATCCCAGCACTTTGGGAGGCCGAGGCGGGCGGATCACAAGGTCAGGAGATCGCGGGCGGATCACAAGGTCAGGAGATCGAGACCATCCTGGCTAACACGGTGAAACCCCGTCTCTACTAAAAATACAAAAATTAGCTGGGCATGGTGGCGGGCACCTGTAGTCCCAGCTACTCCTCCCAGGCTGAGGCAGGAGAATGGCGTGAACCCTGGAGGCGGAGTGCAGTGAGCCAAGACTGTGCCACTGCACTCCAGCCTGGGCAGCAGAGCGAGACTCCGTCTCAAAAAAAAAAAAAAAAAAAAAAAAAAAAAACAAAAAACAGAGCCCTGACTAACCCCCGTTGTGGCTGACTGTAAGTTCTGTGAAATCAGGGAACACTTGATGATAGCTAGTAGTTGCCCACTGTGTATCCACTGAAGCACCTACCCTGGCATTCTACACATATTCATAAATGTTTTTGAACAAATGAATGAAACAACTAAGGGTAAAACTATCTGCTATTTATCCAGAGGCAGAACCAGAGTCATGGGCCCATGAGTGGACACAAGTAATGGGACACGGAATATTGATCAACCTGTTCTAGATGTAACCTCAGTGTCTGAATACTAGACAGAGGTGGAACTGAGACAGGCCATAGGTGAGATAACTATTTCACAAGTAAGCTATATCCCATAGCCTTCTTTAAAAGGGTGAGACAATGATAAGGTGTGATAGTTAATTTTATCCATCAATTGGCTGGGCCATGATGTCCAGACGTTTGGCTTAACATTATACTGGATGTTCCCGTGAGGGTGTTTTTTTGGATGAGATTAACATTCTAATCAGTGGACCTCGAGTAAAGCAGATTGCCCTCCATAATGTGAGTGGCAATCCACGTTCAATCAGTTGAAGGCCTGAATAGAACAGAAGAGTAATCCCCCAACTCCCACCCAAGCAAGAAGGAATTCTGCCTTCAGACTTGAACTGCAACACCAGCTCTTCCCTGAGGATCCAGACTGATGGCCCACCTTGCAGATTTTGGACTTGCCATCCTCTATAATCCATGTGAACCAATTCCTTAAACCTCTCTCTCTCTCTCTTCCCCTACATCTTGTTGCTTCTGTTTCTCTGGAGAATCCTGACTACTACACAAGTTTCTGGTAATAATGACTCAATTTTTCTTTCTTTTTTTTTTGACACAGGGTCTCACTGTTGCCAGCGCTGGAGTGCAGATCATAGCTCACTGCAGACTACCTCCTGGGCTCAAGCGATTCTCCCACCTCAGCCTCCCCATTAACTGGGACTACAGATGCACACCACACTGGTTAATTTTTTTTGTAGAGCTGAAATTCACCATGCTGGCCAGGCTGGTCTCAAACTCATTAGCTCAAGTGATCTGCCTGCCTCAGCCTCCCAAAATGCTGGGATTACAGGTGTGAGCCACTGTTCCTGGCTATCAATTTTTCAAATAAGACAGAACATATGAAATATTTCCTGGCAATAGCTTGGAGAAGGTGAACCAAGTCAGAGTACATAGTTAACTTTTCCATGGCAAAAAGCCCAAGGATTGGTGATGAGCCACTCTGATATAAGTATTCATAAACTCAGCCGGGCATGGTGGCTCACGCCTATAATCCCAGCACTCTGGGAGGCCGAGGCGGGCAGATCACGAGGTCAGGAGATAGAGACCATCCTGGCTAACACGGTGAAATCCCGTCTCTACTAAAAACAACAACAAAAAAATTAGCCAGGTGTCGTGGTGGGGGCCTGTAGTCCCAGCGACTCGAGAGGCTGAGGCAGGAGAATGGCGTGAACCCGGGAGGCGGAGCTTGCAGTGAGCCGAGATTGCACCACTGCACTCCAGCCTGGGCGACAGAGCCAGACTCCCTCTCAAAAAAATATAAGAGGCCCGGCGCGGTGGCTCATGCCTGTAATCCCAGCACTTTGGGAGGCTGAGGCGGGTGGATCGCCTGAGGTCAGGAGTTCGAGGCTAGCCTGGCCAACATGGTGAAACCCCATCTCTACTAAGAATACAAAAATTAGCTGGGCATGGTGGCGCAATCCTGTAATCCCAGCTACTCGGGAGGCTGAGGCAGGAGAATCACTTGAACCCGGGAGGCGGAGGTTGCAGTGAGCCGAGATCGTGCCATTGCACTCCAGCCTGGGCTACAAGAGCGAAACTCCGTCTCAAAAAAACAAAAATAAATAAATAAAAAATAAAAATAAAAGAGAATTCATAAACTCGCCAGGCACAGTGGCTGACACTTGTGATCCCAGCATTTTGGGAGGCCAAGGCAGGAGGATTGCTTGACTTCAGGAGTTCGAGACCACTCTGGGCAGTATAGGCAGACTTCATCTCTACCAAAAAAAAAAAAAAAAAAAAAAAATTAAAAAAGTAGTTAGGGTTGGTGGTGAATTCATGTAGTCCTAGCTACTCAGGAGGCTGAGTGGGAGGATTGCTTGAGGTCAGGAGACAAGAGGCTGCAGTGAGGCATGATCATGCCACTGCACTCCAGCTTGGGCAACAAAATAAGACCCTGTCTCAAAACAACAACAACAACAACAACAACAACAACAACAAACACACAGAATTCATAAACTCTTATTTTTGAGGTGACCAGCTCTGTGGATCTGGATATCCTTCACGCTAGGCATTTGAAACTGGGGCTAATGCTGTGTGGGTTTACTTTAGGTTATTATAGTGTACTTAAAAACATATATTGATGAGAGATTACACATATAAACACAAATATTTCAAGTGTATACTGTAATGCCAGAACTCTGGGAGGCCAAAGCAGAAGAATCACTTGAACCCAGGAGTTCAAGACCAGCCTGGGCAGCATAGGGAGATTCCATCTCTACCAAAAAAAAGAAAAAAAAAGAAAAAAAGAAAAAAGAAATTAGCCAGGCATGGTGGCTTGAGACTGTAGTCCCAGCTACTCAGGAAGCTGAGGTGGAAGGATCATTTGAGTCCAGGAGGTCAAGGCTGCTGTGAGCCATGATCACACCACCGCACTCCAGCCTGGGTGAAAAAGTGAGAACCTGTCTCAAAAATAAAAATAAATAAAAATTTAAAAAGTGTACCCTTTGATGAGTTTTGACATATATCTATCACAATGAAGATAATAAACATCCTTCACTCCTTTTCCTTGTGGCTCTTTGTAATCTATACCTGTCTCCATCTCTATCTACAGTTGTGATGGATAATTTTGTTTCAAGCTGCCTGGGCTAAGGGATGCCCAGATAGCTGGTAAAACATTATTTCTGGGTGTGTCTGTGACAGTGTTTCCAGAAGAGCTTAGCATTTGACTTGGTAGACTGCATAAAGAAGATCACTTTCGTTAATGTGGGTGAGCATCATCCCATCCATTGAGGGCCTGGATAGAAAAAAGGCAGAAGGGTGAATCTGCTACTCTTTGAACTGGGACATCTATCTTCTCCTGCCCTCAGACATCAGTGTTCCTGGTTTTGGGCCTTTGGTCTTTCACGAGGGCTTAGGCCATCACTTCCTTTGGTTGTCAGGCCTTCAGACTCACTCTGAATTAAACCACTGGCTTTCCTAGTTTTCCAGTTTGCAGATGAAAGATTGTGTGATTCTTGGCCTCCATAATCATGTGAGCCAATTCCTAGAATCTATCTATCTATCTATCTATCTATCTATCTATCTAATCTATCCACCCATCCATCCACCACCCACCTACCTACCTACCTACCTACCTATCAATCATCTGTCTATCCATCCATCCTATTGGCTCTGTTTCTCTGGAGAATCCTAATGCAACAGGCAACCACTGATCTACTTTCTGTCACTTTAGATTATTTTGCATTTTCTAAAGTTTTATGTAATTGGAATTGATAAAACTTTTGCCAATGCTGTTAGAGCTCCCCCCTCCCCTTTTTTTTTTTCCCCCTGAGATGTAGTCTTGCTTTGTCTCCCAGTCTCCCAGGCTGGAGTGCAATGGTGGGATGTCTGATCACTGCAACCTTTGCCTCCTGGGTTCAAGCGATTCTCCTGCCTCAACTTCCCGAGTAGCTGGGATTACAGGTGCCCACTACCTTGCCCGGCTAATTTTTGTATTTTTAATAGAGACGTGGTTTCACCATGTTGGCCAGGCTGGTCTCAAACTCCTGACCTCAGGTGTTACACCCGCCTCGGCCTCCCAAAATGCCGGGATTACAGGCGTGAGCCACGGCGCCCAGATTTAGGGCCTCCTCTTCTAGTTGCTTTGGCTACTTCTGGTCACATCCTCATCAGACGAGTTGTGTTGCTTTGAGGCAGAGTCTGTCTGAGGCTTGGCAAGCCCCCTTCAATCTACACCCTCCCCCACAACCCTTGCTCTAGAAGCCACTTTCCAGCCCCTTTTATTAAGTAACCTACTTGCTATGGCCTGAATGTGTCTCCCCAAAATTCATACGTTGAAATCCAATGTGAGACATTTGGGAGGTGATTAGGTCATAAGGTAGGAGTCTTCATGGACAGGATTAGTGCCCCTATAAAAGAGGCCCCAGATTGCTGCTTGCTCCTTCCACCACGTGAGGACACAGCTAGAAGGTGCTATGAACCAGGAAGTGGGCCCACACTAGACACTGAATCTGCCAGTACCTTGATCTCAGACTTTCCAGCCTCTAGAACAGTGAGAAATAAATTTGTTAGTTACAGGCTACCTAAAGTTCTTGCTATACTATTATACACCAGCCCAAATAGACCGAGACACTACTGTTCCTTTCCCTGTTTCCTAAAGCCATGAAGGACCCAGATAGGCTTTTATTTTTTTTCCCCTGCAGCTCACTGTGACCTTTCTAGTTTCTCTTCCTCTAACTGGATAATGAATGCCGCAGCCCTGTCCCCTGAGGGGTCCCTTCAGTTAGGTCCCTAAACACACATGCTGGGCTCCCTGGCAGCCAGAGAGGGCAAGTGGGGATTCAGATCCTGCCCCTTCGAGATCTCCCCATGCTAACTAGCACATTCTGCTTCTCCTATGTGTGTGTGTGTGTGTGTGTGTGTGTGTGTGTGTGGGTAACAACATGTATGTCAGAAGGATGGATAAAGTTCTTGCTATGTAAAGTTGCAAAAATAGGTTTTAGCATATTTATTTTGGAAAATCAACCTGTTTTAAAGTTTTATTTTTACTGTACAAAATAGGATTAAATATAAAATGACTTTTGCTCCAAAATATCATTATTTTTGATTTACCAGTCTTCTCATGAGAGGTCCCATTAAAAAAATTACCTTAGTCTAATCTCAATAATGTCAAACTAATTCATATCTGAAATGTGTGCTATTTCATCTTTAATATCCTTAATCTCAGCTTGGACTATTGTTAAATTAGATATTTTTTCACTTAAGAAAGCAATTTCTTTCTCTCTTTGTAGTAAGTCGGTAACCAATCTCCCAATGCGTAGTGTTAAATCATTTACTAATGGTTCTAAACGGGAAAAGTCCTTCTTTAGATTATACACCTTTGGTTTTAGATCATTTGCAAAAGTCACTGTCTTCAGAACTTTGGCTCTGTCACCTTCTAAGCTTAGAAATCTATCTGTATGTTTGTCGAAGTCACTCTTTAGTTCGGTTAGCGTCTTCTTAACAGAGTTAATTCTTTGTGAATTTTCAGATGCTGTCTTTCGGAGCGTTGCTGTTCGATCAATACTGCTTGAAAGAAGATCACCTATATTTTTTACTGTATTTTTTTCTACTTTCTCTATTTTATTTTCTAGTTCTTGCACAGAATCTGTCAATGATATTACATCAGTTACTAAACCTGAAATCCGTCGTATATCTGTTTTTACACTTGTAATCTTGAGACCAACATCTTTTGCCATGGAAGTTGTACTTTGGTCTACTTTTGTAATGTCTTGAGAAAGCGTCGTCAGACTGTTGTTCAGTATATCCTGTTTTTCAGTTATCCTATTGGACCAAGTTTTTACCTCATTAATTTCTTCCTGTAGACGCTTTAGATGAGCAATTATTTGAAAAGACTTCAATTGTTCCATGATAGCTTCAGATTTCTGCCACTATAAGAAAATATAATATCACAATGATTAAATGTATTAGAAGCTTACCATTTAAAATTCATCTTAAATTTTATATTTCTTTTTAATTTTAATTTTTTTTTTGAGACAGAGGCTTGTTCTGTTACCCAGGATGGAGTGCAGTGGCACGATCTTGGCTCACTGAAACCTCCACCTCCTGGGTTCCAGCGATTTTCCTGACTCAGCCTCCCAAGTAGCTGGGATTACAGGCACCCGCCCCCACCTCAGCTAACTTTTTTTGTATTTTTAGTAGAGACGGGTCTTCACCATGTTGGACAGGCTGGTCTCGATCTCCTGACCTCTGGTTATCTGCCCACCTCGGCCTCCTAAATCCATGCCTGGGATTACAGGCGTGAGCCACCACGCCCTGCCTTATGTTATTTTTTAACTACACTTTACTGTTCTTCTGGAAAGCATATGGTAAAAGACGACTTCAGAAGTAAGAGAATTTAGAACAATGTAAGTGAATTACTAATGAATAAGAAGGAAACATTAAGAAAATTTCATGAAATGTCCCTGGAAATTACATTTTTTACATTATAATATTTTCACAATTGGTCTTCTGTACAGTAATAAAATGAGCTACATGAGACAGTGATGTGGTTTTTCAGTTGCTGGAGAAGGGAAAAGGAAGTTTCCTCCAGTTGAGCTTTGCTAGGTGAGACAAGGCAACATAAGTTCTTTTTTATTTCAGCTTTATTAAGGTATAATTGACAAATTAAAATTGTATATATTTATTGTGTACAATGTAATATTTTGATATACATATCTACGCACATATTGTGAATGATTAAATCAAGCTAATGAACATATCTATCACCTCATGTATTTTTTTTTGTAGTAAGAATATTTAAGATCTACTCTCCTAGAAATTCTCTCTTTTTTTTGGAGATGGAAGTCTCACTCACTCTGTACCCAGGCTGGAATGCAATAGCCCCATCTCTGCTGACTGCAACCTCTACCTCCTGGGTTCAAGTGATTCTCCTGCCTCAGTCTCCAGAGTAGATGGTACCACAGTTGTGTGCCACCACGCCTGGCTGATTGTTGTTTAGTAGTGACAGGGTTTCACCATGTTGACTAGGCTGGTCTGAAACTCCTAATCTCAAGTGATTCGCCCGCCTCGACCTCCCAAAGTGCTAAGATTATAAGGCATGAGCCATCGCGCCCGGCCTCTTAGCAATTTTCAAGTATATATTATTATTATTTACAGTCATCATACTATACAATAGATCTCCAGAACTTATTCATCCTGTTTAACTGAAACTTTGTATTCTTTAATCAACATCTCTCAATTGTCCTACCCTGTCCCCTCCAATCCCTCGTAACCATTCTACTCTGTACTTCTATGAGTCTGACTTTTCTAGATTCCACATATAATTGAGATCATGCAGTATTTGTCTTTCTGTGCCTGGTTCATTCCACTTAGCATAATATCGTTTAGGTTCATCCATGTAGTCACAAATAACAGGATTTCCTTCTTTTTAAAGGGAGAACCGCATTTTGTGTGTGTGCGTGTGTGTTATTTATCATTCATCTGTTGATTGACACTTAGGTTGATTCTACATATCTTGGCTATTGGGAGTAATGCTGCAATGAATATGGGAGTGCAGAAAACTCCTTGACATACTGATTCATTTCTTTTGGATATATATCCAGAAGTGGGATTGCTGGATCATATGATTATTCTTAGTTTTTTTTTTTTTGAGGAACCTCCACACTGTTTTCCATAATGGCTATACTTTCCCACTCACAGTGTACGATGGTTCCCTTTTCTCCACATTCTCACCAACACTTGTTATCTTTTGTCTTTTTGATAATAAATATTCTAACAGGTGTGAGTTGATATCTCATTGTGGTTTTAATTTTTCATTTCCCTGATAATTAGTGATGTTGAGCATTTTTTTCCATATACCTGTTGGCCATTACTATGTCTTCTTTTGAGAAATGTCTATTCATGTCCATAGCCCATTGTTTAATTGGGTTTTTTTTTGCTATTGAGTTGAGTTCCTTATATATTTTGGATATTAAGCCATTCTCAGATTTATGGTTCATGAGTATTTTCTCCCATTCTATAGGTTGTCTCTTCACTCTGTTGACTGTTTCCTTTTCTGTACAGAAGATTTTAGTTTGACACAATCATATTTATCTATTTTTGCTTTTGTTGCTTGTTCTTTTCAGGTTCTATTCAAAAAAATCTTTCCCAAGACTAACGTCAAGAAGCTTTTTCCTCATGTTTTCTTCCAGCGGTTTTCAATTTCTGGTGTTACATTTAAGTCTTTAATTCATTTTGAATTGGTTTTTGTATATGGTTTGATATAAGGGTCCAGTTTCATTCTTCTGCATAGGATATCCAGTTTTCTCAACAGCATTTATTAAAGAGATGTCCTTTCCCTTTTGTGTGTTCTTGGCAACTTGGATGAGAATCATTTGAACATACACTTGTAGAAGTATTTCTGGGCTCTCTGTTCCATTAGTCTATGTTTTTTTTTTAAATGCTAGTATCACGCTGTTTGGATTACTACAGCTTTGTAATATATTTTGAGATCGGGTAGTGTGATGTCTCCAGCTTTGTTCTTTTTGCTCAAGATTGCTTTGGCTATTCGGGGTCTAAGGCAACTGCAAATAAGTTATAGCAAATGCTAGAATGAAGGGACCAATGTCCAAGACTATATGTCTACGCTTTATTGGCCTGTAACTTTTATGAACAGTTTTCTGGCCTATCTAACTATCCATGAGACCTTGAATAATTCAAATTCTCAAGTTCCTAGTATGTTGTTAGGCATGCAAAATATGTGGAACATAAAGATGAGTATAACTCGAGTTGTGGCCTCAACTTAGTTTAGTAGAGAAGACAGATAAGTAAAAGAAAAGAATTTCCAAGGTTCTAAAATTCTGATTCCAAATGCAGCTGTTTTTCAACTTTTGTATGTTTCAATGTCATCCTTCTTCCCCACTATACATTATGAACTGAAAGCTCTTAAATTGTCACCTTGATTTAACTTGGACACATTAACTGATAAACATTTGGAGCCACCCAAGTGTCTGGCAACATCTTGAGTTGTTATTTTTGTTGTTGTTTGTGGTGATGGTCCTGTGTCTGTGCACACACATGTGCGTGCCTATATAGCAGTGTTGGGGAGTTGAGTATTTTATCGAACTTTAAATATTTGACATTTTATTGCATTGTGCCATCAGTTAATAAAATGAAGAAGGGAAAATTACATAGCGATAAGATGGGTAGATCTCATAAACCACACAAAGTTGGATAAAGTCGTACAATTAAAACAAAGATGGAAATCAGGTAAGACTATTTAGCTTCAATCAGAAGATTAGCCTATGGACTGTGTGCTCAATTATGAAGAAAAATAAATTAAGAAACAAATGTAAAATGGCTAGAAATACATTGCTAATGCGTATGCCCAAAGACAGATATACAGTAATTACTCTGGAAAAAGAATCCCATTTATAATGTGTAAGTCAATCATTTGACTTTTGCATATTTAACTTTCAGCTTGTTTTCTAGGAAAGTACTATGTTGTAAAGTAGGAAATTATAACTTTCTATTAATAACCAAAACTAGTTTGATTTGACAGCATATACTGTACTACAGTATGTCCTAGTATGATCAAGAACAGTCTCTGCTTTTAGGGAGTTTGTAGTTTAGTTTGGGACACAGAATGTCGATAAATGTGTTACTTAAAATTCAGAAAAGAAGAAATAAAAAAGCTTGAGTCCAGGAGTTTGACGCTGTAGTGTGCTATGATTGTGCCTATGAATACCAACTGTGCTCCAGCCTGGGCACATAGCAAGACCCCCATCTCTAAAACAAAAAAATTGAAATTAAAATTTATAAAAACAAATAGACTGTAAAACATTTTTACAAAATTAAATATGCAGTTTAATCTAAAGATATCTTTTTTTCTAAAATAATTGTGTATTTCTTCAATGTTTTCTTATCAATTATCTTTCTTAAAAGAAAAAATTGAGGCCAGGCGCGGTGGCTCACGCCTGTAATCCCAGCACTTTGGGAGGCCGAGGTGGGCGGATCACAAGGTCAAGAGATCGAGACCATCCTGGCTAATGCAGTGAAACCCTGTCTCTACTAAAAATACAAAAAATTAGCCGGGCGTAGTGGTGGGCGCCTGTAGTCCCAGCTACTCAGGAGGCTGAAGTAGGAGAATGGCGTGAACCCGGGAGGCGGAGCTTGCAGTGAGCCGAGATTGTGCCACTGCACTCCAGCCTGGGCGACAGAGCCAGACTCTGTCTCAAAAAAAAAAAAAAAAATTTGAGATGGGGGTCTCACTATGCTGCCCAGGCTGGTCTTGAACTCCTGGCTCAAGTGATCCTCCCAAAGTGCTGGGATTACAGGCGTGAGCCACCACACCTAGCTTGAATTATCTTTCTTAAATTGTATTTGGATTACTTGGCTAATGCCAACCTTTTGAGATTATTTTGGTTATCATACATTTAGTTTTACTTAACACAAATAAAAATGAATTATGCTCAGAATATTATTTTGAGGGCAGCTTTAAAAAGAAGCATCCATATAGTTGCAAAATAATTATAATGAAGTACAGAAATGGGACAGTAGGACAAAATAATTCTAAGTAGCAACCCCCCCACTTCGCCCCATCATAAATGTTTAATTTCAAAATACACTTGAGGATTTTTCTCCTCAATTGCTTTATGCTTAAATTAATTATTGGTGGATAAGGTGGCCCAAAATGTGTTTTTTGGTAGAGAAGTGAGTTTGCGAAATGTTCCTGTGGGTATGACATTAAGCGGTAGCCACAAATAGGAAGGAAACCAAGAAGTGATTGCAAAATCACATTTTATTTTTAAGGAGGAAGTTTTGCAACATAGTGTATTTGATGAAACAATCTCCCAAGGGAGAAAGGACTAGACGGCTACTTTAATCTATTTCATTACCAGGTTATCATTTATTAATGTATCTACTCTGGTAAAAGTAGCTTAATAGCAATTAAACAATTAAGATGTTGATGAATGAGCTTAGCTTATTCTTAGAAGGATCAGATTATTAGGAAGAAGCTGTTAGTAAACCTCTTTGTTTCACTTGGTTGTTTATAATAGCAATGTATCATGAACTTCTATTGATCTTTATGAAAATATAAGCTCAATACAGTGTGGTAATAGTCTACAGATTGTTGTATTAAGTTATTTTAAAAATTACTTCGGGTTTGGTTAACCTATTTGCCTAGGATGGATAGAAGAGTTAGAGTCTATCAGTAGCTGAAAACAGCACATCAGTGAAGGCTGGGGATGGTGGCTCACGCCCGTAATCCCAGCACTTTGTGAGGCGGGGTGGATGGGTCACTTGAGCTCAGGAGTTCAAGACCAGCCTGGGCAACATGGTGAAACTCCATCTCTACAAAAATTACAAAAATAGCCGGGCTGAGCTGGGAGGATGGCTTGATCCTGGGAGGCAGAGGTTGCAGTGAGCTGAGATCATGCCACTGCACTCCAGTCTGGGCGACAGAACCAGACCCTTTCTCAGAAAAAAAAAAAAAAAAAAAAAAGTACATCAGTGATTTGATTATTTATTTATTTATTTATTTATGAGATGGAGTCTCACTCTATTGCCCAGGCTGGAGTGCAGTGGTGCAATCTCTGCTCACTGCAACCTCTGCCGCCTGAGTTCAAGTGATTCTCCGGCCTCAGCCTCCCAAGTAGCTGGGATTACAGGCATGCACCACCACACCTGGCTAAGTTTTCTATTTTTTTTTTTTTTTTTTTTAGTAGAGACGGGGTTTCACCATGTTGCGAACTCCTGACCTCAAGTAATCCGCCCACCTCAGACTCCCAAAGTGCTGGGATTACAGGCATGAGCCACTGCCCCCGGCCAGAATATTTATTAAATTCCTATCATATATTCAAGGTATGAGGTTAGATGCTGTCCTGTAATGTTAAACATTGCCTGGATCTACAAGCACAGCAACATGGTTCAAGAATATGATTTCTAGGTCCAATCTGCTTTCTAAAAACTTGCTAAAGGATTTTTTTTTTTTGAGACGGAGTCTTGCTCTGTCGCCCAGGCTGGAGTGTAGTGGCGCCATCTCAGCTCACTGCAACCCCTGCCTCCTGGTTTCAAGAGATTCTCCTGCCTCAGCCTCCCAAGTAGCTGGGATTACAGACGCTCACCACCACGCTCACCTAATTTTGTATTTTTAGTAGAGACACAGGTTTCACCATGTTGGCCAGGATGGTCTCGATCTCCTGACCTCGTGATCCACCCACCTCAGCCTCCCAAAGCGCTGAAATTACAGGCGTGGGCCACTGCACCCAGCTAGGTTCTTTGAATTCTATTAAAGGACCTGGAAATTTTATTGATCTGTATAATTTAAAACCATTTAGATCAGGCGCAGTGGCTCACACCTGTTATCCCAGCACTTTGGGAGGCCAAGGACGGAGGATCCGTTGAGGTCAGGAGTTTGAGACCAGCCTGGGCAACATAGAGAGACCCTCACCTCTACTTTTTTTTATATTAAAAAAAGGGTAAATAAGTAAATAAAACCACTTAAAGCCAGAAGGCATCTTAGGGATTATTGATATAATTCTCTCCTTTTACTATTTAAAACTAAGCCCTAGTGGCCGTGCGTGGTGGCTCACACCTGTAATCCCAGCACTTTGGGAGGCCGAGGTGGGTGGATCACCTGAGGTCAGGAGTTCGAGACCAGCCTAGCCAACCTGGTGAAACCCCATCTCTACTAAAAATACAAAAAATGAGCCGGGTGTAGTGACAGGCACCTGTAATCCCAGGTACTTGGGAGGCTGAGGCAGGAGAATTGCTTAAACCCAGGAGACGGAGGTTGTAGTGAACCAAGATTGTGCCACTGCACTCCAGCCTGGGCGACACAGCAAGACTTTGTCTCAAAAAACAAAACAAAACAAAAAAAACCTAAGCCCTAAAATAAAGTGCCCAGAATATGCAGTGGCAAAACCTATTAATAGATTAGAGGAGTACAGCCTAGGACTCTTCAGCACTGCTTTTTCCTCTTCTCCAACATTTATTCATTTATTGATTCCTTCTCATGCTCAAGGGCCAAACAATTTTAGAGCACAGCTACAGCTTTTGAGGGACTGAGTCTGGTTTAATGGCAACATGGTAGAGAACACATTTGACTCAATTATTGCTTTTTGAGTTATCGAGATAGTTCTACTAACAGCAGATTTGTTGTGATTTTTCTCCCCTAGTTGAACAGTAGCAGGCTCCATGGTGTAGTGAGATGTCCTTGGCCTCTGGAATTGAACAGACCTAGGTCTACAGTGTGACTGCAAGATTCCCAATGTTCCTAAGTCTCCATTTCCTTATTTGTAAAATGGGTCTAATAGCTAGTAAAGGTGTAGTAAGGATTAGTGATAATGACTGGCACAAGGTAGGTAATCAATATATAGAGCTGTTATGATGACGATAATGAAGGCTGGACGCGGTGGCTCATGTCTGTAATCCCAGCACTTTGGGAGGCTGAGGTAGACGGATCACGAGGTCAAGAGATCGAGACCATCCTGGCCAACATGGAGAAACCTCATCTCTACTAAAAATACAAAAATTAGCTGGGCATGGTGGCGCATGCCTGTAGTCTCAGCTACTCGGGAGGCTGAGGCAGGAGAACCGCTTGAACCCGGGAGGTGGAGGTTGCAGTGAGCTGAGATCGCACCACTGCACTCCAGCCTGGGGACAGAGTGAGACTCCATCTTAAAAAAAAAAAAAAAAAGGAATGATTATGATGAATGTACATCTCCTAGAAATGCTTGACATACGTGTGGGTATGTCATTTTAACAGGTGCTGAAGTGTTAGTTCTCTCCTCTCCTGCTGTGTAAAGCTGGGGTGGAGTATTTTGATTTGTATTAAATTAATAGTTTATAGGCTGGGTATGGTGGCTTACACCTCTAATCCCAGCACTTTGGGAAGACCAGATGGGAGAACTGCTTCAGCCCAGGAGTTTGAGACCAGCCTGGGCAACATAATGAGACTGTTTCTACAAAAAAATAAAATTAGCTTGGCATGGCGGTGTGCACCTGTAGTCCCAGCAATCGGAGGAGCTGAGATGGGAGGATCCCTTGGGCCCAGGAAGTTGACACTGTGGTGAGCAGTGCTCACGCCACTACACTCCAGCCTGGGTGACAGAGTGAGACCCTGTCCCAAAATTAATTAATAGCTTATAAATTGAAATGAGCAGGTGCTAGGAAAATTTGTAGAGCTTTTGTCAACTGTGCAAATATGGGGTAAGTCTACAAAGGATGTTTTTTTTTTTTTCTTATTGAGTTTGGTAAATTTTCAGCATCATTACTGTGTAATGGCATCATATCAAAATTTGAACAATGTTATAGATTCATACAAAGGTCTACAATTAGGTTGAGAAGAAAAATAATACTACTAATTTTGCATCTTATGGGTTTTTCTATGAAGCCACACAGGCTAATAAATCAAGATTTTTGGTTATAAAATATACAAGTATAATTAGTCAATAGTTTCTGATCATTAAGCAAAATTTAAGGCAATATTACATTTAAAAATTATATATTCAAAAGTTTAAAAATAATTAGGTGCTTGTATTGTAAAAGTGATTTATTCCTGTTAACATTAAAAAAATTGATCCAGTACTTTTACTTTTTTTTTTGAGATGGAGTCTCACTCTGTTGCCAGGCTGTAGTGCAATGGCGTGATTTTGGCTCACTGCAACCTCTGCCTCCCGGTTCAAGTGATTCTCCTGCCTCAGCCTCCCGAGTAGCTGGGATTACAGGCGCCTGCTACCATGCCCGGCTAATTTTGTATTTTTAGTAGAGACGGGGTTTCACCATATTGGCCAGGCTGGTCTTGAACTCCTGACCTCAGGTGATCCGCCCACCTCGGCCTCCCAAAGTGCTGGGATTACAGGGGTGAGCCACTGCGCCCAGCTGATCCAGTACTGTTATGCTTTTGAGACAGGGTCTTGCTCTGTCACCCAGGCTGGGAATGCAATGGTGCAGGTCACTGCAACCTTGAACACCTGGGCTCAGCCTCCTGCGTCGCTAGGACTACAGGGATGCGCTTTTTTTTGACTTTTAGTAGACATGAGGTCTCACCATGTTATCCAGGCTGGTCTTGAACTCCTGAGCTCAAGCGATCCTCCCACCTCAGCTTCCCAGAGTGTTGGAATTATAGGAGTGAGCCATTGTGCCTGGCCTTACTCCTCCTTACACTTTTTTTTTTTTTTTTTTTTTTTTTGTAGGGACGAGGTCTCACTATGTTACCCAGGCTGTCTCAAACTCCTGGGCTTAAGCCACTCTGCCTCAGCCTCCCAAAGTATTGGGATTACAAGTATGAGGCACTGTGCCTGGCCACTTTATAAGAAATTAATTGACATAAAATTTATTATCAGTTACAAAGATACAAAAATGTGTTTTAGGATATTGGTAATTTTCCCTAAAGAAAAGACTAACAATGTAATTTAATATTTGATACACAGGAAAGTTTTTGAAATTTTAAGCATCTGTGTTAAATAAATGAATGGAAGAAAGAGAGAAAGACAAATTAAGTACATCTAAATCTCTCTAATAATTTCTTAATAGGAAAACCTCTTCATAAATACAGGATATATCTATCTAGATATCTATACATACATACAAACGCATATATACTTTAATAGTTTTCTCATGTTATACTTGTAGAAGTGCAGTTTTCTTCCTTTCCCTTGTGTCATTATAGAGAACAGTAGCCACCTTGTTTCCATTTACTTTCAGTAACCATTACCATGGTATATATAAGTTCATAATAACCTCATATTAAATGTGGTGATCGGTGAGAAAAAAATATTTAAACGTAAAGGATATAAGATAAGAGATCACATTTGCCTTGACAGGATGGAGGTTAAAACAACAAAGTTCCAGCTTACTTTATAATCTATTTTATTACCATTAATATAAAAGTAAACAAATAGAATTTTGTCAGTGCACGCAAATAAGAGACATTCAGAAGTCAAGAAGTGTAATTTTAAGACTGCAAAAATTAATGCTATGCCCCTTAATAACAGAACTCTCCAGGCTTATTTTCATGATTCACGCTGTCTACCACAGGCCCTCCTAACTCCAGTGGAGAAGGAGTTTGGGGGTTCTCCAAAAACTTGCAAATTTACATATTAAAACTACTTGACCACAACTACCTTTTTGTAACTGACTGCTTTCAAGTTCTTTGTGTTTAATTCCATCAAAAACTGCATTATAAAACTGGTAAGGTTATTGACAAAGAAACAAGAACAAACTTCCATATTGCAGTTGACTACATTATATAATTTCAAATAAAATAAAATCAATTCATAAAACAAATTTAGTGGTGTGGTTTGGGAAATCTTTAAAATGACGTATTTTTAACTATCATAGTTATTATCATAATTAATTATCAGAGTTATGTTACTTTTCCCTCAAAACAGGCCACAGGCTTATTTTTATTTATTTATTTATTTATTGAGACAGAGTCTCACTTTGCCACTCAGGCTGGAGTGCAGTGGCGCGATCTCGGCTCACTGCAAGCTCTGCCTCCCGGGTTCACACCATTCTCCTGCCTCAGCCTCCTGAGTAGCTGGGACTACAGGCACCCACCACCACGCCTGGCTAATTTTTTGTATTTTTTAGTAGAGACAGGGTTTCACCCTGTTAGCCAGATGGTCTTGATCTCCTGACTTCGTGATCTGCCCACCTCGGCCTCCCAAAGTGCTAGGATTACAGGTGTGAGCCACTGCGCCTGGCCTATTTAAGTAAACCATCTAGAGACCATGGATCTAGCAAACTCATGTCTAACACAGTTGGAACCTAAAACTCAGGTATATAAAGATATTTCAAAGATTTATATACACATAATTCCTAAGAAAGGCCTTATGTAAGAACATACTTACTCTGATTTTAAAAGTCTTACAAGTATCTGTAACACAGTTTAGAACCTTAACAAAAACTAAAATGTTTCCCAGGCTTTAGAGTTTTCAGAAAGTGCATATTAATTCATAGCAAAGGCACCAGGCTCTCCCTCAGGCATGTTATCTTTTATTTTACACAAAATTCCCATGAACTTGGTTGTGTGGATTCTTAACCTGCAGTGAATTACCTAAGAAAGTGAACTGGCTGAGGCAGGCACATTACCAACCAACCTGACAGTAAGTTCAGGTGACAGAAAAGGTATGAGACATAGGTTTGAAAATGGCAAATTGGGGTCATTTAGTGAAGTGGTAAATACTCTTTATTAGCCCCTGGAGACATCAATATATGTGGGTACAATATAATAGGTGAAATTAATGATGATGTTCATTAATGCTTTAAAAAACATTAAAAATATTAAGTATCTTGTTTTAAAAGTAGAGAAATATTTTTAAAGAACTATTTCTATTTCAAATAGTTACAATGAAGTAAGTTTTAGTGCTTAAAAAGATAAGCTTTGATTATGTGGATAATCCATTTGTGTGGACATCTCATTTATTTTCCAATAATGTAGGATAAGATGAGGCGTATCAAAGTAACTCAAAATCAATGGACTAATCAATTTATGTATAATGATATGGTTCATCAGAATAAATGTCATGAATTTAAAAATCACCACCAATTCCTTTATTTTCTATATTATATTCTTTTAAAGTTCCCTTTTCTCCTGTACTTGAGTATGCTATAAAATCATGAACTTTTTCTTTTAGAATATCCAGTTCATTTTGCATCTTTAATATGCTATTATCATACTGAATTCCTTCAAGGGTTTTCTGCATCTCCATTATTTCAGACACTGCTTTCAGCATATCATCTTCCATATTAAACATCTGCATAGTCAAGTCTTCCATTTTCTTTTCTGTTTCTATCAGATCCTGAGAGACTCTGAGAACAGAGTGAATAGCACTTTCAATTGTTGGCAAATGTGTCTTGCATTCTTCAACTTTGGGTTCGTAGTCGGAAAGTTTATTAGTCAGATCTTCATCTCTGGCAAAGAGGGCATGCTGTTCCTCTTCTAACTTTTCAATTGCCTTTGTATCAGAGCCTAGCTGCTCCTCTACTCGCAGGAGATCTTCTTCTTCTTGTCTTTTTACTGTTCTAATATTTCTTAGTGTGCTATCTTCCAAATCTTTTAGCCGTTCAGTGAGCAATTTTATTTCCTGCTCAGCTGAGTTAATTTGGACAGTTACTTGAGAATGTATATGTTTTGCTTCTGATTTGAAAATGTCTGTATTAATGTTCATTTCTTCTAGGCTTCTCTTCCAGAAATCCGTAATATTCTGAAATTTCTCATTAAGGCTTTGCATCCTTTGAGTGAGCACCTCTTCATTATTTTGAATGTCATGCATGATATCTTGGAGGTTGGATACTTCCTGCTCAAACTGGGTCATCAAAGACATGGATGATGTAGCTTCCTGCAGGATGCTTTCAGTAGACTCAAGCTGCATTTATAACACAAAACAATTCCCAAGGCTACTTAATAATTTTCATATTAGAGAAACACACTTTAACAATCAGGAGCATAACACATGCCACGTTAAAATTCTGAAGATGTCTAAAATATCCAAGTATATCAGAATCAGACTGACAAAGATATTTATTACATTAATAGTTTTCACAAATACGTTAACCCTGCATTGTTTTATTTATTTATTTATTTTTTAGACGGAATCTCACCCTGTCACCCAGGATGGAGTGCAGTGGAGCAACCTCAGCTCACTGCAACCTCCGCCTCCCAGGTTCAACGTATTCTCTTGCCTCAGCTTCCTGAGTAGCTGGGATTACAGGTACGCGCCACTATGCCTAGCTAATTTTTGTATTTTTCGTAGAGATGGGGTTTCACCATGCTGGCCAGGCTGGTCTTGAACTGTTGACCTTTAGTGATCCGTCTGCCTCGGCCTCCCAAAGTACTAGAATTACAGGCGAGAGCTGCCGCGCCTGGCCAGCACTATGTTAAAAAAAAAAAAAAATACACCTGAACACACAATCCTAGATATTTCAGCATTTCTATGGAAGCATATACAAGAGAAAAGTAATGTTAAAGTGCCTGAAATAGATGCAATTTCCTCCTTTTAACTCTAATGGTAAGTAACTTTGATGTCAGTTTTCTTTTTCTTTTTTTTTTTTTTTTTGAGACGGAGTCTCGCTCTGTCGCCCAGGCTGGAGTGCAGTGGCGTGATCTCGGCTCACTGCAAGCTCCGCCTCCCAGGTTCAAGCCATTCTCCTGCCTCAGCCTCCTGAGTAGCTGGGACTACAGGCGCCCGCCACCACACCCGGCTAATTTTTTGTATTTTTAGTAGAGACGGGGTTTCACCGTGTCAGCGAGGATGGTCTCGATCCCCTGACCTCGTGATCCGCCCACCTCAGCCTCCCAAAGTGCTGGGATTACAGGCGTGAGCCACCGCGCCCAGCCCTCGATGTCATTTTTATGGTTTTTTGGCTTTTTAGAAACTGCAACTTTGTATACAATTTGATATCTTTCCTAAAATCCTATAATTCTGGAAGGGTTTCTGCCAAAAAATTTTTTTGACCAACCTCTTGCAGAGAAAGTACTAGAATCAGGTCTTACAGATACAAAGGCAACAATGAATTAAAAAACAGTTTAGTGAGACAAGTCAAATTGAATGGTAAAGTGTTTTAAGTATTTGTAAATTATGCTAAGCCTCCGGCACCTCCTAATCTGTATCTGGAATATAGAAGGCCAAGTCATTGACCTCTTTTAGTCTACACTTAGATAACAGCTTTAGAGACTACAGGAAGGCCTAGAAATAATCATTAATTTATTATGTGCTTGCAGCATTATGCTGAAGACATAATACTGAACAAGATACAAAATACTGCCCTTAAGCAGCTTTGTTTAATCGACGAGAAAGACAAGTGTATATGCACTATGACAGGTGAAGAGCTATGGAAGCACTCAGGTGGAGACCCAACCTAGACTTCAGTGATGAAGGAAAGTATTTTAGAAAAAGTAATATCTAATATCTGCTTCCAGTTGCTTGCTCTCTAAATTAGCCTACACACTACTACTAGACTAAGCTTTTAAAAACTGGTATGCCTATCATGGTACACTGTTACAAAACCTTTGATGTTTCCTAATACTTCTAGGATAAAGTCTCAAATTCTCTAACCTCTCCCTATGCTATCCTCCTCTCCTCTTTATTTAGTTACATTGTCCTTACTTCAAGGCTCAGACCGGATCTCAGCTCCTCAGAGCAGCATTTCTTCCATAGCCCTAGCCCTGACAACCTGAATTCCTGTAGCACCTATTACACATATATTTGCCACATATTTGCCTCTTAGCACATACAATTAAAAAATTTTGAGGGTTCACTCTGTGCCAGCCTTGTGTGAGACAGTGGAGACAAATACAGCATAGTCCTTGATTTCACAATTTGATTGGGAGACAGTGTTTAGATCTTCCACATCATATATTCTAGAGTCCCAACAAGATCTACTGAGTACCCTGTGTGAGGTAGTTCCATTATCAGGTACTAGGGAAATGGAGATAAAAGATGCAGTGTATGCTCTAAAGAGGAGTAAAGGAGATAAACTAGCAACCAAAAAAATCACAGTAGATTATAAGTAGCGTCACAAAAGAATTAGCACAGGGGGCAATGGATGCTTTGAGGAGAGATAAAAAGTTAGGAGGGCAATGCGAAAAGGCCTGGAAGTGGCTCCAAAATTGGAATCATTAACAGACTGATTGATGAATTAGCAGGGTGAAGATGTGAAAGCTTCTAAATTTCAAAGGAGAAGAGACCATGTCTTATGCCTCTGTGTAATCCCTACATCTCAGAGTACAAAGAATATGTTTGTTGATGCTTAGGAAGAATGACCCTAAGCCTTCTAGGTCCACCCCAATCAAGACTTAAAGAGTATGCAACAAGAATGACTAACACCACTCTGAAATGTTGTTTAAAATTTATTTTAAGGGTTGGGCATGGTGGCTTACGCCTTAATCCCAACATGTTGGGATGCCAAGGCAGAAGGACTGCTTGAGCCTAGGAGTTTGAGACCAGCCTGGGCACAAAGCAAGACCCTGTCTCTATCAAACAAACAAACAAACAAACAAACAAACAAAATTAGTTGGGCATGGTGGTGTGCGCCTGTAGTCCCAGCTACTTGGGAGGCTGAGGTGGGAGGATTCCTTGAGCCCAAGAGTTCAGGGTTGCAGTGAGCTATGATCATGCCACTGCATTCCATCCTTGGTGACCGGGCAAGACCCTGTCTCAAACATACATACATACACACACACACATTTAAAGAAAACAAACAAAAAAATCCAAAGAAATAAAAACCTCTTTTAAATGTACACATACAGCCATAATACAAGTTCCTTTTAAAATCAATTATGAGAAATACTAACCATTAACATGGTTAGGTTTAGTTGTTTTATTAGCAGTATTTTGAAGAGGCAAGCTTATCCTCACCTAAGGTAATGTCCTGTTTAGGAGGTTCATCAGAGCCTCACTATAATCTGAAAGCAGTATACCCCAAGTAAGTGCAAGATGTTATAGATTTAATCTGCAAATATTTAGTGACTAGTATGCCACAGTAGCTAGCATTTATGGGCCACCAACATATTCTAATCGTTTTTCATTTTTATTTACTAAAAAAATTTTTTTTGTAGAGATGGGGTCTCACCATGTTGCCTGGGCTGGTCTCAAACTGCCAGGCTCAAGTGATGCTCCCAACTTAGCTTCCCAAAGTGCTGAGATTACAGGCATAAGCCACCACACCGGGTCTCATTTTTTCTTAAAGAAAGAGCTAGTAGGGCCAGGTGCGGTGGCTCACACCTGTAATCCCAGCACTTTGGGAGGCTGAGGCGGGTGGACCACCTGAGGTCGGGAGATTGAGACCATCCTGGCTAACACAGTGAAACCCCATGTCTACTAAAAATACAAAAAATTAGCCGGGTATGTTGGCACATGCCTGTAATCCCAGCTACTTGGGAGGCTGAGGCAGGAGAATTGCTTGAACCCAGGAGGCAGAGGTTGCAGTGACCAGATCTCCCCACTGCACTCCAGCCTGGGCAACAAGAGCCTGGGCAAAAAAAAAAAAAAAAAAAAAAAAAAAAAAAAAAAAAGAGCTAGTACTTTATTAGTGCTTGATTGTTTTCAAAGAATTTGTATATAAAGTAAGTCCTCACTTAACGTCATTGGTAGGTTCTTGGAAACTGACTTTAAGTGGAACTATTCAGAGCAGCTCCTCCAACAACGTTGTTTCGATGTCCTTTCATTACAACGTAGATGAGAAAAAAATTGGTTTCATTATACACTTCACTTAAAATCGTAGTTTCCAGGAACCTATTGATGACCAGGAACCTATTGATGACGTTGAGGACTTACTGTATATCTCATCTGATCTTTATAAAAATCTTATTATTTCTCACTTAATAAATGATGAAATAGAGATGAAGATAAGTTATAGTGATTTGTCTAAGGTCACACAGTTGGGATGGGTGTCCATGTCTAGCTGTTTTCCCCTCCATCTGGGTTATGCTGCCCTTTAGGGCCACCTTTGTGAAAAGGGACCTCTTATTAAATTACTCCCAGGGCAGAATGGGAGAAAAAGCTACGAAAAGACTGAATATTTCTTTTTTTTCTTTTCATTTTTTTTTTTGAGACGGAGTTTCGCTCTTGTTGCCCAGGCTGGAGTGCAATGGCATGATCTCGGCTCACCACAACCTCCACCTCCCAGGTTCAAGTAATTCTCCTACCTCAGCCTCCCGAGTAGCTGGGATTACAGGCATGCACCATCATGCCCAGGTAATTTTTTGTACTTTTAGTAGAGATGGGGTTTTTCCATGTTGGTCAGGCTGGTCCTGAACTTCTGACCTCAGGTGATCCACCTGCCTTGGCCTCCCAAAGTGCTGGGATTACAGGTGTGAGCCACCACGCCTGGCCAAGACTGAATATTTTTTGGATTCTATAATGATATTTTAAAAATCTGCTTCAAAAGCTTTTTTTTTGAGATGGAGTCTCACTTTGTTGCCCAGGCTGGAGTGCAGTGGTGCAATCTCGGCTCACTGTGACCTCTGCCTCCCCGGTTTAAGCGATTCTCCTGCCTCAGCCTCCTGAGTAGCTGGGACTACAGACACACGCTACCATGCCCAGCTAATTTTTGTGTTTTTAGTAGAGATGGGGTTTCATCATGTTGGCCAGGCTGGTCTTGAACTCCTGACCTCAGGTGATCCACCCACCTCGGCCCCTCAAAGTGCTGGGATTACAGGTGTGAACCACCGTGCCCAGCCTGGCCAACATGGTGAAACCCCGTCTCTACCAAAAATACAAAAATTAGACGGGTGTGGTGGTACACACCTGTAGTCCCAGCTACTCGGGAGGCTGAGGCAGGAGAATCACTTGAACCCGGGAGGCGGAGGTTGCAGTGAGACAAGATCGAGCCATTGTACTCCAGCCTGGATGAGAAAAGTGAAACTCTGTACCACCCCTGACCTCCCCCACAAAAAAAAAAAGAAAAAAAAAAAGGAGAAATCTTGTTCAAAATAAGTTTTCAATAGCTTTTATTTATATTTATTTATTTATTGAGATGGAGTCTCACTCTGTTGCCCAGGCTGGAGCACAATGGCGTGATCTCAGCTCACTGCAATCTCCACCTCCCAGGTTCAAGTGATTCTCCTGCCTCAGCCTCCCGAGTAGCTGGGATTACAGGCGCCCGCCACCACGCCCAGCTAATTTTTGTATTTTTAGTAGAGATGGGGTTTCACCATGTTGGCCAGGCTGATCTCAAACTCCTGACCTCGTGATCTGCCTGCTTCGGCCTCCCAGTGTGCTGGGATTACAGGCGTGAGCCACCGCGTCCGGCCTTCAATAGCTTTTAATTAAATATGTGAAGTTTTGGCAAGGCACAGTGGCTCACACTTGTAATATCAATTCTTTGGGAGGCAGAGGCAGAAAGGTCATTTGAGGCCAGGAGTTTGATACCAGCCTGGGCAATGTAGCAAGACCCCGTCTCTCCAAAAAATTAAAGAAAAAAAAATTAGCTGGGTGCAGTGGCGTGCCTGTTAGTCCCAGTTACTTGGGAGGCTGAGTTGGGAGGAGTGCTTGAGCCTGGGAGGTTGAGCTGTTATTCCAACACTGCACTCCAGCCTGGATGACAGAGTGAGAGCTGGGATGACAGGGAGAGACTCTATCTGAAAAAAAAAAAAAAAAAAAAAAAAAAAAAATATATATATATATATATATATATATATATATATATGAAGTTTCTTGCCCCTGGGATTTCTTCTAATGGTATGTTAGAGTTCCCCCAACAGCTACAACCAGATTCCAATTTTTTTTTTTTTTTTTTTGGGACAGAGTCTCACTCTGTTGCCCAGGCTGGAGTGCAGTGGTATGATCTCAGCTCACTTCTGAAACCTCTGCCTCCCAGGTTCAAGCAATTCTCATACATCAGCCTCCCAAGTAGCTGGGATTACAGGCATGAACCACCATGCTCAGCTAATATTTTTGTATTTTTAGTAGAGACAGGGTTTCGCCATGTTGGCCAATCTGGTCTCGAACTCCTGACCTCAAGGTGATCCGCCTGCCTTGGCCTCCCAAAGTGCTGGGATTACAGGCATGAGCCACTACGCCTGGCTCAGATTCCAATTTGAGCCCTATGTGAAAATACCAACTCCTTTGCAGCTCCTTCCCCAAATCCCTTACACTCACCATCCATGGAATCCCCTGGCATTTGTGAGGGATACTTAATTTTCCTCCATGGCTTTTCTCTTCTGGAGGATTATATGCTCATCCTGTGCATGGGGCTGCAGGGACTTAGATGCTCCATTTCATCTCTATTTTTACAACATCCTTACCCACCCTGGTGCCAAGCATAGGTCCTTGCTTACCTTGTGACATGAGCAAAGGTTTAGTGAATGAATAAATGAACAAAAAGCCATATTTCCCAATGATAGCTTGGTCCCTGGTACCCAGAATAGGCCTACATGATGCCTTATTGATCACAGCTGACTTTGACTTTCTCCTGAGAGGTGTGGGAGTTACAAAAATGTTTATTTGTCTCACATTTCTAAGAATCACAGTAATAACGCATCTGGTAGAAATCAGCAACTTGAAGGAACACAATATAGACATGGTATTATTTTAATTTTCATTGGAATTCTTATTTGGCTACAGGACAAATAGTTACTTTTAGGCTAGCCGTTCTTTTTTTTTTAATTCTTTTTTTTTTTTTTTTTTTTTTTTGAGACGGATCCTCGCTCTATAGCCCAGGCTACAGTGCAGTGGTGTGATCTTGGCTCACTGCAACCTCCACCTCCCAGGTTCAAGAGATTCTTCTGTCTCAGCCCCCCGAGTAGCTGGGATTACAGGCGTGTGCACCACGCCCAGCTAATTTTTGTATTTTTACTAGAGATGGGGTTTCACCATGTTGGCCAGGCTGGTCTCCTAACTCCTGACCTCAAGTGATTTGCCTGGCTCAGCCTCCCACAGTGCTGGGATTAAAGGCATGAGCCACTACTCCCAGCCTAGGCTAGCCATTCTTAAATGCATGTACATATATCCTTAAAAAGCAAAAAGTAAGGGAAAAAATGGATAGATCTTTTCCCAATAAGTGCTATTCATATTCTAATTTTATGTCCAAAGATCAACCATATTTTCAGATGAGATCGAGCGCATTCAGGGTGGTATGGCTGTAGACATGATCAACCATATTTTCAATGCTCTAGATACCTGACACTTAAGTAGAAAATTAACATCATGCTAATATGAACAAATTGGTCTTTTTCAATACTAGAAATTATCATATTAAAAAATCCTTGCCCCTCAAAATGCAATCTGAGTCAAAATGGCTCAGAGGGAGAATGTCAAGAGGTAGGAAGATCAGTGAGAGTTAAAATAGTGATGGTCTAAAAGGCAGGAAGAAAGAAGTTCTGAGCTGGGATAGAGAAATGATAGTGGGGTAGTAAAATGGGAAAACCGTCCCAGATAAGCCAATTAATGATTACCTTTTCTGAAATTAAACTGATTTTACTTTGAAGTTGTTGGAATTCATTGGTTTCTAGTTTCAGTAACTGGTATTGGTTTTCCACCTTTGCAAATTTTTCTGACTGCTGAAATACAAACCTGGAAAAGAAAAGAAAAATCACTATTCTCCAATTCATATCCATTTAAATCCGAATTTCAAAGGAGAATTATACCCACTTCTGTTAAGAACAACATAAATTCTGGTATGGGTAGCTGTAGGTTTTTTTTTTTTTTTTTTCACACAGGGTCTCACTCTGTCACCCAGGCTGGAATGCAGTGTCACAATCATAGCTCACTGCAGCCTTGAACTCCTGGGCTCAAGTGATCCTCTTACTTCAACCTCCCAAATAGCTAGGACTGTCCATCTCGCTATGTTGCCAAAGGTGGTCTTTAGCCTTTTTTTTTTTTTTTTTGAGATGGAGTCTCACTCTGTCGCCCAGGCTGGAGTGCAGTGGCGCGATCTAGGCTCACTGCAAGCTCCGCCTCCTGGGTTCACGCTATTCTCCTGCCTCAGCCTCCCGAGTAGCTACGACTACAGGCGCCTGCCACCACGCCTGGCTAATTTTTTGTATTTTTAGTAAAGACGGGGTTTCACTGTGTTAGCCAGGATGCTCTCGATCTCCTGACCTTGTGATCCACCTGCCTTGGCCTCCCAAAGTGCTGGGATTACAGGCGTGAGCCACCACGCCCGGTATTTTTTTTTTTTTTTAGATGGAGTTTTGCTCTTGTTGCCCAGGCTGGAGTGCAATGGCACGATCTCGGTTCACTGCAACCTTTGCCTCCTGGGTTCAAGCGATTCTCCTCCTCAGCCTCCCAAGTAGCTGGGATTAAAGGCACCTGCCACCACGCCCCACCAATTTTTTAATATTTTTAGTAGAGATGGGGTTTCACCATGTTGGCTAGGCTGGTTTTGAACTCCTGACCAGTGATCTGCCCGCCTTGGCCTCCCAAAGTGCTAGGATTACAGGCATGAGCCACTGTGCCCAGCCCCAAGGTGGTCTTGAATTCCTGGCCTCAAGTGATCCTCCCCTCAGCCTCCCAAAGCGCTGGGATTACAAGTGTGGGTCAACATGTCCAGCCTAGATGCAGCTTTTATCAGTTTCTTTTGACAGATTTTCATGTGGTAGGTACTGGTTTAACTCATGCAAAGATGAGTAAAGCACTGCCCTTGTTCACAATTCACAGCCCACCAAATAAGATGGTGTGATATCTGTAATAGATGCATGCACAAGAAATATTTTAGAGGAGGACAAAGTGAAAAATTTAGAACAAGATCTTTGATCTCTACTGTTTTTCACAAGGCCATGATTGGGTAATATCTAGAAAATAGGTGTTTTTATGCTGAAATGTAGGCGAAACAAGAGTCGTCTATAAAAAGTATTTTAAAACTGAAATGTAGAAGAGTTGACTGATAAAAAGCAGTGGAGTAGAAGAGAGAAGTGATAGTAATTAGAAGTTGCAAAATAGCAGGAGGTGTGAAAAGAGGTATGAAAATAGAAAAAAGCCATTGCCAAAGTGACAATAGATCACAATCAGTGCAGAGTGTATAAACTGCACAATTGGTTATACTCAGTGATGTGACTCGTATAGGTGTACTTGAGATGTCACTCTAAAATTGGAGTTTATTCTTCATTATGGGTGGAAGCCCAAAAAGCTATCTCAATCTTCAAAACAACAAATCAACATCTGTTTATACAGGATTTGAAATGAGCAAGCATAAAAGAATTGTCTTGGATCCAATACCATTTTGTCTACTTTAACTCAATTCTTTAGGCTCAGAAAAAAACACTTGAAATTCTTTGCATATTGAGTCATCAAAACGCAATGGAGCAGAACCATAAGTACCTGCCTAAACACAGTCCTGAGACAAGTGGTTCAAAAGCTTTGCTACATATTGTAATAACCTGGCAGCTTTAACAAATCTGATGCCTGGGTCTCACAAAGATTCTGATTTAATTGGCTTGGGATGTGGCTTGGATGTTGGAAACTCAACAGCTTCTCAGGTAATCTAAGTGCACAGCCAAACTTAGAACCATACTGACTGACCATGTTTTGTGAAATTCATTTCCACTGAAAGGCAATCATTTAAAGATCCCAAGGATTAATGGAGAGGTGAAAGACTTTTCTGAGTAAATGCAGTTATCTGAACTTTGTGCATCCTTGCAAAAGTGGTAATGCTTTGAATTCATAAATGGCATCATTAGGCTAACCGTAGCTACAAAACTGTCCAAAGCTAAATTAGACAAATGTTTACAATACTGGAGGAAATACATTTCTTTTGATGATGCTGGCTAATTTCTATTATACGGGATCCCAGGTTACATTATTAGCACAGATTGACTTTTCTCCTGTGTTTAAATTAATAGGAACCTTTAAAGCTTCTGGTTATTAGAAAACACTATTATCCTAATTCTCTGAGATGGAAGGGTGAACATAATTCTTTTTTCATTGGCTGTTTCATTTCTGGCTTTTAGGATTTTTTTTTTTTCCCCCAGAGTATTGGATATCTAAGACCAGCAGATAGAGACCTTATTAAGAAAGAGACCACCCTAAAGAAATAAGAGTTGCCCTCCTCACGCCTTCCTGTCCCTCCCTGCCAGGGGGGAAAAAAAAAAAGTAAAAGAAGAAACACAGTTCATTTCAGGGACTAGTTTTATTATCCAATACTCCACCATAGATCTATACTATAGATTAGCGAGTTTATTCAGAATGAAATCATTATTATAAGAGACTTTCGTATGAAGGTTGATTCATTACAAAAAATACATTAATGAACTTTCTCAGAACTTCTTTTCAAATTCAAGCTTTAAACACAACCTGTGTCATGTTAGTGGAAATATCATCTCTGATAATTAGTAGTTTTTTTTGATTAGCCTCTTACTAAAATAAAAAAAAATTCATCCTTGCTACATGTGAACGGTGCATATAAGAAAAAAGTACAAAGCTGACTCAGCACTAGTGATGAAAAAAATGAAGTGATATGTGCTGTGCTGCGTTAAAATATATTTTATTTTTCCCTTATTTGTGCCAGACACTATTCTAAGTACTTGATAAATATTAATTCATTTAACATTAAAGAAGATGATTGATTTTTCTTTCTTTTTGTTTTTTTTGAGATGGAGTCTCACTCTGTCACCAGGCTGGAGTGCAGTGGCACGATTTTGGCTTACTGCAACCTCTGCCTCCCGAGTTCAAGTGATTCTCTTGCCTCAGCCTCCCGAGTAGCTGGGACTACAGGCGTGTGCCAACACACCCAGCTAATTTTTGTATTTTTAGTAGAGATGGGGTTTCACCATGTTGGCCAGAATGGTCTCGATCTCTTGACCTCATGTTCCGCCTGCCTCAGCCTCCCAAAGTGCTGGGATTACAGGCGTGAGCCACCGCGCCCGGCTTTTTTCTTTCTTTCCTTTTTTTGAGACAGGGTCTCGCTCTGCTGCCTAGGCTGGAGTGCAGTGGCATGATCTTGGCTAACTGCAACCTCCACCTCCCAGGTTCAAGTGATTACAGGCGTGAGCCACCGCACCCAGCCTAGATGACTGATTTTCTAGAAGTCAAGAAAATATGCTGAGAAAGCTGCTTCAGATCTGAAAAACTAAGCTTTCAAACTGGCATCCATGTTAGGGTATAAGGTCCTTTATTTCCTTTTTATGAGTCAGGGGCATATTCTAGTGAGAGCAGTTCCCAGTCTTCCCATTTAGATGAGAGTGAAAAACAAGCAATTAGGGTCTGCTAAAGGGTATACCTTCAAGTAGAAGGAAGAAAAGAACTATAAGTAATTCTGGACTTGGGGATTTCTATTTCTAGGATCTTGGCCTTTTGTTGGGGATTAATATCGAATGGAGGCAACGAATCATACTGATTAGGTGGGTGACTGGACTGCCTTAGCTCTGCCATTTACTAAGCTGTATAACCACTTTGGGCAAGTTAAATAACTTTGATGTTTCCTCATCTGTGAAGTGGGGATAATACCTTATTTTAATCTTATTTTTTAAAGACAAGATCTCACTCTATTTCCCAGGCTGGAGTGCAGTGGTGTGATCATGGCTCACTGTAGCCTCCCAGGCCCAATCCATCCTACCCCCTCAGCCTCCTGAGTAGCTGGGAACACAGGCGTGTGCCATAATGCCTGGCTAATTTTTTATAGAGATGGGGGTCTTCCTATGTTGCCCAGTCTTGTCTTGAACTCCTGGGCTCAAGTGATCCTCCTGCCTTGGCCTCCCAAACTGTTGGGATTATAGGTGTGAGCCAGAGCACCCAGCCAATACTTCATAGGGTTGTAGTTTGTTTTTCGACAAGGTCTCATTCTGTTACCCAGGCTGGAGTACAGTAGCCTGATCATAGCTTACTGCAGCCTTGAACTCCTGGGCTCAAGTGATTCTCCCACCTCAGCCTCTCAAGTAGCTAGGACCACAGGTACATTACCACCACTGGCTAATTAAAAAAAAAAATTCTGTAGAGAGGAGATCTGGCTATTTTGTTTGTTTGTTCGTTTTTTGAGGCAGCTGAAGAGGAAGAGGTCTACAGTGACACAATCATAGTTCACTGCAGGTCAAACTCCCTGGGCTCAAGCGATCCTCTCGCCTTGGCCTCCTAAAATGCTGGGATTATAAGTGTGAGCCACCATGCCTGGCCGAGTTATTGTAGACATTAGTTATTGCTATTTATAAAAGCTCCTGGAACAATAGAGCCATAGCACATCAGCTATTTCCTTTAAGTACTGTGGCCCCTTTTTTTTCTCTTTTTGGAGATGGAGTCTCACTCTGTTGTCCAGGCTGAAGTGCAGTGGTGTGATCTCGGCTCACTGCAACTTCCGCCTCCTGGGTTCAAGTGATTCTTCTGCCTCAGCCTCCCAGCTAGCTGGGATTACAGGTGCCCATCAACAAGACCAGCTATCTTTCTTTTGGACTACTTTGTGCAGCTACTCTTCCATCCTTCCTACATGCCTATGATTGCATAAGGGAAGCAGGGTTCCCGACCACTTGCACTTGATAGAAGCCCCAGGCCTGTCCCCCTTTGAACACTAAGTATAAACTGGGTTGTGTTTATGGCAAATGAAGGATGGAATAGATGGATTAGACCACTTATAAATCACTAAATAAAAATAACTCTCGTTTTTGGGCCTCTTCTCACTATCATATCATATGGCCTTGTGGAAGAGTGAGATACAGGAGAAAGGGACCCAGGCTACTTTTAGCGTAGGCCTTACAAAAAGAATCTTCCTGACTCCTTCATGAGCCATTGCAGTCTATAGAGACCTCATACAGATCTATCTAGGGTCCTGTGATAATGAATGGTTTACATTTTCCTACAGTGCATGGTGGTAATTAATGGTGTGTGTTGCCTCTGAATAGCTCCTTTAGGAACGTTAAATGGTGGCAGACAGCTGACTGAGGACTTACAAATTCAGGATTTCCTCTGGCTCTATTTCAGCTTAATAATGAAAAAGAGGCAAATAACCAAAGGAAGCTGTTACGGACCTTCTGCAAGGAAAGAAGTTCCAGGGCCACTATTAGGGTCAGTACCCATTTAGCCCTATGTTTCATACCATCTATAGCCTCAGTTTTAGCACAATACCTAGTTTTCAAGAAAACCTTGACCATATTCCATTTTTAAGAAGCAGGACATTTAAATTATACCCTTGTCTTTTAGATAAAACTCTACTAACACAAAGAAAAAAGCTGGAAATGGAGTTAGCCAAGGTTTTACAGTATGATTTATAGAGAAAATTATATTGGATAATTAAAACAAAAACCAGAGTTATACAACTTGCTTAAAGAGCTTTTGACTTTTTGTACATAATTATAACAGATACTATAAAAAACTTTTATAAAGGCAATTTAGGCCAGGCACGGTGGCTCACGCCTGTAATCCTAGCACTTTGGGAGGCTGAGGTGGACAGATCACCTGAGGTTGGGAGTTTGACACCAGCTTGACCAATGGAGAAACCCTGTCTCTACTAAAAATACAAAATTAGCTGGGCGTGGTGGCGCACACCTGTAATCCCAGCTACTCGGGAGGCTGAGGCAGGAGAATTGCTTGAACCTGGGAGGTGGAGGTGGAGGTTGCGGTGAGCTGAGATTGCGCCACTGCACTCCAGCCTGGGCAACAAGAGCAAAACTCCATCTCTCAAAACAAAACAAAACAAAACAAAACAAAACAAAACAAAAAAGCAATTAAAAAATCTATTGAAGTTTCCATAAGAAACAAAATTTTCACAATGGAAATTCCAGCTGATTAAATTTCTATGTAATTAAATAAGCATGAGTGACAGGTTTTGTGTCTTGTTTAGTAATTTAACAACTTTTTAACTTTCTGAAAGTAGAATCACCTCAATTCTTACCTGAAAAATTTCTATAAGAGTTTAGAAAAGAGCTATGCAAACTGACACTCAAGCCATATGGGTTTGGGCAACTTATCTCCAGTGTTTATTGTCAAGATGACATAGGATATATCAGGCCTTTTTTTTTTTGCAGGGTCTCACTTTGTCACCCAGGCTGAGTGCTGTGGTGCAATCAAAGCTCACTGAAACCTCAAATTCCGGGGCTCAAGCAATCCTCCAACCTCAACCCCCCAAGTAGCTGGGACTACAGGCATGCGCCACCATGCCTGGCTAATTTTTTGTATTTTTTGTAGAGACAGGGTTTTACCATGTTGCCCAGGCTGGTCTTGAACTCCTGAGCTCAAGATCCGCCCAACTCGGCCTCCCAAAGTGCTGGGATTACAGGTGGGAGCCACCACACCTGGCCTATCAGGCCTTTATTTAGCAGAGAGAAGATATTAAAGCAACACACTTTTAAGTTTCTTATGTATTATTTCTCTTTTCTTTCCACATAGGAAATGGTCTGAAGACAATGATATAGTGTGATTCCTTGAAATCCTTCTTGGGCAGTGGAAGGGTTCAGATTTTTTCCCTCCAACTTAATCAGATGAAGAGTGAGAGTAAGCAGTATTTAAGAGTACACAGACAGGCACACATATGCACTTGTATTTTAACCACCAGGGCCGTGTCAGTACGGAAAGCATTTAATAAAGATTTGATAGACCGACTTTTAGATGCTGAATTACGTGTTTTAGTGGTAAAGATCTCAATGGCTTTGTCAAAATTCTAGTGAGCTTTTAAGTATTTTAAGATGCCAAATACTTGCTTTTTATCTGGAAAATGTTTACAAATGTCTTATGGGGATATATTTTTATTTCAAAATTTACTATGAATAAATATTTTGCAATAAACAGCAACCAAAGTACATTTGCTTCAATTTTTGCAGCAAAAGATTTCACAAGAGCAACTAAGAGGCAACTATTTAAATAATAATTATAGAATCTGCCCATAAAAAACACATATAATACATACATTTTAGAGAGACAGGGTCTTGCTCTGTCTCTCAGGCTGGAGCACAGTGGTATAATCATGGGTTACTGCAGCTTTGACTTCCCAGACTCAAGCTATCTTCTCACCTCAGCCTCCCAAGTACCTGGGACTACAGCGAATGCCACCACACTTGGCTAATATTTAAAAATTTTTCGTAGACACGGTCTCACTATGTTTCCCAGGCTGGTTTCAAACTCCTGACCTCAAGCAATTCTCTCGCCTCAGTTTCCCAAAGTGTTGGGATTATAGGCATGAACCACTGGGTCTGGCCCCCAAAATTATTTTTGATATAGCATTGTGTTATCATTTTGCAAACATAGTTCAAATTAAATCTTCCTAATGAATGTAATACATTCATTACAATGTAATACAGGAATCACTAACAGCAAATTCCTGATGTGAGGGAAATTTTATTCCCATAAAGTTTAGTTTTCTATTAAAGCTTATCCCAGGATAGTAACTAACTTTCCCAAAACACAAAAGGTTACTTATTTATTTAGGCGAAGTCTCGCTCTGTTATCCAGGCTGGAGTGCAGTAGCAGATCTTGGCTCACTGCAACCTCCACCTCCCAGGTTCAAGTGATTCTCCTGCCTCAACCTCTGAGTAGCTGGGATTACACCAGGCCCAGCTAATTTTTGTGTTTTTGGTAGAGATAGGGTTTCACCATGTTGGACAGGCTGGTCTCAAATTCCTGACCTCAAGTGATTCGCCTGCCTCGGCCTCCCAAAGTGCTAGGATTACAGGCGCAAGCCACTGCACCTGGCCCAAAAAGGTTTTTTTTTCAATTTACTTAAAGGAGGTCAAGCATTTTAAGGCATAAGAGCCGTTTATTTAAAACAGTAAATTCAGTACATTTATTCCTTTCAGATCAAAATTAACATATTCCGTATTAGTAAAATAAATAATGCTATCTGCTTTTTTTTTTTTTTTTTTTGAGAAGGAGTTTTGCTCCATCCTGCAGGCTGGAGTGCAGTGGCACGATTTCGGCTCACTGCAACCTCCGCCTCTTGGGTTCAAGTGATTTTCCTGCCTCAGCCTCCTGAGTAGCTGGGATTACAGGAGCATGCCACCATGCCTGGCTTTTTTGTATTTTTAGTAGACACAGGGTTTTGCTATGTTGGCCAGGCTGGTCTCAAACTCCTGACCTCAGGTGATCCACCCACCTTGGCCTCCCAAAGTGCTGGGAGTACAGGCATGAGCCACTGCCGGCAGGCTGACAATTCTATTGTTTTTGAAGAGGGCGTTTAATCACTTTATTGTGACAAAATTTTGTTTGTTTGTTTTTTGAGATGGAGTCTCGCTCTGTTGCCCAGGCTGGAGTGCAATGGCACGATCCCAGCTCACTGCAACCTCCACCTCCCCATTTCGAGTGATTCTCCTGCCTCAGCCTCCTGAATAGCTGGGATTGCAGGTTTGTGCCACCAAGCCTGGCTAATTTTTGTATTTTTTGTAGAGACAGGGTTTCACCATGTTGGCCAGCCTGGTCTTGAACTCCTGACCTCATGATCTGCCCACCTCGGCCTCCCAAAGTGCTGGGATTACAGGTGTGAGCCACCGCGCCCAGCCGTAACAAATCTTTTAACTCTGAAAAATACACTATTTGGGATGAGTCACCAGTAAAGTATAATTCCATATGTAGTAGCATAAAAAATGTCTAGATGTCCAGGGTCTCTTCTAAAATTCTATCACTCTGGAAGATTAACAACAGTCTTACTAAATAACTTTACACATGAATGAAAAATGGAGAAAAATTCTATTAAGATGCCAATCTTATTAAAATGAAATGGGCTATTCCCTCCTCCCGCCAGAAAAAAAAAGGCTGGGAAAATAAAATTCACAAGTTGGTTTTTTTCTTTTTTCTTTTTTTACGAGTTGGTTTTAAGGTTATTTCTAATATTCATTTTTCCTAATGACACCAATATATCGCCATTTACCTGATTTTAAAACTGCAACTGGTTAGTTTTAAGTGAACACAAGTGCTATGTTTTTGTAGCTTTACCATATTCAATCTGTAACTTACTTAATAAAAGACCTTAAATTCATAATGCATGCACGGTGATCAAAATATGAGCACTCCTCCAAGCTCTGCTACTATAACGTTTGCTCCTTTGGGAGCATAATGATATGGTTTTCTTTTTTTTTTTTTTTTGAGACGGAGTCTCGCTCGGTCGCCCAGGCTGGAGTGCAGTGATGCGATCTTGGCTCATAGCAACCTCCGCCTCCCGGGTTCAAGCGATTCTCCTGCCTCAGCCTCCGGAGGAACTGGGACTACAGGCGCCCGCCACCACGCCCGGCTGATTATTCGTATTTTTGGTAGAGATGGGGTTTCACCATGTTGGCCAGGCTAGTCTCGAACTCCTGACCTCAAGTGATCCACCTGCCTCGGTCTCCAAACATAATGATCTGTTTTAAGGTTGCAAGTATTTCCATTAGGTATTTATGGGGTGAGTAGGGTGGGGCAGATGTGTCCCGGAATGGGGCACAGCGGACAGGAAGTAACGGTTTATAACAACGTGAACGCTTCTGACGTGTAGCGGGAGCTTCAGAAAGCGTGGCCGAATCTGCAGCTCTTAACAAATGGCTCGTTCCCAAACCTTAGCCTCAACTCCTTCTGAGCGATAGGGGCATGCTACCAGCACGGGGGGAAATGAGATACAAGAAACGCCCGAAAGGGAAAAACAAGGCTGGGCTGTTTCCTTCCTTTGGGGTCAAGACAGAGGCACAGAAGGCCCAGGTCTGGGAGGTTGGATCACCTCCGGCTGGATGTTGAGCCGGGTGGGAGCCCAAACAGCAGGGGGCCCACAGGAGGCCGGCCCAGGCAGCCTCGCGTCCACTTACCAGGCCAGGCCCAGGCACGTCCCCAGCGACAGCAGGCTCAGGCACGTTCGGGGGTCTGCCCAGCCCCCGCCTCCGCTGCTCCGGGCCACGGGGGTCTTCCCGCCCTCGCTCCGCTTCCCGGGCTCCGCAGCAGGGGCTCCCTTGGGCCCCGACTTCTTCCGGCTCTTCACCTCAGACATGTCTGGAGACCCTAGGACGACAAGCCCAGGGCAGCTTCTTCACCAGGGGGAGCAGGACGTGGCCGCCTTGGCGTTCGTGGGAACCCTGGGCGGTGACCGCGCCCCCTCACAGACTTGGCACCGCCCAGAGCCCAGCCCCTTCCCTCTCCCCGGCATCCTCGTTGCTTCACTGAGTCTTTCAGCTGCCAGCTCCATAGTTCCCCTAGGAGAGGTGGGCGGCGACCTCAACCCACAGCGCCTTCCACTGCGATATTGCTCCAAATCCGAGGAAATTCAAACTCCCGGGCGCGCGCAGGCCGACGGGACCCGAGGAGGAGGGGCAGGACGAAGGGGTCGCGCGCGCCACGTCGGGCGCGCCGCCGCTGCCCGAGTCCGGCATTGGTGGGAACGCGGCGCGTCCCTGAGGCTTAGCCACGCCCCGTCCGCGGGGTAGGCGGGCACTTCTACGCGCGCGGGCATGAGCCGTGGCAGGAGTGCGCGGCGGCAGCGGTGGCCGCCCCTTGGGGCTTGGGGTGTGTTTATTTGCATAAGCGGGCGCGCGCCGTCCGGGCTGGGTGGATCCGGCGGGATTTGACTGCTCCGCTGTCCAGAGGCGGAGAAGAAGAGGTAGCGAGTGGACGTGACTGCTCTATCCCGGGCAAAAGGGATAGAACCAGAGGTGGGGAGTCTGGGCAGTCGGCGACCCGCGAAGACTTGAGGTGCCGCAGCGGCATCCGGAGTAGCGCCGGGCTCCCTCCGGGGTGCAGCCGCCGTCGGGGGAAGGGCGCCACAGGCCGGGAAGACCTCCTCCCTTTGTGTCCAGTAGTGGGGTCCACCGGAGGGCGGCCCGTGGGCCGGGCCTCACCGCGGCGCTCCGGGACTGTGGGGTCAGGCTGCGTTGGGTGGACGCCCACCTCGCCAACCTTCGGAGGTCCCTGGGGGTCTTCGTGCGCCCCGGGGCTGCAGAGATCCAGGGGAGGCGCCTGTGAGGCCCGGACCTGCCCCGGGGCGAAGGGTATGTGGCGAGACAGAGCCCTGCACCCCTAATTCCCGGTGGAAAACTCCTGTTGCCGTTTCCCTCCACCGGCCTGGAGTCTCCCAGTCTTGTCCCGGCAGTGCCGCCCTCCCCACTAAGACCTAGGCGCAAAGGCTTGGGTAAGTTGACCTCCTCGCTTTTCTCCCCGAGCCAGGTTCTTTGGAGGCTTGGTAGCTGATTTCAGGGACTGAGAATTTGAGGACATGGAATATTTGATAACCATCCTGCTCCTGTACCAGGAAGAGAAATTCTGTAATGAGGAAGTAGTAAACTTGGGGTTTTCGTGGATAAACGTGCGCTGTTTTCTGTTTTACGTCCATGAAGAGTTTTGGCTTTCCATTTTGTTGTGGGTTACAAAAGGTTTTGAGACTTAGTTCAGATAAGTTGTGCAGTTTTAAAACGTATTTAAGATTTGCATATTTTAGTTTAACAGGACTAGGTGAAATTGGAAATTAGTTTCAGAAAACCAGAGTGTCTTATTTGCTTAGCTATTGGACATCACCTAAAAAATTCATTCATTCTTGTTTTTTCACATCGAATTTCATTACTATAAATTAAGGAACATTTTATGTTTAAGAGGACAAAAACGTTATTAACATTTTAAAAAATGAGAGTTTTGATTCGAATCAATAACTTTTTATCAGTTTTGTGCCCCTGCTGGGCATTTTGTAAGCCTTGACAAGCATAGGCAAATGCCCTACGTCCGTCCCTGTTTTTCCAAGTGCTACATTTGGTGACTTCAAAAACAGTCATTGAAGCTTGATAATTATTGCCCCCTTCTGTGAGCTCCAAGTTACTTGTGCTCTGTTTTTGCACTTCGGGCATTCACATTCCCACTCTCTCTCTCTTTTTCTTCTTTGAGTAGACTGTGAATTATTTCAGGCAAATGACTCAATCTTTTCTGTAGTCTTGGTGTCTGACATATAGGGAGGGGCACAAATGTGTATTGAATGAATGAATTGATAAACCCGTTTAGACTCTTTCACTCTATACATTGTGTAAAGTTCTGTTAATGTTTTGAAAACTTGCAGATATTGTGAACTGGGTTTTATGCCCATGGAAAAATTTGCATTATATTTGAAATAAAGTTGCTAGAAACGTCAAGTATTTTACTATAAAGGCTGTTATTCTTTCCTCATGTCCTCCTGGTCTGAGAAATCACATCAGAAAGTGTTTCCTGTTGCTTTGTGGGAAATGTGTTTAGCAAGGAGGACCTAGAGCTGACATCCTCCTTGAACGAGAACTAATACTCAATAGTAACAATGCTCTATTCACTCTTATGTTTGATAAGGAAAACAAGAAGTCTCTTAATATTAGGACTTCAATGTAATCACTATTTTATACAATCTTAATTAAAAAAGGAAGTATTTTATTGTAAGAAATGATAATGTGTGCTAAAAAAAATTGACAGTAGAGGCCGGGCATGGTGGGGCTCACAAGTGTAATCCCAGCACTTTCGGAGGCTGTGGCGGGTGGATCACCTGAGGTCAGGAATTCAAGACCAGCCTGGTCAACATGGTGAAACCCCGTCTGTACTAAAAAAAAAAAAAAAATAAGACAAGGTGGGGGAGAAATCCCAAATTTTGCTACTCAGAAGTAACTCAAACATTTCGATGAATAAACTTCTAAACGTCTATATATATTCATATGATACCAACACTTGTTTTTTTTTTTGAGACAGAGTCTCAGTCTGTCGCCCAGGCTGGAGTACAGTAGAGTGGTCTCGGCTCACTGCAACCTCTGCCGCCCTGGTTCAAGCAGTTCTCTTGCTTCAGCCTCCCGAGCAGCTGGGATTACAGGCACCTGCCACTGCATCTGGCTAATTTTGTATTTTTAGTAGAGACAGGGTTTCACCATCTTGGCCAGGCTGGTCTTGAATTCCTGACCTCGTGATCCACCCGCCTCGGCCTCCCAAAGTGCTGGGATTACAGGCATGAGCCACTGCGCCCGGCCCCCACGTTATGTGTTGTATGTGGGATCATGTTTCTGTTTTTTTTTTTTTTTTTTTTCAGCAACAGTATTATGAACATCTTTCCATGTCAATACATGGAGATATGTGTCATAATTTTGAATGGCTGCATAATATTCCATTTTATATACATACCCTAATTTTTAAAATCTATATTCAGAATGATGGACATTTAGGTTGCGTTCATCACTGAAACATCCTCCATTAATTCTTTTTTCTTTTTATTTTTTACTCTAGCCTCCCAATGTGCTGGGATTATAGGCTTGAGCTACCACACCTGATTGGAAACTCATTAATTCTCCTTGTGGATATTTTTACATATGTATTTGAATGTCTCCTTGAAGTAAATCCTTAGAAATGGGATTTCTGGGTTAGAGAGAAAGCTTATTTTAAACAATTCCATATCTTACTGCTTTCCAGAAAAATTGCATTCATTTTCTAGTTTCCCCAATTAGTGCATAAGAATGGCCATTTTCTCATACCTTTCCAAGCACTGGGTTTTGTCCATTTAAAAATTTTTGCCAAGGAAAAAAAATCAGTTTTGTTCTTTTTACGTTTCTTGTTTATTAGTGAGATTATGTATCTTTTCATATTTTTATTGGCCTGACAAATATTTTGGTGTTTTGGCTGTAGCTCATGGTTGACAGCTCAGAGAGAGAAAGATCTGAGGGAAGATGGATGCAAAAGCTCGAAATTGTTTGCTTCAACATAGAGAAGCTCTGGAAAAGGACATCAAGACATCCTACATCATGGATCACATGATTAGTGATGGATTTTTAACAATATCAGAAGAGGAAAAAGTAAGAAATGAGGTAAAGCTCTCTGAAGCAGTCCACACTTCCTTAAAAATTTTTAGAATTTCAGAACTTGTACTGGTCTCCACTACTTTATGTTGCATACATATTCATTGTTGTATACTAAACTACTTAATTTTTTTTAGCCCACTCAACAGCAAAGAGCAGCTATGCTGATTAAAATGATACTTAAAAAAGATAATGATTCCTACGTATCATTCTACAATGCTCTACTACATGAAGGATATAAAGATCTTGCTGCCCTTCTCCATGATGGCATTCCTGTTGTCTCTTCTTCCAGTGGTAAAGATTCAGTTAGTGGAATAACTTCGTATGGTTTGTATCCATTATACCTTCTATCACTTTGCTATCAAAATTGCTTTGGGTTTGTCTTATTGTAGATGTAATCTTTTGAAGAGAGTGTGACCAGTTCACTGAAAACTGCATGTTAAAAAAATTGTAGTGATGTTTTCAATTTAAATATTTTTTATTTGCATCCACATTAACTCTCAACTTTTCTTCTTGCCCAGTGAACTGTACTGCTGAGATAATAATATGTCTACCCTAATTTTTAGAGACAATAAGACAATTTATAGGCCCTTGTTTATTTTCCAGTTCTATGTGTTTATAGAGTTTATAGGAAAAAATAAGAATCTTTAGAAATATATGTTCTTGAAAGGTATTCCATAAATGTTCTTCCTTTTACACTTGCCTTCCCAGTCTTCAATATGAGAGGGAATGAAAAGTCAGGAAATAATTGGGTGAGTAAAGCAGATATAGATAGAAACTTCCATTTTCTTTAGTCATCTTGAAGGATATATGTTTGTCTTTGCTCTCTGTTGTCTGAGAAATCAGAAAATTGAAGTTAATATGCTAGCCACATTTTCTTAACTTCTCTTGGAAATTTTCAGGCTAAGCCTCAGCTTTGCTCTTTGTTTTTTATGGTATTACTTCAGTAATTATTCCAAAGTTCTATTCATTCATGCTTGTTTTGTTTTGGATTTTAGTAAGGACAGTCCTGTGTGAAGGTGGAGTACCACAGAGGCCAGTTGTTTTTGTCACAAGGAAGAAGCTGGTGAATGCAATTCAGCAGAAGCTCTCCAAATTGAAAGGTGAACCAGGATGGGTCACCATACATGGAATGGCAGGCTGTGGGAAGTCTGTATTAGCTGCAGAAGCTGTTAGAGATCATTCCCTTTTAGAAGGTAAGTGTCTTAGTCCATTTCATAGTCTAGTAAGGTAGATAGACATGTAAAAATATTATGATATATCAATACGTGATAAATTGAATGGTAGAAACAAGTATAAGGTACAGAGTTAGAACAAAGGAAGGATATGTTAACTCTCTGAAGGGAGGGGATGGATAGGACAAGCTTCCTGAATGAGATGACATCTTAGCAGGAGTTTGGAGAAAGAATAAAAGTTAGCTAGGCAGTGAAGGTAGGGATGGGAGACTAGGGAAGGTGGGAAAGGTAGTGGGTGGTTACTGGGGTGGGGAAGGGCATACTGGGTAGAAGAGGGTTTAAGAAATGTTGGCAGGTATACCACTGACCTTAGCGATCCTGGTAGGTTCTCAGGGTATTCATCAGGAATAGTTGTATAGCTCCATCAGTTCTAGGCTGCCCCCATTCATCAGTGTGTTCTCATTCATCAGTGTGTTCTCTCTGTATGACACTTCTAGGGGAATTCAAAGACAGTTCCCAACTTCTAGTAGTTAATAATTTTTTTTTTAGTAGGCCAGGCACGGTGGCTCATGCTTGTAATCCCAGCTGAGGCGTGGATCACCTGAGGTCAGGAGTTCAAGACCAGCCTGGGCAACATGGTGAAATCCCGTCTCTACCAAAAATACAAAAAAAATCAGCTGGGTGTGGTGGTGAGCACCTGTAATCCCAGCTACTCGGGAGGCTGAGGCAGGAGAATCACTTGAACCTAGGAGGCGGAGGTTGCAGTGAGCTGAGATCGCACCACTGCACTCCAGCCTGGTCAACAAGAGCAAGACTCCATCTCAAAAAAAAGTTTTTTGTTTTTTTTTTTTTGATATGTATGTATAACATGATCTACGGTTAAGACAGTTTAGACAGAATGATTGGAATAAGTAGTAAGCCTCTAAGAGACTTAGAAATATGGAGGCTAGGGTATATCTATGTGTACACATGGCCTCAGTTTAATTTCATAGCCTTTGTAAGTGGTATAGACTATACTCTTGTCAGAAGTATGCCTGATTCCTAACCCTTGGTTTTTCCCCTCTATCATTACAGAGAAGTTTCCTGAGACTTAGCTCCTTTCAAGTCTCAGAGCCAAGGATTTTTTTAAGCCCCTACTGCAAAGTTGATCACTAAGGATATTTCAGGATAAATTTAGCTTAAGTTCCTTTAGTGTGAAGGAATGAGTTTTCCTTTCAATATTATGAACTTTCTTTGTGTATTTATAATATTCCAATTTATAGGTTTAAAAGAACACTCCCTCTCCCCATTTAAATTGCTCTACATTATTGTGATGAATTTTCAATTCTAGGGATTAAAATTGACTAACAATCTATGGAATTAAATATTCAGGAGTCATATTGTATAAATTGTTATCTTGGAACAGGTTTTAACTACTTTGTTTTGAGAAAATCCTAGAGATACTGGCAACTGTACATGTGAGCTTAATTCATATTCCTCGTACTTTTGTGGGATCTCAAGTTCAGAGGACTGAGTTATTCATATTCCTTAGTTCACGGCTTATTATAGTAGATCTGTACTAGGCTGAGCTTTTCACTGTATTTATTTATTTCCATTTCAAAATTTCCTATTCTTATTTCCTTTCCCCTCTCCATGGACAATCCTAATGTATTTAATGTATGTTCTTTGTAAATGTCTGTGTAAAGTGTGTACTCTTGTAAAATATGTATGTTGTTGGTATGCAGGTATTTTAAATTTGCATAGATGTTATGGTATTATTCTGTTTTTTATCTCCCATGACACAATGTTTTTAAGATTTATCCTTGTTGCTATGTATACATGTTATTTGTTACACCTGATTGCCACCAACCCATTTTACTGCTCATTACCCTAAGTAAATGGATATGTAGATTGTATCCAACTCTCTGCTGCTGCAGCAAAGCTGGGTTGAACTTCTATGTGAGTAAGAATTTCTTGGGTATTTGTAGCTAGGAGCAAAATTAGTAATTATTTATTTATTTTTGTTTTTTTTTAAAGAGACAGAGTGTCACCCTGTTGCCCAGGCTGAGTGCAGTGGCCATATCATAGCTCACTGCAGCCTCAAACTTTTAGGCTCAAGTGATCCTCCCACCTTAGCCTCCTGAGGAGCTGGGTGCACACGCCACCATGCCTGGCTAATTATTTATTTATGAAACAGGGTCTTGCTTTGTCACCCAGGCTGGAGTGCAGTGGCACAATCTTGGCTCCCTGCAACCTCTGCCTTCTGGGCTCAAGTGATCTTCCCACCTCAGCCTCCGGAGTAGCTGGGACCACAGGTGCATGCTGACACACCCAGCTAATTTTTGTATTTTTTGTAGAGTTGGGGTTTTGTCATGTTACCGAGGTTGGTCTCGAACTCCTGAGCTCAAGCAATTCACCCACCTTGGCCTCCCAAAGTGCTGGAATTGCAGGTGTAAGCCACCATGCTTGGTGTGTTTTTAAACATTTTTTTGTAGAGACAGGTTTTTGCTATCTTGTCCAGGCTGGTCTCAAACTCCTGGGCTCAAGTGATGCTCCCGCCTTGGCCTCCCAAAGTGCTGGGGTTACAGATGAAAGTCACCATGTCCAGCCAAAATTACTAAATGATAGGATATACAAATACCAAATTTGATTCCCCTCCAGTCTGTACATTTCCCCCAGATGAGTATGGGGACTCCGATAATTCTACTTGTGCAGTGACGGTTGGTATGATCCAGCTTTGTAATTTTTGCCAGGCAAACTTCTATAAAGTTGTGTCTTTTACTTTGCATTTCTCTGGTAACTCAAGTTTGAACATTTCTTCATAAGCTTGTTGTTAGCCTTTTGGGTTTCTTTTTTTATGGATTTTGTTTATATTATTTGTCTATTTTCCATTGGGGTTTCCAATTTTTTTTTCTTTTTGCTTTTTAGGAGTTTCTTATATATTCTAGACATTAAACTTTGTTGGTTTTAGACTTTTATTTTATTTTATTTTATTTTTTTTGAGACGGAGTTTCGCTCTTGTTGCCCAGGCTGGAGTGCCATGGCGCGATCTTGGCTCACCACAATCTCTGCTTCCCAGGTTCAAGCGATTGTCCTGCCTCAGCCTTCTGAGTAGCTGGGATTACAGGCACCCACCACCACGCCTGGCTAATTTTGTATTTTTAGTAGAGACGGGGTTTCTCCATGTTGGTCAGGCTGGTCTCGAACTCCCGACCTCAGGTGATCCCCCTGCCTCGCCTCCCAAAGTGCTGGTATTACAGGCGTGAGCCACTGTGCTCAGCTGGTTTTAGACTTTTAAATACCTTATTTTAATTTGCCATCTGATTAATTTTTTTCCTGGGTGTTCTCAGTAGACGAGAACTCTGATGTAGTCAAACTAATCAGTTTTTTTTTTTGTCTTCTAACTTGTGTTTCCTGAGTTTTGTTCAAGTAGTCCTATTACAGTCTTATTATTCATATTTAGTTCTTTATTCTCTGGAGTCTGCCTTTGTATGTCCACTAATTCAAGAATAGGTGCTTTCCCAAAGATAAATTTTAATCTCTGGAGTTCACTTCCATTCTCAAATACAGGAACATTGGATTTTTGACATTTAATTGTATTGCAAAACCTTTTCTTTTAAAAGTACAGATAATATAAGAGATCTAAATTTGATTAAAATTGTGGTTCCTATGGAAATGTTTTCTTTGGGTGGTGATTGGCATAAATTAAAGAATATTAAGTTGTTAACTTTTAGCTGGGTGTGGTGGCTCGTGCCTGTAATCCCAGCACTCTGGGAGGCCGAGGTGGACAGATCATTTGAGGTCAGGAGTTTGAGACCAGCCTGGCCAACATGGTGAAACCCCGTCTCTACTAAAAATACAAAAATTTGCTGGGCGTGGTGGCGCATGCCTGTAATCCCAGCTACCCAGGTGGCTGAGGCATAAGAATCGCTTGAACATGGGAGGCAGAGGTTGCAGCGAGCCAAGATTGCACCACTGCTCTCCATCCTGGGTGACAGAGTGAGATGCCGTCTCAAAAAAAAAAAAAAAAAAAAAAAAAAAAAAAAAAAATATATATATATATATATATATATATATATATAGTTTTTAACTATTTATGTCTATACAGTTTTAAGTAACCCAGTTGTCTTTTGAAATTTCAATGCTTTAATTTTTTCTTATTTGTAGGGAAATAGTAAAGAATTGACGTATCTTTAAATACAGTAGTGACATTTTACATTACTGTATTCGTATGTTGGTTTTTAATCATGGATGCTTTCTTCATAGGCTGTGTTCCTATTTGTTTCTGTCCTTTCCAAGATTTCTTTGTGTTATTAGATTATTAATTGCTACCAGGATAAGCCTCCTGTGAAAGTAGTGTGGAGTTTTCCCTGAATAAAGGCAACTTTTCTCTGAATTAGTTTCTCTGAGTGAATTGTAAATACAGCCTCCTCATGCAAAGCTAAATTGCTCCCTCTTGTGCCCATAGTCAAGATGTTTAGATTCTTTCTGAAATGTGGAATTAATGGTTCAGTTTTTAACTAAATGTTATATTGTGATGGTTAGAGATTTACATATCAGATGGTCATTTGGTCTGTTTGCCTTTTTAAAGCTGGTAGTGTTTTCTCTTTTCTTGCATGTATTTAAATGCCCTAAATTTTTAGTTATACATTTAGGGAAAAAGGCCTTTGACCCTAGGTAATAGGTACATAAATTAAAATATGAAAGAATTTACTAGGTAGCCATATCAGGATGCTTTCTTTACCTTTAATCTTGGGATGATTTTTACAAATTTTATTTTATTTTATTTTATTTTGAGACAGAGCCCCATTCTGATGCCCAGGCTGGGGTGCAATGATCTCAGCTCACTGCAACCTCTGCCTCTTGACAGTCCCCCTGCCTCAGCCTCCCAAGTAGCTGGGACTACAGGTGTGTGCCACCACACCCGGCTAATTTTTGTATTTTTAGTAGAGATGGGGTTTCACCATGTTGGCCAGGTTGGTTTCGAACACCTGACCCAAGTGATCCCCTCGCCTCGGCCTCCCAAAGTTCTGGGATTACAGGTGTGAGCTGCTGTGCCTGGCCGATTTTTACAAATTTTAGGTAGTACAAATTTAAAAAAATGGAAACTTAAGGCAACAGATAGTTTATTTGTCTGTTTTTGTTTGTTTAAATATTTTTAAAGTAGTATTTTCTTTTTTTTTTTTTTTTTTTAATTTATTTTTTTATTGATAATTCTTGGGTGTTTCTCACAGAGGGGGATTTGGCAGGGTCATGGGACAATAGTGGAGGGAAGGTCAGCAGATAAACAAGTGAACAAAGGTCTCTGGTTTTCCTAGGCAGAGGACCCTGCGGCCTTCCGCAGTGTTTGTGTCCCTGATTACTTGAGATCAGGGATTGGTGATGACTCTTAACGAGCATGCTGCCTTCAAGCATCTGTTTAACAAAGCACATCTTGCACCGCCCTTAATCCATTTAACCCTGAGTGGACACAGCACATGTTTCAGAGAGCACAGGGTTGGGGGTAAGGTCACAGATCAACAGGATCCCAAGGCAGAAGAATTTTTCTTAGTGCAGAACAAAATGAAAAGTCTCCCATGTCTACTTCTTTCTACACAGACACGGCAACCATCCGATTTCTCAATCTTTTCCCCACCTTTCCCGCCTTTCTATTCCATAAAGCCGCCATTGTCATCCTGGCCCGTTCTCAATGAGCTGTTGGGCACACCTCCCAGACGGGGTGGTGGCCGGGCAGAGGGGCTCCTCACTTCCCAGTAGGGGCGGCCGGGCAGAGGCGCCCCTCACCTCCCGGACGGGGCGGCCGGCCGGGCAGGGGGCTGACCCCCCCACCTCCCTCCCGGACGGGGCGGCTGGCCGGGCAGAGGGGCTCCTCACTTCCCAGTAGGGGCGGCCGTAGTATTTTCATTTAAAAAGAAAAAGAAATAAAAGTTCTCCTTACTTGTTCCTTTTTGCTTTCTCCTAAATTCTTAATCTTTTTATTTTTATTTTTGAGACAGAGTCTCACTTTGTCACCTAGGCTGGAGTGCAGTGGCATGATCCTGGCTCACTGCAGCCTCAACTTTCCAGGCTCAGGTCATCCTCCCACCTCAGCCTCCTGAGTAGCTGGGCCACAGGCGCACAGCACGTTGCCTGGCCAAAATTTTTCTTTTTTTTTTTTTTGAGACAGAGTCTCACTCTGTCGCCCAGGTTGGAGTGCAGTGGCGCGGTCTCGGCTCACTGCAAGCTCGGCCTCCCGGGTTCACACCATTCTCCTGCCCCAGCCTCCCGAGTAGCTGGGATTACAGGCACCTGCCACCACACCCAGCTAATTTTTTGTATTTTTAGTAGAAACGGGGTTTCACCGTGTTAGCCAGGATGGTTTCGATCTCCTGACCTTGTGATCCGCCCACCTCGGCCTCCCAAAGTGCTGGGATTACAGGCATGAGCCACCGCGCCCGGCCTTGCCTGGCTAATTTTTTGTATTTTTTTAGGGACGTGGTTTCACCATGTTGCTCAGGCTGGTCTCGAAATTCTGGGCTCAAGCAGTCTGTCTACCTTGGCCTCCCAAAGTGCTGGGAGCCACCGTGCCAGGCTCTAAATTCTAAATCTTATCCTAGAGATAATCTTGGTTAACAATTCGGAGTAAATTTTTCCAAACTTTATTCTCTGCAATTATAAATATATACACATACAGAACACAGCTTTAAGTTTAAGTGAAGTCTCAAGGACTTGCTGTTTCATAACTGCAAACTTACACTGAAGGAGGCCTGAGGGGACCTCAGGAAACTTTAGGAGTAAGCAGTAGGGCTTGTCTACCTTCTTCTAAGACATTGGCACTGATAATCAAACCAGGCTTCACAGCCCTGTCTCTACCTCAGTTACTGTAGAGTTCTCTGTCTCCAGTTGTTTGTTATATTTTAGACTTTCATGCAGTCACTATTCAGTACATTGCCAAATTCTGATCTAAGTCTTCTTCTGTCATTCCTATGTGTTTCTGCCATACCCTGTAGAACTCCTCTGTGAGCAGGAAACTCTCTTGTATCATCAACTTCTTAGAATATTCGCCGTCTTGCCTTATCTGAAACTGGGCAGTTTCCTGAGTTTACTACCTTCTCCATAACCTTCTTAAGTGACATGGCAACTTTTTTCCTTTATATCCTACATACTTTAGCACCAGGAAATGGGTGGGCGTTGTTCTTGCTCTCTGTTGTCTCATCCAGACCATTAATACTCCCTTCTCCAGCTGAATGCTTTGAGGTTCATGTCTCTAACCTTTCCTATTGATGTAATCACCGTCTCATTCATTGACGATTGGAGTTCGTAGATTATAACCTTCCTCTTATGCTCTTTGTCTGTTAGCACTCTTAGTGATTTTGATACCTGTGTGGATGAGTCATCCAAAACCTTAACCTCTTACCTCCTTAACCTCTTTGTCTCCTGTGAACATTTCTTAACTCTTCCCTGATTACAGGCTAGACCCTGATCTTTGTCATTACTAGAACTACAGCACTTTTGAAATCTTGATGTTGAGCATTCTCTTCTACTCTTTACCCACCTCCACCCATTTTATTCAAGTTTAATGCTATAGACTTACCAAGACTTCTCATCCATTGATTCCAGAATATCCTCTCTATTCATACTATCAGTCCTCTCCTAGACTTCAGCCATCATTGTCCATCATTTTATTGTCCATCATTCAGTTGCTTCTTAGCACATACTCTTGACTCTTTAGTCCTCTCCTTATCTGGAGTGAAAACCGATTTTTTTCTCTATGCTGGGAAGTGGAATAGGTATTTGCTCCTCAAGGCTTCATCCAGACCATTGCTTACGTCCTCTTTTCTGGGACTGATCCTTTCCTTGACCTTGTGCAGGTTCAAAGACTCCATGTCACTTCAAGTTATAAAAAGTCTAATTTTCATAATTAATATGTCAAGTCCTATTCAGTACTCCAAACTTCATTTACATATAAGGTTCAGTTGGGCCTGCCTGAAACTTTGGAAGCCTGCAATGGGATAGTAGGTTAAGGTGGGTTGTTTCCAGCTTTTTCCTGTTGCAAACAATGCTGCAGTGAATATTCTTGTGGATGCAGAATAGTGTAGAAGTTGAACATTGATACTTTAAGTTTGAATCTCAACTCTGCTTCATTAGCTGTGTAACTTTGGGCAAATTACTCAACTTTTCTATTCTTCAGTTTCCTCATTTTCAAAATGAAGATAATAGTGTCTGCTTGATAGTGTGCTATAGGATTAAATGAATGAACATACAGAGAACTCTTAGAATAGTGCCCAATAAATATCTGATGTAAATAGATCTTTGTGCATATATACAAGTATCTCTTTTGGGTGATTAGGTTTTTAAAGTAGTGATTTATATTTGTATTTAATTATTTGTGAATACCAGTAAATAAATTGCCCTTTGGTGTAATTTAATTCATTTATCTTTGAGTCTGTTTTTTGCTTTTTTTGGTATGTTTAAGATCACATAAATCTTTATGATTGATGCTACTGGAATGATCTAATGCTACTGTTTACCATATTTTACACATAGGGACCCCTCTTTTTTATATATGTATATTTATGTGGAGGTGATTAAGTATAGTCTATGAAGACTTAAGATTTTGGCTACTGACAATATGTAAATAAAAATACATATTTCAAGATGTTTTATGGCTCAATTAACAATGATGATGATAACAGTAATAATAATCATGGCCATTCCTAGTGTTTACTAGTTTGAAGCTTAATATTGGTAAGTTGCTCTCAGATCCATAACACTAATAACCTGTTTTAATCCTTTATACTTAACATAGCAATTTCACATATTTTATATCATTAATTTTTCACAGCAACTCTGAAATAGGTGGGCTAGACAGCCTTATTTCAGTATAATCAATGAGACTGAGGTTAAATGATTTGATAAAGATTGCTTAGCTAGTAAGCAGTAGAGCCAGACTTGAGTCTAACTTCCTATTTTAAGTCTGTATAAGAAAACCATAATGGGTGAGTTATATGTTCCAGGACATCAGTAGTTCTCAACGAGGGGTGATTTCACACCCCCCCAGGTGACATTTGACAATGTTTGGAGACATTTTTGTTTGTCAGTACTGGTGAAGGGGAATCCTATTGGCATCTAGTGGATAGAGACCAAAAAGGCTGTTAAACATCCTATAATGCATAGGACAGTCCCTTACAACAAAGAATTGCCATCCCAAAAAGTCAGAAGTACAAGGTTTAGAAACTGTGCTGTGCAGTGATCACTGACAACACAGGACAAAGATCATAAAACTTTACTTGGTAAGATTTTCCCGATAAGCCACAGATTTACTTCAAACTTCAGTTTCTTCACATCTTCAACTTGTCTTAGATTCAGGATATAAAGCCTACCAGTATCTTGCACGTAAAATTTCTACTCTAAATCAAGAGAAGTTGAAGATGTGATGGGATTGTAAATTGGAGTAAATCTGATGCTTAACAGTAAAACCATTTAAAGGAGTACTCCTGTTGAAAGGCCTTAAGTTCATTATTCTTTCCCTCACTAGGTTGTTTCCCAGGGGGAGTGCATTGGGTTTCAGTTGGGAAACAAGACAAATCTGGGCTTCTGATGAAACTGCAGAATCTTTGCACACGGTTGGATCAGGATGAGAGTTTTTCCCAGAGGCTTCCACTTAATATTGAAGAGGCTAAAGACCGTCTCCGCATTCTGATGCTTCGCAAACACCCAAGGTACCGATGGTCAAATTTAGTTGGTGTGTCAGGTCCCATGTCCCAATAAGATGTAACTACTGACCTCTTGAGAACATCATGCCTTTTTCCTGCTGTTCTATAGGGAGGATAAGAGAGAACCATTGCGGCCAGGTGCAGTGGCTCACGCCTGTAATCCCAGCACTTTGGGAGGCCGAGGCTGTTGGATTACCTGAGGTCAGGAGTTCAAGACCAGCCTGACTAACATGGTGAAACCCCATCTCTACTAAACATACAAAATTAGCCAGGTGTTGGTGGCTCATGCCTGTAATCCCAGCTGCTCAGGAGGCTGAGGCAGGAGAATCGCTTGAACCCGGGAGGCAGAGGTTGCAGTGAGCCGAGATCGTGCCATTGCACTCTAGCCTGGGCAATAAGAGTGAAACTCCATCAGAAAAAAAAAAAAAAAAAAAAGAGAGAGAAAGAAAGAAAGAACCATTGCTTTCCTGCTTTTCTCTCTTGTATTTAAAACGAAAAAAAAAAGTGGCTGCCACTCGGCCTAAAATTGCTTTTTCTCTTTGCATGCTACCTACCACATCATCTCATATGTACCATTGTAGGCTTTCAGGAAATGTCTTAAGTAGGTGAGTTGGTGAGTGGTCTTTGCTAGAAAGTGCAAACTTCTTACTTTGAATCCGTTATTTCTAATGGGTTAACATAGAACAACAGAGAATAAATGCAGGCAACTGATAAATGTCAGGAAGGGGCCAGGGACAGTGGCTCATGCCTGTAGTCCCAGCACTTTGGGAGGCCATGGTGGATAGTTTGCTTGAGTCCAGGAGTTCGAGACCAGCATGGGCAACATGATGAAACCCTGTCTTTCTAAAAAATACAAAAATTAATCTGGTGTGGTGGTACACACCTGTGGTCCCAGCTACTCAGGAGGCTAAGGTGGGAGGATCACTTGAGCCTATGAGATTGAGGCTGCAGTGAACCCAGATTGTGCCACTGTATTCCAGCTTGGGTGGCAGAGGAAGACCCTGTTTCAATTAAAAAAAAAAAGTCAGGAAGGATTTTTAATGGGGCTCTTCTGTTTGATTGTCTTAGTTTCTAGAAATATACGTGTAACTCTTCTACTTCCATGTACTTCAGGAGTGAGTTTGTTTTGTTTGTTCAACAGTTAATTAATTCAGCAAATACTTACCATTATAATTATGTGCCAGGCACTGTTATCAAGTGTTTCACAGTTTTCATTAGCCAAAAGGGAGACAGCAGTTTAGTTGCTGCTTGTCTTAAGAGTATAACCTTGGATTCAGTCAACAATTTGATTTCTGTCATCTTAACAGCCTCTCTTTCATTTGTTCATTTAACCAACATTGAGTGTTGTGCCAGGTTCTGGGCCAAGTGCTGCAAGTACAAAGATAAATAAAGCATTCCTTGGGAATGTTATAGTATACTGAGTGAGAGTTAGGTAGTGGCTCTGCACTTTTTAAAAATGCCCTAATGCACCCAAGGATGCAGTATACTTTCATATGTAGCAGTTGCTGAGTATGGCAGTGATTCTCAAATTGGTAAGGGTATTAATATCAGAATATAGGGTGAGAAGAGTATTTTTGGGAAAAGCCTACTAGGTGATTCTGATGCATATTCGTTATATTTTTATGGTGCAATCTCTGCTCACTGAAGCTCCGCTTCCTGGGTTCAAGTGATTCTCCTGCCTCAGCCTCCTAGTAGCTGGGACTACAGGCTCCCCACCACACGCCGGGCTAATTTTTTGTATTTTTAGTAGAGATGAGGTTTCACCGTGTTAACCAGGATGGTCTTGATCTCCTGACCTCGTGATCTGCCCACCTTGGCCTCCCAAAGTGCTGGGATTACAGGCGTGAGCCACTGCGCTCGGCCCCTCCTTCTCTTGATATTGATCTGTGTAGAGGAAATAGGATTGAGATCACTAACCCTTCCCTCTTTAATTGCTCAGTAACTTTTCCCTAGTTCTACTTTTCCTTTTTTGCAAAATTAAAATTGACTTCTGTTGAGTAAAATAATGTAGCCACTTTCAGATGTGTCAGACTAGCTTACAAAGCCAGGCATATTTTTTTAATCTCTCAGTCTCATTTGGTTTGTGCTTTTGTAATTTTTCAACCTATGTATGTGCCTAGAGTATTTCTTTATTTTTATTTTTATTTTTATTTTTTTAGATGGAGTTTCGCTCTTGTTGCCCAGGTTGGAGTGCAATGGTGCGATATCGGTTCACTGCAACCTCTGCCTCCCGGGTTCAAGCGATTCTCTGCCTCAGCCTCTTGAGTAGCTGGGATTACAGGCTTGTGCCACCTCGCCTGGCTAATATTATATTAGAGACGGGGTTTCTCCATGTTGGTCAGGCTGGTCTCAAACTCCCGACCTCAGGTGATCCGCCTGCCCTGGCCTCCCAAAGTGCTGGGATTACAGGCCTAGAGTATTTTTTTTTTTGTAATGCACAGCCATAGTGTGTCATTCAGACAAAAATGTTATTGTATAATTATGCTATCAGGTTTTAGTTATATTTTTTCCCCTCATCTGTTCTAGTGAGTTTAGAAAAGTTTTTGGAGAGAACAACTGGGAACTGGCATAGAGGTTCTTGGTTACTATGAATAAACAAATTGATTAAAAAAAACCACTTGTATACCAAATGAAAGGTAATATTCTTTTAGATTACAACATATGAAATTGCTAGTTTTTAGGTAAAAAATGGTCACATATCATCATTATTGTATGATTCATTCTAATGCTAACCTGAGCTCAGTTCTAGTTTGGTTTTGGTGCTTAAAGACTGAGTTGGAAAATCCCATTACTTGGATAGTAATGGTCGCTTTTTTTTTTTTTTTTTTGGCACTCAGTAAGTGATGGCTGAACCTTTTATGGTAGGATCTGTAATTTTAATATGTTCTGATTTAGGGTTTGAGGAGAAGGCAGTCTCTAATTTTTTTTTTCCTTATTTGAATCAGCATATTGAGAAGAGTATAGCAAAGAGGAAGAATCATTTTCCTAGATCTAGCCATCTATTTGTTTTAAAAAAAATTTAATTTGGTAGATTTTAAAAGACACTGGTGGGATTATCTTTTTAAAAGGAAGCTTAAGATAAGTGTCATTAGTGATTAATATTTTTTTTTTAAATTAGGTCTCTCTTGATCTTGGATGATGTTTGGGACTCTTGGGTGTTGAAAGCTTTTGACAGTCAGTGTCAGATTCTTCTTACAACCAGAGACAAGAGTGTTACAGATTCAGTAATGGGTAAGGATTATTCGTTTACTTTTTAGTACCTTTATATTTAATTTAATTACATTTAAATATGTGACATACCAAATTACTTACTTTGTCTTGTGATTTTTGTTTGCAGGTCCTAAATATGTAGTCCCTGTGGAGAGTTCCTTAGGAAAGGAAAAAGGACTTGAAATTTTATCCCTTTTTGTTAATATGAAGAAGGCAGATTTGCCAGAACAAGCTCATAGTATTATAAAAGAATGTAAAGGTATGGTTATTTATTTGTTTATGAGGAGATTATAGGGAGTTATATAATTTCCCTTTTGTTAATTGAGCTAATGAATATGGTAATTTAGCACATGAACATCCAAAAACTTTTCTGGGAGATTTAGTATTTTAGGTTCTCTGATATCTTAAATGGATACATGATATTATGGTATTTATTTATTCATTAAAATAATATTTACCATCTACCCACAGTGTGTTAGAGACCACATTAGTGAGAGAAGTGAGACACAGATGTGACCTCTGCTGTTAGAGTTAAAAATAGAGTGAGAATCAGATTTTAAAACTTGTTTTTGCTTGGGATTTTATAAAAATAGTGTTCTAATTTGGTAAGTAAAAACTGGTGTCTTAATTTGCATTTTTTTTTAGCGAAGTTAAACTTTTTACTTGTTTATTGAATACGTTTTAAGAAGTTATCCTTGACTTTAAGAAATTATCCTTGACTCACTTTTCTTTTTTGATATAAGTATTTTTAATTTATTTCTAAATACTCAAAAAATAGAAACTATTAGCTCTTTGTCATATTTTTACAAGTATTATTTCCCAGTAAAACAATTTTTTAACTTAAAATTTATATATAGAATCTCGCTGTGTTGCCCAGGCTGGTCTTGAACTACTTGCCTCAAATGATCCTCCTGCCTTAGCCTCCTAAAGCACTGGGACTACAGGCATGAGTCACCATGTCCAGCCTGTTACCCAGTTTTTTGTGTACCTTTTATTTGTTGTATTCTTTTGACATATAGAAGCTTAAAATTTTAAACAGTCAAATCTATCAACTCTTAAAATTATTTCTTTCATTATTGTTATGCTTGGAAATACCTTATTTTTCTTCTTTTTCTTTTTTTTTCTCTTTTGAGACAAGTCTCACTCTGTCGTCCAGGCTGGAGTGCAGTGGCGTGATCTCGGCTCACTGCAACTTCTGCCTCCCAGGTTCAAGCAGTTCTTCTGCCTCAGCCTCTCGAGTATCTGGGACTACAGGCATGTTCCACCATGCCTAGCTAATTTTTGTATTTTCAGTAGAGACGGGGTTTCGCCATGTTGGTCAGGCTGGTCTCGAACTCCTGACCTCAGGTGATTGCCCGCCTCAGCCTCCCAAAGTGCTGGGATTATAGGCATGAGCTACCATACCTGGCCACCTTATTTTTCATTCTGCCATCAAATAGACACACAGTTTTGTTTGTTTATTTATTTATTTATTTATTTTATTTATTTTTTGAGACGAGTCTCACTCTGTCGCCCAGGCTGGAGTGCAGTGGTGCGACCTCTGCTCACTGCAACCTCTGCTGCCCAGGTTCAAGTGATCCTCCTGCCTCAGCCCCCTAGTAGCTGGGATTACAGGTGCGTGCTACCTCACCCAGCTAATTTTTGTAGTTTTAGTAGAGATGGGGTTTCATCATCTTGGCCAGGGTAGTCTTGAACTCCTGACCTCGTGATCCACCTGCCTCAGCCACCCAAAGTGCTGGGATTACAGGCGTGAGCCACCACACGTGGCCAGTTTTGTTAATTTTTAAAGAAATCTTACACTTAGAAAAAATGCTTAATTTGTAGTTATTACAAAGGGTGATGCATGTCCATTTTGAAAATGTGTGAAACTAAAAAAAAAATAGAAATTATCCATAACCTGATAATTATTAGCATCATGAGAGTATTGCCTCCAGTCTTTTAGAACAAAGATTTAAAAAGTTGAGATTATGTATATGTGGTTTTGGATTTTGCCCTTTTTTTTTTAAAGAGCCAGGGTCTTGCTCTGTCACCCAGGCTGGAGTGCAGTAAGATCACAGCTCACTGCAGGCTTGAATGTCTTGGCTTAAGCAATCCTCCTGCCCCAGCCTCCTGAATAGCTGGGACTGCAGATACCCACCACCACACCTGGGTAATTTTTAAATTTTTTTGTAGGGACAGGGTCTCACTATGTTGCCCAGGCAGGTCTCAAACTTCTGCCCTCAAGCAATCCTCCCACCTCAGCCTCCTGAAGTGCTAGGACTACAGACACATGTCGCCACACCCAGCTGGATCTTACCCTTTTTCTATATCTTGAGCATTTTCCCATGTTGTTAAATATTTTTTTGAAAAAAATTTACCAGTGGCATAATATTGATATATCTTAATTTATTCAACCACTTCTGTATTATTGGACATTGTTTACGTTGTTTAAGATTTTTTCACTATTCTAAGTGTGCTGTGATGAATATCCTTAAACTTAATCATTCTTTTCTTTTTCTTTAAGACAGAGTCTCACACTGTTCCTCAGGCTAGGATGCAGTGGTGCTGTCATGGCTCACCGTAGCCTCAACCTCCTGGGCTGAAGCAATCCTCCCACCTCAGCCTCCTAAGTAGCCGGCACTATAGGCACACACCACCACACCTGGCTGATTTTTCTAATTTTTATTTTTAGTAGAGACAAGGTCTCATTATATTGCTTAGACTGGCGCATATATATATATATATATATATATTTTTTTTTTTTTTTGTAATGACATCTTAGCCAGATTTGATCTATGTTATTTTGACTTAATAAAGATAATCAGGAACTTACTGAATGAAATCTTTCTTATTTCTAATTTTTTTTGGGATAAATATCTAGAAGTGAAGTCAAGAGTGATAAATACTTAAGGCTTTTGATAACATGCAGCAGAAATTGTTTCTTAGTAATGTAAGTAAGTAAGTCGATTCTTATTAGTGACAAAATAGGATGGTATTAGCATAGTGACTTCATTTTTTTTTTAAAGGCTCTCCCCTTGTAGTATCTTTAATTGGTGCACTTTTACGTGATTTTCCCAATCGCTGGGAGTACTACCTCAAACAGCTTCAGAATAAGCAGTTTAAGAGAATAAGGAAATCTTCGTCTTATGATTATGAGGCTCTAGATGAAGCCATGTCTATAAGTGTTGAAATGCTCAGAGAAGACATCAAAGATTATTACACAGATCTTTCCATCCTTCAGAAGGACGTTAAGGTGCCTACAAAGGTAATGGGATCAATGATCCTCATCATTGGGTATTTATTGCATGTAAGCTTTGATATAGTACTGAGCATGTTGTTACAGAGAACCTTGGAAGGATAAGACCCAGGGGACTGAGGTGGTGGGGTGTTGGGTGTAGAAATCCCTCTGCTGTTAGCTTCCATTAAGGGCTTTGTGTTGAACTCAGGAGTTAACCTATTTCTGTGGTTCTAGTGCAGCTGAAGAAGCATCTGACTTCTCTTTCTCTTTTCTATCTTGAGGAGTAGCTGAGTTTCTTCTTAAGAAATGGAGACATTCTTACTCAGGGCTTTAAGATACCGTTTTTTTGTGTGTGTGATAATACCTGTCTACAGTCCTGGTCATTGTACTTTTGTGGCATATTAAATACTTACAACAATTCCTAGGTGTTATGTATTCTCTGGGACATGGAAACTGAAGAAGTTGAAGACATACTGCAGGAGTTTGTAAATAAGTCTCTTTTATTCTGTGATCGGAATGGAAAGTCGTTTCGTTATTATTTACATGATCTTCAAGTAGATTTTCTTACAGAGAAGAATTGCAGCCAGCTTCAGGTACTTGCATCTTGGTTTACTTTTTTTTTTCCTTTTTCCTTTGAAATAATTTTAGATTTATTGAAAATTTACAAAATAGTAGATAGTTTCTGTGCATAAGTCCTTCACCTAGCTTCCCCTAATATTAACATTTTATATAACCATAGTACAGTTGTTAAAGCCAGAAAATTAACATTGATACAATACTGTTCACTAACCTACGTGTTCTTTTTGTAGTCCAGGCCAATTTAGGATCCCGTATTGCATATGATTGTCTTGTTTCCCTACTTGTCATTTTTTTCCGTCTCCTCAAATCTGTGAAAATTTATCAGTCTTTATCTTTCATGGCCTTGTCACCTTTGAAGAGTACTGGCTAGTAATTTTGTACAGTATACCCAAATTTGGTTTTGTGTGATGTTTTTCCTGACTAGATTGAAGTTATAGATATTTGGCAAGAATACCAATGATGTTGTATCTTTCTCAGTGGCGTCATAGGCTGAGAGTACTTGGTGGTTTTTAAAAAATTTTTTGTAGAGATAGTGTTTTGCCATGTTGCCCAGGCTGTTCTTGAACTCCTGGGCTCAAGTGATCCACCTGTCTTGGCCTCCCAAAGTGCTGAGATTGTAGGTATGAGCCACTATTCCCAGACTCCTGGTGTTGATATGTTTTATTATGGGTGATGTTAATGTTGATAATTTGTTTAAAGTGGTATCTGCCAGGTTTCTGCACTGTAAAGTCATTATTTTGTGGGGAGATTCTCTGTATATATATATGTATTTTTTTTTTTTTGAGACAGGGTCTTACTGTGTTGCCCAGGCTGGCATGCAGTGGCTCACTGCAATCTTAAACTCCTGGGCTCGGTTGGTCCTGAGTAGCTAATTCCCGAGTAGTTGGGTCTGCAGGCATATGCCACCACACCTGACTGATTTTTTTTATTTTTTATTTTTTGTAAAAAAATTAAATATACGGATATCTCTCTATGTTGCCCAGGCTAGTCTCGAAGTCCTGGCCTCAAGTGATCCTCCTACCTTGGCCTCCCAAAGTGCTGGGATTACAGGCGTGAGCCACCGAGCCCGGCCTCTCTGTACATTCTTAATAGCTTTGGAAGCTGAAGTTACTGTGATGCTTAGGTTATAAAATTGTTTCTGGCTTCTGAAACGTTTCATTGGGTTGCAGGATCTACATAAGAAGATAATCACTCAGTTTCAGAGATATCACCAGCCGCATACTCTTTCACCAGATCAGGAAGACTGTATGTATTGGTACAACTTTCTGGCCTATCACATGGCCAGTGCCAAGATGCACAAGGTAAGATGACCCATTTAAAAATTCTTTTATCTGACTTCCCTTTTTCCATATGTATTACAAATAAGTGCTTTTTTTCTGTTATTTTTTGTCTTGAATTTTGTTCATATTGCTTTCCATTTGATTTTTTTTTTTTTTTTTTTTTTTTGAGACAGGGTCTCACTTTGTTTCTCAGGCTGGAGTGCAGTGGCACAATCTCAGCTCATTACACCCTCACCTCCTGGGCTCAAGTGATCCTCCCACTTCAGCCCCCCATGTAGCTGGGACTATAGGCACATGCCACCATGCCTGGCTAATATTTTTGTATTTTTGGTGGAGATGGGGTTTCACTATGTTGCTCAGGCTGGTCTCAAACTCCTGAGCTTGACGTGAGCTCAAGTGATCCACTCGCTTCAGCCTCCCAAAGTGTTAGGAGTACAGGCATGAGCCACCGCGGCTGGCTGAAGATTTGAATTTTTATGTAGTTAAATTTACCACTGTTGTTGTCGTCGTTGTTTGGTATTTTGCTTTGCTGTCCTGTTCATAAACATGTATTGTTTTATTAGTATAATTTTTTATTAGTAAAAATGGGATTATAGCTTGCATAATTATTTTTGTTTTTACCTGTAGTGATTAGAAAAGGTACCTTAGTAACTAGTAAATGAACCACCTCAGAATTAATCCTCTTCTTACTAGTAGCTTTCCTTTTTGGGCAGTATGGATTTGTTTTGTAAGCTTTGAGAGGAAATGGATAGTGGAAAAGTATATTCATTGATTCAATAAATATTTATTGAGTGCTTGTTATGTATATTGCTCTTCATTAAGAGGATAAAGCACAGGCACAAAGTCATTGCTCTCACGAGTTTATGTTCTGGGAGGAGGCAGACATTAAACAAATTTATTATATTTCAGTGGGTAGTTAAGTGCTCAGAAGAAGGACAGAGCATGGAAGGGGAAAGAAAGTGATGATAGAGGGGTAGAATCATCATGATTTGCTTATGGGTTTGGTATGCATTATACGAGAAAGAGAAGAATCAAAGATGACTCCAAGAATCAAAGATGACTCAAACCCCAGTGGAAAGAACGGAGTCCATGAACTGAAACAGGGGTCTTTGGGAGAACAAGCTTTTTCCTGCAGAGAATGGGGATGGTTAAGAACTCATTTTGGATATATTAAGTCTGATATACCTATTAAGGCATCTGGCTGGAAATATTGAATAGGCAGTTAGATATATGAGTCTAGAATTCTGGGGAGAATTATAGATGAAAGATGAAAATAAGGAATTATTAGCACATAGATGGTATTTGATTGAAGTCATGACTACCAAGTAGCTACTAAAAATGTTTACATTTGGAAAACCATATGTACTTTCAGTAAATTTTCTATGCTCAGGTATGTTATTTCTTGGTTATGATACATAGTAAATTGTTGTAGTTTGTTTTTTTATCTAGCAAAATATATTTACATTTAATAGTGTATATTGGAATGATGGTATTCCAATAAATACTTGTGCCCTAATTTACTTAACCAAACTCTAGTTATCGAACATTTAGGTTTTCAGTTTTTTTGGTCCTTATGATGTAATGAGCATTCTTGTTTATCTTTGTACCTATGTTGTTTCCTTGGCAAATTCCGAGAAGTAGAATTACTGAGCCAATGCATCTTTTTAAAGCTTTTGACATGTATGATAGTGTGGCAGGATTCAGTTTCTCTTTAGCCTTTTTTCTGACTTTAAAGGTAATGGTTGATTTTCATTGGAAAAACAGAAAAAAACGATGAAAAGGAAAACAGAGATCACAACCATTACTAATGCTCTTGTGTATAGTTTTCTAGATCATTTTGCTGCTTCTATAAACATACTTGTCTCTTAAAACCAAATGGGATCATAATAGAAATAGTCTCATATATTGCTTTTTACCATTTAATTACATTGAATGGTCATCTTTTCATGTCATTTATATAGAGTGACATGATTTTTAAAGCTGCATATTATTTCATTGTATAGCTACATTATGAATGGCCAGTTGGTTGATGGACAATTAGATTGTTTAAGCATATTCATCTGGTTATTTTCTTAGGATACTTTTTTATAAGTGGAATTTCTGGGTCAAATAGTATGTGCAGTTTAAATTTTAATACAGATTGCCAGACTGCTCTCCAGAAGGGTACCCTGTTTTACATGCCTACCAACAGTGGTTGAAAGTGTTCATTTCCTCTGATTCTAGCTAATCACCTCCTCTCCTCTCCTCCCTCCCTTCCCCTCCCCTCCCCTCTTCCTGCCCTCCCCTCTTCCTGCCCTCCCCTCTTCCTGCCCTTGCCCTTTCTTTGACAGGATCTCACCAGGATGTCACTCTGTTGCCCAGGCTGGAGTATAGTGGCATGATTTCAGCTGAAATCACTGCAACCGCCACTTCCTGGGCTCAGGTGATCCTTCCACCTCAGCCTCCTGAGTAGCTGGGAGCACGGGTGTGCACCACCACACCCGGCTAATTTTTGTATGTTTTGTAGAGTTGAGGTTTCACTGTGTTGCCCAGGCTGATCTTGACCCCTGGGCTCGAGTAATCCACCCTCTTCAGCCTCTCAAAGTGCTGGGATTACAGGTGTGAGCCACTGTGCTCAGCCCCAGCTAATATTCTTGTTACTCCTTTAGTCTTCAGAAATCTGATACTTTAAAAATGGTAAATTTTTCTTGTTCTCCTTTGATTACCGGTGAGATTTTGGCCATCTGTGCTTTTTGTTTTGTGAATTGTGGCTCCCATCCTTTGTTTGCTTTTACCTCCTTTACCTATTTTTTCTCTTGACGTGTTTTTCTTTTTCTTACTGTTTTATTAGAATTTTCTATAAAAAATAATTTTCTATAAAAATAAGGATTGAAGCCCTGATCTATCATATGTGTTACAAATAAGTATTTTTTTAAAACTTCTTTGGTCTTGAGTTTAATTTATATTGCTTTCTACTGTATTGAAGATTTGAATTTTTATGTAGTTAAATACACTTTTATATAGTTAAGTGCAGTTTTTCTTTTTGTTTGATATTTTGCTTTGGGGTCATGTTTACAAAGATTTCCTTCACTACAAGCTTACAAAAATATTTATTTTTATTTTCTAGTATTTTTAAATGTTTTCTATTTTCTATTTAAATTTTTAACCAACTGGAGTTTATTTGGAGCTGAAGTATGAGGCCCATTTTATGTTTCTTTGGAACTATGGATGTGTTCTTTCTCACTAGCTTTTGCATCCTTTAAATTCTAGATATTTACTGTTTCTCTTAGCAGTGTGAGGTTAATGATGTTATACCTAAAATTTTTTGATCTCTAACAGTGCTGCTGATACTACTTTTTGTTTTTTAAAGGAACTTTGTGCTTTAATGTTTTCCCTGGATTGGATTAAAGCAAAAACAGAACTTGTAGGCCCTGCTCATCTGATTCATGAATTTGTGGAATACAGACATATACTAGATGAAAAGGTATATATATTAACATGAAAAATTAGTGCTAAAAAGGAATCTCATTTTTTTTTACATTTAATTCTAGATTTAATGATGGGAATGAGCAGAATAGAAGGGGTGAAGATAATTTCCCTCCTTTGATTTTTGGTTATTCTAATTAATTTGCTTCCTACCCTACTGGGAAAGTAGGTAGGATTGAAGTTTAAAAGCTAGGAAAATAAGATGTTCAGTGGTTTTTTTAAAAAAAGAATGTATTAAGAAATGTGTTTGATAATGAGATTTTTACCCTATGTTTAAAAGTCAGAAGAGGATTACTATATATTTGTTACTTAATGGTTGGCTGTTCAATTTTAGTTCATATAAAGAATATTTCATTTAAGCTTTTAAAGTGGCAAGATCACAGAAATGGAAAAATGTCAGATCGTGGCTCTGATTGTGTTTCTAAGAGATTTCAGTTTATTTGTAGGATTGTGCAGTCAGTGAGAATTTTCAGGAGTTTTTATCTTTAAATGGACACCTTCTTGGACGACAGCCATTTCCTAATATTGTACAACTGGGTCTCTGTGAGCCGGAAACTTCAGAAGTTTATCAGCAAGCTAAGCTGCAGGCCAAGCAGGAGGTCGATAATGGAATGCTTTACCTGGAATGGATGTAAGTAGGTTAGGAGAGAAACCAAAGGGAGTGGTGCGCTAACTATATCATTATTTTTCAGGTGGTGAATACGATCACTCCAGGAGGATTTAACTACTTTCGAAAGGGCTGGAACTTTTAATAAGCATTCTTACTTATTGAAAAGTTCTAGAGAAGTAAGCATAGGAGAAAATGATTGTATTTTCAAAGAATCCATATAAATAGATGCCTGTAAGGCATTTGGACAAATTATCCTAAGTATTCAGTACTAAGTGCTTGACTTACTGTAATTTAGTATAGTGGTGAGGAGCATGGACTTTGGAGCCACAGAACTGGGTTTGAGCCTCAGTTCTAAAACCTAATAATTCTGTGACTTTGAACAAGTTACAGGTTTTTCTCTCATATGTAAAATGGAGATAACAATCCTTTGAAATAAGTGCTGTTTCCATGAAGATTTTATTTATTTATTTATTTATTTATTTTTGAGACAGAGTCTCACTATGTTGCCAAGGCTGGAGTGCAGTGGTGTGATCTTGGCTCACTGCAACCTC